>NC_000012.12:131620114-131921738 GCF_000001405.40 Homo sapiens
TCAATGTTCAAGACCCAGCTCTCCCACTTTCAAGCAGTGTGGCTTTGGTGGCATTGCTTAACCTTTCTGGGTCCCGCTCTCCCCGTCTGTGAAACGATCATGGTGAGGTGCCGTGGGGCTCTGATGAGGTTGCCCACGCCAGTACACACACAGCAGGACTTTGTGGATGGCTGGCACCGCCCGGGCGTCACCCTCACCCGGCCCTGGCCGTCAGCTCACCATCCTCATCTCAGGCCCCCTCCTGTGCGGCGGCAGAGACAGGGCTGCACGCGGCTTCCATGGGCCCTGGGCCCTTTTGCATTCGTGGGCTCCTTCCTCCATAAAATCACCTTTAAGCTTCTATTTTACAACTGGTACAAAGATGAATAGGTTAATATTTCTTTGACCTAAGAGCTCATATTTTCTTCTAATTTTAAAAGAAATTAAAACATTTTTGTAGCCCTGGAAATCCTCAGGGCTCTTGCACTTTGCCTGTGTCCCTGATGGGGGAAGGCGGCCTGGAAATGGCCCTCAGAGAGCTCCTCTTAACTGAGCAACTGCGAGGCAAAGCCTCCCTTCCCCAGGGGTTTCAGAAAAAGTCCCGGGCACATTCTCATTGGACCAGCTTGGGTCACATGGCCATGCCTGAGCCAATCCCAGGACCACAGTATGAAATATGCTGATTGGGAGGCGTGGCTTCCCACCTGTGAATCACGTGCACCAAGTAGGGGTGACCTGGCAGAGAAATACAGAGACAGGCAGGTGAGTCCTGGACGGACCCTAGGGACATCTGTTGTCCCCCTCAGGACCACATAGCAGAGCATGATACGGTGCCTGTCCACAGCCCAGGGACCCTTTTCAGCGGGTGGCAGAGCTGGCTATCCGGGGAGGGGGCAGAAGTTCCAGTCTGGTGCACCGAGAGCGCCATCCCCTCACTGCAGCCCCGCCCAGAGCCCCAGGGCTGAGGCCAGACTTAACCGCTGGGACCCAGGCCTGCCCTGGGGCCACCTCCCAGGCCAGGCTCTGTTCCTCACTGGGGCACTGTCCCTGGGGGAGGCGGACACAAGGGCCCTTGTTGTTCCTGGAGGAGGAGGCGGCGGGGAGAGCTGTGCAGTCACTGTGGGCTGAGCCAGCACTCTCCATCCTCCCCAGTCACTCCCAGGATGGCCAGATCCCTCCCAGGCCTGGAAACTGCTCCTCAGCCTCTCCCCGGGGCAGGGGAGAGGGGGTCAGGGCTCCCCTGGACAGGGAGGCCCAGCATGGCCATTCCCGCTCACGTGCCCACTGCACGATTAACGCGCATTGCAGCAATTTCCAGGCTGGCGCTCACGAACGGTGCCGCTAAGAGCACTTTCTGGTGAACACACATGCCCCTGTCTGTGGTGCAGACACCCCGGAGTGGAACTGCTGGGTCGGGGTAAGTGGATCTTCAGCTCTGGGCGACGCTGCCGGGCTGCTTCCCAAGTTCCAGATCCACCACACCCCCAGGGGGTTCCAGCCTGCAGCGGGGGCTGAGACCCACAGCTCTGCTGTGTACATGAGAACACACACAGGCACATGCACACCTACGCGCATGTACACACATGCACTCACACGCACACGTTTCCTGAATTCACACACATGATATGTGGGCTGAGGCTGTGTACACACACATGCACATGGGCACACACAGGCACGCACCAAGTGTACACTCACATTTCCTAAGACCACACACGATACGTGGCCCAGGACTGCGTACAGCTGGCATGTCTGCTTGCCTGGGCAAGAGCCACAGCCTCCTCCTGGCTCTCCTGCTGCCGCAGCTCCTGCACTCCACGGAGCCTCGCCTGGCCACACTCCCTGCACGGGGCAGCTCAGGAGCCTCGGCCTCTGGCAGGAGAGGCTGCAGGGTAGGGGCTGGCGGGTGGCTGGGGTCCCTGTAGTCCGGCTTTTTTCCCTCCTCACACACTGCTCTCTGCTCTCCGCTTGCCTGGCCCCGAGGCAAAGGGCCCAGGGGTCGCTGGTGAGGAGGGGCTGCAGCTGGGCTGTCCTGGGGGAGGGAAGGAGATTATAAAAGGCCCTCAGAGAGCTACACAAGGTGGCCTTGTTTGGGGAACAGCCTCCCCCAGCCCAGGGTTCCCTCCCACGTGAGCAGGAAGGGGTGGCCCAGGACCTGTGGTCAGGAGGCCTGCCCTGTGTGGCTGGGGTGGGGGTCACTGCGGGGCTATTTCTAGCTCCAGCCTCTGCCCCGCAACAGGGGGTATTGGGCGAAGCTGTTTGCAGTCTGAGGCATCCGGCCCCCTGGCCCTCCCTGCAGCTGTGACCTCACCAAAAACAGAGGCCACACTTCTCAGGGTAGGAGGGGCCAGAAGGCCCAGCTGTTAGGGTAGACAGCTGAGGCCCCAGCTCCCTGGGGGACCCGGGGCAGAATGACCTTCCTCTACAAGCTTCTGTGGCTCCCCATTGATATGCAGGGGAGTCCATGCCTCTCCTCACCCGGGGTTCACTGCTATCACTGCCACCGTCAGTCCTACCCCTCTACCCCCCACCCCCGCCACCTTGCCCTCCCTCTCTGGGCTGTGGCCTCGCCCACCTCCCTCTGTGTCCTGGTGGAGACCAGCACCCTCCCGGGGCAGGGCAGGAGGGCCGCCCTCTGTACCTCAGTGCCCAGAGTAGGACCCGACAGGGCCCTCACCCAGCAAAGACGGGCACAGTGAGTGCACAGGGTGAGGACGATGGCACCTACCCTCGGGCACGCTGTAAGCAGCCATGCCTTTGAGCCTGGAAAGTGCTGACCACAGTTCCCAGGTGGTCAGGATGCAGTGGAGCTGACGGCCCTGGGGAGTCAGCTCAGCCCAGCCCAGACAGCGACAGGCTCTGCCCTGAGGCCCGAGTTCAAATCCCCTCCAGGCTCCAGCTGGGGAGGGCAGCCCACTCAGCCTCCCTGGACCTCAGGGTCCTCGTCTGTGAAATGGGAGTGAAAGTCACGGCGGGCGAGCCCGGGAGGGCTGCTGTGAGGATGAATGAGGGACCAGCTCCTGGCACGATGCACACCCCGTCCAGCCAGCACCGTCGCAGGGGGTCAGCAACAAGGATGATTCCTCTTCCTCCCACCAAGGCGCAGAGGGCCTCTGAGTCACAAAGGAAAGGAACAGAGAAGACAGGCTGTGCTCTCGGTGACAAAGAGTCAGCTCTAAAGCCCAAATCCGCATTTACAGATGAGAAAACAACCACCACGGGCTGCAGGTGCTGATCCTCAAGCCTGTGATGGGCCAAGAAGCCCAGGGACTCTGCAGGGAAACGCAGGGCCCATGGCCCTGGCCTTGGCATTGAACCACGCACTTTTGCCCAGGTGGGTTAACACCCAGGGAGGCAGAGGGTTAGGACAGAGGGTCCCGGCACTCACTCCCGGGGCCTCGGGAGGTGACGGGGGCATCACCCCACTCTACTCCCTGTGTCCCTCCTGGGTCTGGGCTGAGGACCCCGGGATGTCCATGGGGCTCAGACCCCAGCACGGTGGCCAGGAGCTGACTGACCAGCAGCAGGGCCAGCAGCAGTGCCAGCAGCAGTGCCAGATCAGATGGCAGGACTGATCTCATGTGTCAACAGCAGCACCCCAAAGACTCCAGAGACATTTTTGGGGGTGAGGCCCCCATTGGGGAGCAGGGTCCCAACATCACACAGGAGGTGAATTCAGCACCATGTCACTGTCCTCAGGGTGGCCACAGGCGGCTGCACTGGGTGGGAGAGTGTCCACAACCACCCTCTTCTGCACAGGCCACAGGGGGCGCTCAGGAGTCAGGACTCTGGGGGTGAGAGAAGCCCCAGACCAGCCCAGGCACCAGAGGAAATGCATTGAAATCCTCAGGCCGGGACAGCTTCAGGCACAGCGTGATCCTGCAGCTCAGGCATGACCTCAGGGCTCTGATTTCCTGTGTCCAGGGCCCTCCCAGGCCAGCATCTCCTTGGGGCTAAGTCCACTGAAGCCGACTGACTTCTCCAAGCAGGTCCAGCCAAGTGCCCACTCCTGAACCCATCGCCCAGGCCATGAGAATGGAATGCTCTCCTCTCACAGGTCTGGGTCACAGCCAAGTGCCCACCCCGGAACCCATTGCCCAGGCCATGAGAATGGAATGTTCTCCTCTCACAGGTCTGGGTCACAGGAGCACACCTGACCTGGGGGTGGAGTCAGCCCCACCCAGACCAGACCATGTGGACAGAGCGAGGGAGCAGGGGACTCCCAGATAAGCCAGGGGTGTGGCCTGCAGCAGAGACATCCCCTCAGCTGTCCCCTCCAGGACTCCCAGGCTGCTGTCACCCAGGGCTCATAAAAGCCTCTGGCAGATGGGAGGCCCTGCCCAGCACCCATGATGCCCACTGAGCTTCTCCTGGCAGCCGGCCAGGTTCCACAGGGAGGGTAGTGCCAGGAAGCCCAGTGCACAGAGGGGCTCATAGATGCCCATGGGAAGACAGCTGGGTGTGCCTTGCTCTCACAGGATGTGGACATGTCCCCTGTGTCCCAGGCTGTGGGCCCATTTGTGTCACTCATCACCCTGGCCTCATTTTCTGAGTGACTGTGCTTCTCCCTAGGAGCCCCGAGAAGAGACAGCCAGCGGGTGCTGCTAGTTAATGAGGCTCAGCTGGAATCAGCTGTTTCAAACTTAAAAGGCTGTTAATGGGATTTCTAATTCCAGAGGTGGAAAGAGTTAAATTGTATTGCCAACGACTCTTGCAATCCAAGATGTTTTCTGATTCTGTGTTTTGTTCTGGTAATTAATTGGATGGAAGTTGTCCAACTTCGTGGAGAGACCAGAGCTATTTCAGGTTTCACTGAGTCTCTGGAAGATTAAGTTACTTTGTTTCCCCCAGGAACTCCCAGAACCGGCCACATCGGTGCCATTTCAAAGACAAAGGGCTGAGCAGCTTTCACAGCGTGTGTCCATTGTTTTCTAACTCCAGAACCCTGGAAAAGCAGCAGGCTGTGTCTGCTCAGAGCAGAGCTCTGGGCTCGCCTGGCCGGGACCCAGGACTCCAGGACCCAGGAGCCCCGCTGAGGTGCTGGCTGGGGCCTCGGGCAGGTCCACGCCTTGGTTTTCTCATCTGGAGAAAGGGGCTGAGGACAGCACCTGCTGTCTAGGGTCTCTGTCGGCTTCAGGAGAGAGTGCAGCAGGTGTTTGGCCCCAGGCCTGGCACATCCTAAGCCTCACAAATGTCCAGGAAATGACTCTATGGGTGTGTAATGCCCAACCTTGTTTTTACTAACCCTGTTCTTAGACTCTCCCTTGGCTAAGAGAGCCAGACAGACTCCATCTTGGCTCTTTCACTGGCAGTCCCTTCCTCAAGGACTTAACTTGTGCAAGCTGACTCCCAGCACATCCAAGAATGCAATTAACTGATAAGATACTGTGGCGAGCAATATCCACAGTTCCCAGGAATTCACCCGATTGATAACGCCCAAAGCCCCGCGTCTATCACCTTGTAATAGTCTTAAAGCCCCTGCACCTGGAACTGTTTACTTTCCTGTAACCATTTATCCATTTAACTTTTTTGCCTACTTTATTTCTGTAAAATTGTTTTAGCTAGACCCCCTTCCACTTTCTAAACCAAAGTATAAAAGAAAATCTAGCCCCTTCTTCGGGGCCAAGAGAACTTTGAGCGTTAGCCGTCTCTTGACCACCGGCTAAATAAACGGACTCTTAATTCGTCTCAAAGTGTGGCGTTTTCTCTAAGGTACAACAGGTGAATAGCCACTCCTCTGTTACGCAGCTTGCGATGTCTTCCCACTGTCCTGAAAGTCCCAAACCTTTAACACGCTGTGGAAAAGTCCCCAGAAGGTAGGCTAAGGACGTGTTTAGGGGACCGAAAGTGGAAGAAGTTTTTAAAATAGGGAGAGAATTTGTGTTTGGGCTTTCTAAAGAGTGTGGTGCTCAGGGAAGATTCGAACTCCATTGGGCTCCTGTACCTTCCTTGGGGAGGTAGAATCGTCTTTGGTTTCAGTAACACAGGGGCCCCCACAGCCTTGGCCGACTCAGCCCTGGCAGCCTGGATCTGTCCAGACCTGCGGGAGCGGCCCCACCCCCCACATCTGCTGTCCTTCATCCTCCCGAGACCCTGGGTCTGGGCTAGGACAGGATCCCACCCACCACAAGCTCCTCCGTAATCAGCCGCCCCCCAACTTCACCCACGGCCCCCTTAACTGCTGCTCCTGTCTTGCGGGATTTGCCACCTGTGCTTGGAGGCACCCCCACCACCTCCATGCTGGTGGGCTTTAAACCATTTCCACGAACTCGCCACCCCCTCACTCTTATCTCCTCACTTGTTCACATCAAGTACTTTCATTTAAAATATAAGGACATGGTTGCAGAAATGTAATTCCCCATGTATTATGAACATTGATATTTTAGAAACTGCCCCATCCTCAGTGTCTCCAGTAACGCCGAGACCACAGCCACTCCCCTCTCCCCATCCACCCGAGACCACAGCCACTCCCCTCTCACCATCCGCCCGAGACCACAGCCACTCTCTTCTCCCCATCCACCCGAGACCACAGCCACTCCCCTCTCCCCATCCACCCGAGACCACAGCCACTCCCCTCTCCCCATCCACCCGAGACCACAGCCACTCCCCTCTCCCCATCCACCCGAGACCACAGCCACTCCCCTCTCCCCATCCACCCGAGACCACAGCCACTCCCCTCTCCCCATCCACCCGAGACCACAGCCACTCCCCTCTCCCCATCCACCCGAGACCACAGCCACTCCCCTCTCCCCATCCACCCGAGACCACAGCCACTCCCCTCTCCCCATCCGCCCGAGACCACAGCCACTCCCCTCTCCCCATCCGCCCGAGACCACAGCCACTCCCTTCTCCCCATCCACCCGAGACCACAGCCACTCCCTTCTCCCCATCCACCCGAGACCACAGCCACTCCCCTCTCCCCATCCACCCGAGACCACAGCCACTCCCCTCTCCCCATCCGCCCGAGACCACAGCCACTCCCCTCTCCCCATCCGCCCGAGACCACAGCCACTCCCCTCTCCCCATCCACCAGAGACCACAGCCACTCCCCTCTCACCATCCGCCCGAGACCACAGCCACTCCCCTCTCACCATCCGCCCGAGACCACAGCCACTCCCCTCTCACCATCCGCCCGAGACCACAGCCACTCCCCTCTCACCATCCACCAGAGACCACAGCCACTCTCTTCTCCCCATCCGCCCGAGACCACAGCCACTCCCCTCTCCCCATCCGCCCGAGACCACAGCCACTCCCTTCTCACCATCCACCCAAGACCACAGCCACTCCCCTCTCCCCATCCACCCGAGACCACAGCCACTCTCTTCTCCCCATCCGCCCTAGACCACAGCCACTCCCCTCTCCCCATCCGCCCGAGACCACAGCCACTCCCCTCTCCCCATCCGCCCGAGACCACAGCCACTCCCCTCTCCCCATCCGCCCGAGACCACAGCCACTCCCTTCTCCCCATCCACCCGAGACCACAGCCACTCCCCTCTCCCCATCCACCCGAGACCACAGCCACTCCCTTCTCCCCATCCACCCGAGACCACAGCCACTCCCCTCTCCCCATCCACCCGAGACCACAGCCACTCCCCTCTCCCCATCCACCCGAGACCACAGCCACTCCCCTCTCACCATCCACCCGAGACCACAGCCACTCCCCTCTCACCATCCACCCGAGACCACAGCCACTCCCCTCACCCCATCCACCCGAGACCACAGCCACTCCCTTCTCCCCATCCACACTTAAATGTACAGAGGGAAAACCACAGCATCCTTTCTACTCCAATTCACAGTTCACTGCATCCCGTTTCTCCATGGAGTGAGTACTCAATGCTTGGAAGTATTTACTAATTGCCAGATTACATTCCCCACAACAAAAAACGTGTTTGAAATTTAAATAGCAACGTAATTCTTGTGTCTAAAGAGCTCCAAGTGTTAAAATACTTTTCTGGATCCAGTTATGGTCCCATTTTTAGTAACAGGCAATTCTTCCAAACAACATGAGGAATCAAATATTTATATTATGTCATGTGTACATTTCCATCGCATATACATGCTTACATCTATATAAATATACGGCATAAATCGATTTACATAATGCATGTGTAAATATTGACATATGGGATATGTAATATGGTGTGTGTTATTTATTTATGTGATTAATATATTCAAATTTTTAGAGTTATTTTAAAGGAAAGTACACCTTGTGGAAATGGATTGGGAAATTTCAGGAGTCTCATTTGGAGGGCGCCCTGCGGTCTCTGCGCCCCCTCCCAGGACGTGCCTCTGGGGGATTCGGGATGGGGGGGGTTGTCCTTCCTGGGAAAAACAGGAGCTGGGAAGTCATAACAGGGAAGGGAGACCAGGGAGCTGACTGCAGGCTCCTTTCAGGCAGGTATTTTTAGGACTTTAGGCGGCCATGCTGATGCCCTGGGTGGTCCCTGAGGGAGCGCCCGCCTCGGGGTCCCGCAGACTCAGGGGCCCTGCCTGGGCCCTGCCTGGGATTTTCCTGCCAAGTCCATGGTCTCCTTGGGCTCCCTCCGCAACTGTGCCCCCGTTTCCTGTGCTCATCCCACACCCAGCCTGGCCCCGAACACCGTGGGGCTTTTGTTCGGGGCCCCGCACACCGGACCTCAGGATTCCATCCTCCCAGAACCATGGCCACAGAATAAGGTCCGCCAAGATGGATACCGAACGCGCCTCAAACACCTGGGGGGCGGACGTGTGAGGAGCTGGCCTCTCTCCACCCCCAGCCGCCCTTCAGCCCGGCCTCCCTCTATCCTGGACGCCTCAGCCCCTCCTCACTCTGCACCTGCTGGTCCTCAGCCCTTGGGCCCTCCCATTCCTGTGCCCTCCCAACTCCACACCAGCGGGGTGGGGCTGAGGGCTGCAGGACCACTCTACCCCCAACCTCATGCTGTGACAGGCTGAGGGGGAGCCGGGTGCCCTTTGGCCGTGCCCCATTTGTGGTCAGAGACCCCACGTCCTCCGTGGCTGGGCACATGGGCTCTGTGGGGCATCTGAGTCCATTGAATTTGAACACCAGGTCCCAGGACTTAGAACTCAAGGACAGCCCTGCCCTGTGCGATGCTGAGAGGTGCCTGGGGCATCGCAGAAACAGCTTCCCTGAAGGCTAGACTCAACAAGGCCTCCTAGGGTGACCTGCTGATCCCGGGACCCTGCTCCCTGGGAAGCCCCCCAGTGTGGCCCCTGCCCCTCTGCTGACACCCCTTGATCTCCACCCTGGCCTTGGCCCTGGCCCTGGCCCTGCCTTGTCGACAGCTCCTGGGTCATCTCAAAGGACCTCAGCCTCTTCGAGTCCCAGCTGTACTCATGACCCTCCTGGAATGCTTTACTTTTCCAGTATCCTGCCTGCAGCCTCCCAACGCTGACACTAGAAACCTGGGACGTGCTGGACGCCCGTCTCCTCTCCCCATCCAACAGTCACCGAGCCGCAGATCCTGTGTCCTGAAGGCACCTGACACCATCCTCGTTGCCCCGTCTTCACAGCTCCACCTCCTTCCTGCAAGGCTTCCAGACCCACCCTCCCTCTGCCCCCTTCTCTAGCGCTCAGTCAGGGGCCTGTGCCGACCCATTCTGTGCGGCCACCTCTGTGTGCAGCCCTCACACGGCTTCTCCCCGCATTTAGAGACCCCATGAGCTCTATCATAAACCCCAGGGCCCTGCCACACCCCGACTCATGGGGCCTCCCTGCTCACCTCCTCTCTGTTCTCCCCACGCCACGCTCCTGCCAGGCCCAGGGACTGGGCACCTGCAGCTCACCGGGTCTGGAAGCTTCCTGAGCCGGCTCCTCCGCTCTCCCCAGGTTTCTCCACACATCACTTCCTCAGAGGAGTCTCCTGAGGTCAGCCTAGGATGGGTGTCCTGTACCGACTGAGGAACTTATCAGAATGGGGGCCTTGAAGTTAATTCTTATATCATATGGAAAGAGCCACAAACACGCAAGGACATGCCCACACGTGTGTTTGTGGCTGTGCTGTGTATGGTGGCTGAGAACTGGGAATAGTGACCCAGATGTCACCCGTGGGAGGGCAGCCGAGACACGGTGGTCCCTGGGCACTGTGGGATTTCTGCAGCTGCCGCGCAGGGTGAGTAGAATTCCCGGCCCTGGGAGCCTGTGCCGGACACACAAGGGGTGCAAAGAGAAGTGAAGACGTCAACTACAGTCCAGATGCTCCTCGACTTACAGTGGGGCAGGGCTGCAATGAGAAGTGAAGACGTCAACTACAATCCAGATGCTTCTCGGCTTACAGTGGGGCTGTGTCACGAGGACGCCTCCTAAATTGAAAATGTCCTAAGTCAAAATGCATCAATGCACCAAACCTATGGAACAGCATAGCTTTGCCTGGCCTACCTTAAACATGCTCAGAACATGACGTTAGCCCACTGTTGGGCAAAATCATCTCACAGAAAGCGTATTTGATAATACAGTGTTGAGCATCTCCTGTAATTTATTGAACACTGCACTGTAAGTGAAAGAATGGCTGTATAGATAATCAAAGTAGGGTTCCTACTGAAAGCAGATCATTTTCACATCATCATAAAGTCAAAAACTCCTGTGTTGACCCATCGGACCATCTGTTTGTATTTATGATAATGGTACAAACTTGTTACAAAGTAAATGGTCCTGTGGACAAATATCACAAAATAATATGGACAAATGAAATTGCAGATCTGAGGCCAGGTGCGATGGCTCACGCCTGTAATCCCAGCACTTTGGGAGGCCGAGGCGGGTGGCTCACTTGAGGTCAGGAGCTCGAGACCAGCCTGGCCAACATGGTGAAACCTCGTTTCTACTTAAAGTACAAAAATTAGCCAGGTGTGGTGGCGCACGCCTGTAATCCCAGCTACTTGGGAGCCTGGGGCAGGAGAATTGCTTGAACCTGGAAGGCAGAGGTTGCAGCAAGCCAAGATAACAACACTGCACTCCAGCCTGGGTGACAGAGCGAGACTCTGTCTCAAGGAAAAAAAGAAGAAGAAGAAGAAATTACATATCTGCTCAGACTACGGGAATTTTTTAAATTTTAGGTGTGTGTTATTATTGCAATATGGTTTTCTCCATGAGGAATTGATTTTTTTTAAGTAAAAGGAAGGGTATGTGGCTACTCTGTTTCCCTGACTCAGAGCTAAGTCCAGGAATTCAGGGACCTTGTTTTTCTTCCTAATGGCTCTATCCCCAGCTTCAGCATGCAGTCTGGCCCACAGCATGTGCTCAGTGAACTAGATGAAAGAATGGGTAGGTGGGTGGATGTGTGGAAGGATGGATGAATGGATGGGGGACAAGGGGTGGATGGGTGGAAGGATGGAACAATGGATGAATGCGTAGGTGGGTGGAAGGATGGATGAACGGATGGATGAGTGGAAGGATGGAAGAATGGATTAATAGGTGGATGGGTGGAAGGATGGATGGATGAATGGATGGATGGATGGATGGATGGATGGATGGATGGAAAGATGGATGGATGGATGGATGGATGGATGGATGGATGGATGGATGAAAGACGGCTGTATAGCAACCTGGGTATATGTTCAGATAAATGAATGGGGAGATGGATGGATGGATGAAAGAGAGAAGAATGGATAGTACCCTTGGCATATGTTCAGATAAGTGGATGAACAGATGGACAGATGGATGGATGGATGGATGGAAGGATGGATGGATGGATGGATGGATGGATTAAAGAAGGCTGTATAGCAACCTGGGTATATGTTCAGATAAATGAATGGGGAGATGGATGGATGGATGAAAGAGAGAAGAATGGATAGTACCCTTGGCATATGTTCAGATAAGTGGATGAACAGATGGACAGATGGATGGATGGATGGATGGATGGATGCATGGAAGAAAGAAGAATGGATAGTAAGCTGGGTATATGTTCAGATAAGTGGATGGACAGACAGATGAACAGCCCCATCACCCACACATCCCTCCACACTTCCTCTTGTACTCACCCCTCCCCTCCACCCTAACACTTGTAAACCACAGGCCTCTTCTCTGACATCCAGAGCGTCCCATAAATGGGCTCACGCAGTGGGAGCCTTCTGGGTGGGCTCCCGGCCCTCAGCGCGGGTCATGGAGAGTCGCCCGGGCGGCTGTGCGCACCCACGGCCTGCCCTGCCCGTCTCCCTGCTGAGCGGCGTCCACTGCACCTATGCATGGCGGCTCGTTCTGTGCTCACTGATGGGGGTGTTTGCGTTGTTTCCGGTTTTTGCAATTACAAATAAAGCCACTAGGAACTTTAACCTACATTTTTTTGTGTGGAGGTAGGTTTTCACTCCACGTGAGTGGGTCCCTGGGGTGGGGCTGCGGACTCACATGCTGAGTGTGTGGAGTGTTTAGCTGGAGCAGCAGCCACCCTGTTTCCATAATGAAGTGGCTGCACCGTCCACTGTGAGCGCAGCTTGCTCGGCAGCCTCAGCAGCACCTGCTGTCATTTCCTTCTTTCTTTGCTTTCCTTTTTTTGTTAATTTTCGCATCCCAATAGGTGTGTGCTGTGACCTCATCATGACTTTAATTTGCATTTTCTTAATAATTCTCGACATTGTCCATTGTTTTATGGGCTTATCTGTCACTCGTATATTTTATTTGGGAAAATGTCTGTGTACATTTTTCCTCATTTAAAAAATATTGTGTCCTTTGCTTTGTTACGGTTGAGCTTTCAGAGTTATTTACATATTCCAGATACAGGACTTTGGTCAGATATATGAATTGCAAATATTCCTTGCCAGCCGGTGGCTGGTCTGATCATTCTCTAAACTCTGTCTTCTGCAGAGCAAAAGGGTTTAATTTTGATGAAGTCAAGTTTATAGATTTTTTTTTTAAGAATTGTGCTTTTGTCATTGCCTAACCCAAAGTCACAAAGCTTTCTCCAATGTTGCTTCTAAAATGTTTATAATTTTACGTTTTACACGTAGGTCCCCGATACATGCTGAGGTAGTTTTTGTGTGAGGCGGGAGGTGTAGGTGGAGCTCACTGTTTTGCTTGCGGACCTGCAATGGCTACAGCCTCATCTGTTGAAAACATGATCCTTTCCTGATGTGTTGTCTTTGTGGATAGATGCGTTGAAAATTTTAGTGAGTAATATAAAAGCCTTCTCCAGCCAACACACATTTATTCCTCCATGAATGAATGCACTGCGGGTGGATGGGGCTTTGTCTCCCTGGCGCTCAGTGCACGGGTGGGGATGGGTTCTGTCTGTGGGGGGAGGTGTGGGCCTCTGTGGGGGAGGCAGAAGGTGCCTGGGAAAGCGGTCACCAATCAGCCCCACATAGTTACCCCTGGGGTCTGTGCTGATTCCCACGCCCACCTGCATCTCTGGGGGTGGTCTCCAGGCATAGTTACCCCTGGGGTCTGTGCTGACTCCCACACCCACCTGCATCTCTTGGGGGGGTCTCCAGGCATAGTTACCCCTGGGGTCTGTGCTGACTCCCACGCCCACCTGCATCTCTGGGGTGATCTCCAGGCATAGTTACCCCTGGGGTCTGTGCTGACTCCCACGCCCACCTGCATCTCTGGGGGGGGTCTCCAGGCATAGTTACCCCTGGGGTCTGTGCTGACTCCCACACCCACCTGCATCTCTTGGTGGGGGGGTCTCCAGGCACAAGATTGTCTCAGGCTCCTTGGGTTCCAGAGCGCACCAGGACTGAGAGCCCCTGCTCCCGGGGCAATGCTGCTGACACGGCTGCTGGTCAGGCCGCTGGCCGGCCAAGGTCAGGGTCCAGGGGCCTCTGAGTTGGAGGAGGGGGCTCCTTTTCCCAGGCAGCCCCGCTCTCCCAGCCAGGGCCCAGGAAGCCAAGGCTGCTCTCCGCTCACTTCTGCTCCAGCTGCTGGCTCGGTGGGCCTGGGTCCTGCCACTGCTCCCCAGGGAGCTGTAATTAGGATTCCCATGCAAGGAGTTGATGGAAATGGCATTTCACAACACTAATGAACTTCTGCTTTCTTTCCAGAGCCATTTAGCCTATTTAAAATGCAAATTGAAGTCAATAGAAAGTGGTTTGTCTGAGTTCCATCCAGGGATGTGGTTGGTTTGTGTTGGAGGAAAGATGGGCTGTGGTTCCCCTGGGGGGGAAGACAGGGATGATTAGACCTATCTGTACCCAGGGCCGGCTCAGCGTTGCCCTCTGCATGGGAGGGGCTCCCTGGGTCAGGACCTGCACAGGGATGGGGAGGGGAGTGAACTGAGGATCATGTCCCACCAGAGCCCATGAGGCCCGAGTCCTCCGGGTTCTTGAGTGGAGTTGTTTTTATCCCAATTATCCACGTAACTGCCCAAATTCCTACCCCATGGCCTGTGTAGGTTCAAGTCACCACCCACAAGTGGGCTGCCTCGGGCATCCATACCGCTGGCCAGGTTGGCTGACCTCCTGCTGACTCAGATTTTGACCCCCTCATTCCCTGAGTGTCTGAATTGATTAGGGAAAGTGGTGGAAACAGGAAGTTTGGGCTGCTGGGAACAGAAGGTGAGGAGTAACGCACCACCTGCTTGTCTCCTGGGAACGTGATGACCCTAAGATTTAAGTCAAACATGTGCTCTCAAAGTTGTCATTTGTGTGTATGGCCACCTACCTTCTCACTAACCCATCCACCATCCATCCATCTGTTCATCTGTCTGTCCATCCACTTATCTGAACATATACCCAGCTTACTATCCATTCTTCTCTCTTCCATGCATCCATCCATCCATCCATCCATCTGTCCATCTGTTCATCCACTTATCTGAACATATGCCAAGGGTACTATCCATTCTTCTCTCTTCCTTCCATCCATCCATCCATCCATCTCTGCATTCACTTATCTGAACATATACCCAGGTTGCTATACATCCTTCTTTCTTCCATCCATGCATCCTTCCATCTGTCCATCCATCCATCCATCTGTCCATCCACTTATCTGAACATATACCCAGGTTGCTATGTATCTTTCTCTCTCTTCCATCCATCCATCCATCCATCCATCCATCCACCCATCCATCTCCCCATTCACTTATCTGAACATATACTCAGGTTACTATACATCCTTCTTCCTTCCATCCATCCATCCATCCATCCATCCATCCATCCATCTGCCCATCCATTTATCTGAACATATACCCAGCTTACTATCCATTCGTCTCCCTTCCATTCATCCATCCATCCATCCATCTCCCCATTCACTTATCTGAACATATACTCAGGTTACTATACATCCTTCTTCCTTCCATCCATCCATCCATCCTTCCATCTGTCCATCCATCATCCATCTACCTTCTCATCCATTTGTACACCCATCCCCCCCGTTTTAACCAATCATCTGGATTTTAACCAATTATACCATTTGTCCTGCAATTATCCAGTCATCCATTGCACACCCATCCCCGTTTTCACCAATTCTCCATTTTTCTGTCTGCCCATTTGCTCCTCTGTTTCTTAATGACCCCGTCATCCATCTCTGGTTGCATCTGCTCATCACCTGACAGCACCAGCTATTTCCCTGGAGACTTCATCAAACGCTGGAATATGGACAGATTGATGAATGCATAGTACCTGGCCAGCATTAGAGGGAGCTTGGTGAGTATATTAGGGCTAGGATGTATCTGTCCATGTTTGTCGCTGGCCTATTTCTTACCTTGACATTTCCACTGGAGGGAGCCTGGAAAAGAAAGTGAGATTTATGCCACCTGGTCTAAGAGCTACTGTCCTTCCATGTTAAGAGAATCGATGTGGTCACTTAATCAGATGCCACTTTGTTTAATTGTCACATTATCACACCAGAACCACTGTTCCTGCCTGGACCCAGCCTCTGCTCCTCAAGGGAGTCAATTAGCCATCTGAGTGGCCACCTGACACATGATGTGCAGAGATGGGAGGAGACATGCCAAGCAATTTCTTTTACGCTAGGGCTGTTAATGCTGTGAAGTCTGACTAAGGGTTTCTGTCCACTGATGGTGCTTTTCATGTGATGCGTGTGGTTCTGCTCCTGTCTGAGTCCACCCTGAGTCTGCCTTTCTTCCACACCCTGAGCCCCTTCCATGCAAATGTGCCTTTCCTGACAGCCAGGCTGGTGTGGACAGAGAACTAGGCAGCCATGTAGAGTGTGGTGGAAACATGTCTTCTCTGGAAACATCAGCCTTCACCCCCACACCAGGGAAGTGCTTTGAGCTTCACTGCCCTAGATGCCTTCCTGTGGGCTGTCCACAGGCCTCTCTCTGATGCCAAAGGGATTTGCTCAGATGAGAAAGAAACACCAGGGGGGCTGGGAGGGTGTGCAGACCTGAGAGGTGAGTCTGAGAATATCCAGGAGCTGCCACTCCGCCCGCAGGAGGGGACCACAGGAGATGCAGGAGGGAACCACGGGAGACCCAGGAAGGGACCACGGGAGACCCAGGAGGGAACCACGGGAGACCAAGGAAGGGACCGTGGGAGACCAAGGAAGGGACCGCGGGAGACCCAGGAGGGGACCACAGGAGAGCAGGGGCTGGAGGTGTGGGTGAGTAGTAAGTGCAGGAAAGGGCTGACCATGAACATGGAGTCCTCTTCTCATTTCTTCCAGGCCCTCTTGGGCCCTGTTTCTAGGGCTCTGCACCTAGATCGATGGGAGGAGGATGATGCCATTCACTGAAATAACAGGAATAGGTGTGTGAGGAGGAGCTGGCAGGGTGAGAGGTGAAGACTTTGTCTGGGGAATCCACTCACTGAGGAGCACCTGGCCATGGCCTCAGCTGCCACCCTCCTGACACCCACTCTGTTCTACAAAGTTGAAGGTAGAGGCACCTTTCTCTTGGCAACAGGAGGTCCAGCGGGGCTTTTCCCATAATTGTAACCCCCCCCTACACACACACACACACGCACACACACACACACACACACGGCTTAAGAAGAGATGGAGACAGACAGTCACCCTGCAACAATCACCCCCTCTGGGCCTGGACAGGACCAGGGAGGGCGGGCATGGGTGGGGGGGTTGCTTGCCTGATGGGGAGGCCGTGTAGGAGTGAGTGCTGACTCAGCTGAACACAGTGAGGGGCTCCTGGGGATCCTGTGTGAACATCAGGGTCCCTGCAGGAGGGGAGACCATATCCCACCCCATGCTGGACACGTGATGAGCAGCAGAGCCACAGGCCACCTGCGGCTGGCAACCCAGTGCCAGGAGGGGTGGGGAGGGCTGCACAGTCATCCTCTGAGGGATCAGCCTGAGTCTAGAGCTGGTGCCAGCTCCCAACTGTAGACTCAGGAGAGGCCGCCAGCCAGGGTAGCCCACACAGCAGGCCCCGAAGGACCCCAGAGTGCCCAGGATAGTAACCTGGGTATATGTTTCACCCCAACATGCCCTTGGGTGGCCACATGGGGGTCGTCCAGCACAGCCCCAGGCAGCCTGAGGCCATCCTTTGTGGACACATGGGAAGGCGGGTGGGCCCGGGGACAGCCAGCCAGTGACTTTATCTCCATTCTGCAGCAGTGTCTCAGGGCCACAGAGGCACCCAGCAAGTGCTCCCCATGGGAGGGTCCGGCACACAGGAGGCAGCTTCTTCTCAGCCACTTGGCTCCAAGGAGGAGCAGGGTCCTGAGCTGCATCAGAGCCCAGCCGCGTGTGCCTTCCCCGTGTACGGGGCTGTGGGGCCGGGGGGCGGCGTAGAGACCCCCTGACCAGGCCTGGTTCAGGCTCAGGGCCCTGTGGGAGGAAAATGATTTTCAAACACAAGCCCCTGGCTTTCCTGAATGGGTCTGGGTGGGCAGGGGTGGGGCAGTCAGAGGGAGGAGGGAGTCAGAGACCAGGAGGCTGCTCACCCCATGGGGCGGTGCCTGGGAAGCAGGGCCTGGGATGATGCTGCACACTGAGGTACTGTCAAAACTGGGGGCAGTCAGTCCAGATGCAAGAGAGTGTTTGAAAGGATGACGCTGGCCCTAACCTGGGGCAGAGGTTCTCCCTGTTGCAAAGTCAGAGGGAGAATCTTGTGAGTTGGACACATCAATGTATTGAGTCTCTTTTGCAGCATGGGGTAGGTAAGAATGTGGGAGTGGCGGAGGAAGGGAAAGGGAATTGGGTGTGGAGGAGCTGGAGGTCCCAGTGGGTGCCAGGCTGGGGATGAGAAGGTGAGGAGACAGATAAGGGTGGTGAGGAGACAGATAAGAGTGGTGAGGGGACAGATAAGGGTGGTGAGGAGACAGATGAGAGTGGTGAGTGGACAGATAAGGGTGGTGAGGAGACAGATGAGGGTGGTGAGAAGAGAGATGAGGGTGGTGAGGAGACGGATGAGGGTGGTGAGGAGAGAGATGAGGGTGGTGAGGAGAGAGATGAGGGTGGTGAGGAGAGAGATGAGGGTGGTGAGGAGACAGATGAGGGTGGTGAGGAGACAGATGAAGGTGGTGAGTGGACAGATAAGGGTGGTGAGGGGACAGATGAGAGTGGTGAGGGGACAGATGAGGGTGGTGAGGAGAGAGATGAGGGTGGTGAGGAGAGAGATGAGGGTGGTGAGGAGAGAGATGAGGGTGGTGAGGAGAGAGATGAGGGTGGTGAGGAGACAGATGAGGGTGGTGAGTGGACAGATGAGAGTGGTGAGTGGACAGATAAGGGTGGTGAGGGGACAGATGAGAGTGGTGAGGGGACAGATGAGGGTGGTGAGGAGACAGATGAGGGTGGTGAGGGGACAGATGAGGGTGGTGAGGAGAGAGATGAGGGTGGTGAGGAGAGAGATGAGGGTGGTGAGGAGAGAGATGAGGGTGGTGAGGGGCTCTGAGGGGAACATGGTGCATGACCAGCAACAGACTCTCCAGCCCCTGGGCTCACGTGGGGACATTGATGGTGCTCAGCTCTTGCGTCTTCCCTCTAGGAATCCACCCGGCAGAAAATACACCTGTGTGAGCTAAGAAATAGACTCCAGGACATCCTCTCTGGCTCTGTGAGATTCAGGGTCACATTGAGCTGCCCTAGTTTCCATCTGCAGAAGGCAGATTAGGTGAACGACACCCAGCTCTACCACAGAACACTGGCAAAAAAAAATCGATTAGGTTTAAGGGGGTTCTGTGTGCTCTGATGTTGAAGGATTCCATGGGCTAAAGCTCCACCTGGGAACTGGACTTGACCCATCAAGCACTATCTGCAAGCCCTGCCCAGGTGACAGGGCTGGTGACCCCTGCCGCTGCATCGACCTCTGCAGTTCTAAGGGGAAACGGACCAGCCAAGTACTTCTCAGTGAAGTAAAAACGAGTCTTGGGCAGGGGTTACCCTGCTAGAGAGTAGGCAGGAAGGGAGGGTCCTCTCTAGCTCTGGGGACTCCACAGCTAGGTAAGGGGTGGGCATAGGGGGTGGGTGGAAGGAAGCTCTGACGCAGGTGTTTTCCTTGGCTCTGTGCCAGCCAGGCCCGGGGGCATCAATCTCACTCCATCCCCTGGGGCTCTGCCAGTTGGTCAAGGCCAACGTCCACCCTTCTGGGTCATGTCCAGGCTTTCACCTTCACCCCCGCCGTCCTCACCTCACCTGTGGAAGCCTTTTCATTCAGACCTTGGGTGAAGTGGTCCCTTCTCCACCCCAGTCCCTCCAGTGGGGAGGACCTAGGATGTCTGTGCTGATGGATGAGCTGAGGAGCCCAAACACCGAGCCTCCTGGGAGGGCGTCCTGGACACATCCCTCAGCCGTCCCTGCTATGGGCACCAGCTGCTTCCGTGGGTGGGTGCTGGGAGGAAACGGGGAGCAGTCTCCAGTCTGGAGGTGCTGCTTGTAAACTGGAGGTTTGTCAAAGCCTCTCCACCTCCCGCTCTGATGTCTTCTCCATATTTAGGACTCTGTTAGAAGGAGACAAAAAACCCAACTCAAACCAACTGAAGGGTCCAGGGTTGTGTATCTGCAGGTACAGCTTGATGGATGGGCCCGGGAGAAGCCACCAGGACCTCTCTGTCTCTCTGTGTCTGTCTCTCTGTCTCCTTCTCTCTGACTCTGCTGCCTGTCTGGTTCCTCTCCTGGCTGAGCTCAGCCATGTGGGGCCAACCCCTCCACCTGCAGTGCCAAACCCACTCCCCTCCTCTCAGGGACATTTATGAAGAGATCCATCCTCCCAGTCCTCTGTCAAAGCCCAGATGTGGGTCCCTCGGGCTTTCACTGCCTGGGGGTTGTGTCCATCCAGCACCAGGTGCCCTGATCAAGATGCTCTGATTGGCCAGGCCTCATCAACAACCATCCCAGAGCTGGGACAGACGCATGATCTGAGAACTGGGGGGGGGGTCATTTCCATGGGAAACCAGTGTGCTCTTGGTGGAATAGGAGGGAAAGGTTCTTGGGGCACCATAAAAAGCAGATGCGAGCACTCGGTGACCTTGAGAGCGGGGTTGAGTTCCCTGGCAGGTTTTAATTGTAAAAGAGCTTCCGAGGGGCAATGCTTACCTAGAGGATGGGAGGTGCACCCCTGGGATCTGGCACTGTACCAGGTTGCAGAGGAGACATTTTGGGGTGGGAACAGGGGAACCCCGAGTCTGAGAGTCGCTCTGTGCTGGGGAAGGGTTGAGGGGAGTTGAGCTCAGGCTGGGGAGGGGCCTCTCAGCTGCAGAGTGTAGTGTGAACACAGTTGCATATCATTATAGGATTGGAAAATGAGATTCCAGAACCAGACAGCCTTCCCTCTCTGGGTGCCAGCAGCGAGCGTCTGTTCCTGAAGCAGTGATATGGCCCTCGGCACAGTCAAGAATTGTGCCATTTGGGAGGCAGGAAATCGTTTCCAGGAGAAAGTGCCCCATGCAGATGGCTAAGCATCTGGCCCTGGGGAATCTGCAAATGCTGAAAACGTCAGGATTTAAAAGAAACCCAGACTTGTTCCCTTTTCCTAATTGCTTCCAACCCTTCCCTGAGCCTTTTCTCCCTTAGAGACAATGGAATGGGCTAGAATGTGCTCAAGGGTGCAGAATGCTGGGCAGGAATCTTAGGGATGAACCGCAGAGAGGTGATGGGGTGGGGAGAATTTCCCAGTTATTTCCAAACCAGTGGGAAGTTCCAACTGGGAACATATTCCCCAGGGCACTGAACTATTAAAATAGGGCACCGACTTAAATGGTGCATGGACCAATCAGAATTGACCACAGACCACACAGACTGGAGCAGGGGCCAATCAAGATGAAAGATTTGCCAATCAGGATGGAGCATACCTCAGTGAGAATGGATCAGGAACCACAAAGAATGGATCATGATCTAATCAGGATGGAGCATGGGCCAATCACAATGGAGCACCGTCCAATCAGGCTGGAGCATTTTTCAGTCAGAATGGAGCACGGGCCAATCACAATGGACACCTGTCTAAAGACCCAGCACGGACGGAGCAGTGTGTCCAGCTGAGTGTCTCTCCTGGTGCTGCACTCATCAGGCCCCTCCCTATCTTATCCCACCGCCCCAGGCCGTGGGTCAGGAGACAGAGGTGCCTGGAGGAGCCAAGAGCAAGCCCCACTTCTGCCTGTGCAACGAGACACCCACCCTGAGAGAGGACTGTGGGGGGCAGAAGGACAGGAGCCCAGGGATGTGCTGTGTCTGTCTGTCCGGCTGTCTGTGCAGGAGCCCGGAGACCTCAGGCTTCCAAGCTAGCATTTGTGCTCCTCAGATCTGGGGTCGACTCCAGGACAAGCTGATACTTACAGACACAGAAGGCGATTTAAACCTGTCCCCAGGAGCTGACAGTGTAGTCTGGGGTGAATTCATTTGTAAGAGTCTGTTGACATTCATTGTAAAAGATGAGTACTTCTCACTGGTCCTCACATGTCTCATCCCTGAAACGGAGGGGGAGAACATCATTTTAATTGCCATACAGTATGTGTTTCCTGAAGACTTAATGGCTGCTTTGCAGTTTACCATGGAGGGGTAGATTTATAGCACTGTCTGCGGGTCCTTGCCTGTGCTGGGCTCATTGTCAGGTTGTGGGTAAAATGGAGAGGGTCTAGGGGGCGCGCCTTTGCCACCCAGGCATCTCCAGAGCTGACTTGTGGCTCAGGGCCAGAGGCAGGCCAAGGACAGTTCAACCAGCGATCAGAGCCCAGGCCTTCCAGGCAGGTCCAACTCCCAGTGCTGACCCTGACAGCTGTGCTGTGTGATCCCGGAGCTATCCTCACCACTGAGCACGGTTCCCTTCTCTGTAAAGCAGGGAAATTGATGCTCTCCCAGGGACACCACTCGGCAGCCATTCCCCCAGTGCCTGGGACAGCCCCCTGAGGATCACCCTTCACCCAGCCTCAGTCCACGTGGTTTGGGGACATCCCCAGGCCAGGGACAGATCACATGACTGAGTCACAGCCAATCAGCACACGGCTGTCCCAGAGCACGTGATTGGCTCAGGCATAGGGGTGTGACTCCATCAGAGCCAATCAGATGCAAGGAAACAGGCTGAGAGGCTCTGGCCTTTCTCACTGCCTGTGACCTGAGGGGGCGTGGCACAGGTTGCGCCCCTGGGACCAGTGGACAGAGCCTGCTGGATACTGGAGTCCACGAGGAAGAAGCAGAGCCGGGGTAGATCAGGCCTTGGTGATAGTGACCTGAGCCCTGGGTTCACCCAGACCTCAAATCAGGTCGCTCTGCCCCTCCCCTAGATTCACCCATTCATCCCCTTTCAGGGCTTAGGTTCTTCCGGTGGGGTTTGTGTCACTAACATCAATGAGGACAAGATAGGCCTATTTCAGAAACAGGAGGTGATGAGGGTGCCTGGCTACAAGAATTCTTAAATAGGGGCTGCTATTAGTATACGGAGCTCTCCTGCTGCCAGGGTGCCCCTCATATCCCCGAGACGGAGCAGGAAGAAGGACCCACTTCAGCCCCACGAAGTCCGGATGCAACTGCGAGTCTCCAGTGTGGGCGTTGTCCTCCTCAGTCTGGTGTTGCTGCACTGCGCCCGACCCCAGCCTGGCCACGGTCCCCGTGAGGCACCCGCCCCTGAGTCTCCTCGATGGGCATTCCTCTTCCTGCCAGGCTCATCCCAGGCCTCCACCTCTCCACCTGTTCCCCGTCCCCAGGAGTCAGCCCCTGTGGCTCGAACACCTTCTGCTGCTGACCACGCATCTGAAGGAGCCCCACTCACACCCCTGCCATGTCACGCTGACCTTCACCTACTTGATTTTTCTTCCCTTATCACCACCCAATGCTTTAACGTGGATTATTTTGGTTACTCTTTGTCTGCAGCACAAACAAGCCCAATGAGGGACAGGACTTGGTCTTGGTCTCAGTCTCAGTTGTCCCCTATTTGTTGAATGGAGAAGTGGATTGATGAATGAACAAAATGACTGATCAATAAATGGATAAGTGGGAGGATGAATTAATGGATGAATACATAGGTAAATGAATGAATGAATGATGGATGAGTGAATGAATGAAGAATGAATAGATGAATGGATTGGTGTGTGGATGAATGGATAGATGAAAGAGTGGATGAATGGATGGATGGATGGGTGGATGGATAGATGAATGGATAGGTGAAAGAGTGGATGGATGGATGGATGAATGAATGGATGAGTGGATGGATAGATGGATACAAATTTGCACAGCTCAAATTCTCCTCTCAAATGAGTTTTATGAGTCCTTCCCACTCTCACTAGCTCATGGTCACCTGCCCAGTGTCCTGTCTGCTGTACCCCCACAACTCCATGAGGACCCTGTGGCCTGCACTGGTCAGAGAAGGTTTCCTGGAGGAGGGGACTCAGGCAGAGCATGGAGGAGAGAAGAACTCGGGGGCGGGCTGGGGGCACAGCCTGCAGATGGTGGGGAGGGAAGCTCCATCCCCAGGTGGTGGGTGGGGTCTCACAGCCTCGCT
Source organism: Homo sapiens (assembly GCF_000001405.40). NCBI lineage: Eukaryota > Metazoa > Chordata > Mammalia > Primates > Hominidae > Homo > Homo sapiens. Next base: position 131,643,862 of record NC_000012.12, read on the forward strand.
CTGGCTCTGTTGGACTTGGGAGAGTGCTGGTAGCTAAAAATGTTTTTTCCCAAAAAGTCTATAACTGGGAGACAGAAAGTAGGGCAGGTTCACAGTCCAGCAGGAATGAGGCCAGGAAGAAAACAGGATCCAAACCCGAGCATGTGCTGCTCATTTGCATATCGTTTGCATGGAATTCTTAGTGCTCCTCCACTCCCCACCCCCTCCCTGCCGCCTTCTCTGGGACTCAGCTCACAGTGGGGCTTGTCTCAGCCCCATCAGACACCAGAGCAGGCACAGGCAGCACCATGAACACAGATGGGTCCCCAGTGACTGTGGCCCTGAAGAGAGGAAGGGCCTCCTGGGGCTGGACCACCCCCTGGTGGGCTCAAGAAGACAGAGGGGGCCTTGGACTGGGGACAGCCAGCAAGCCTGGTATGCCCCTGCTGGGACTGCCCTGCTGAGTCTATTGTTAGGGTGCCCTTTGTTTGCCTGACCACGGGAGGCCTGCAGGACAGGATGGTCTGGGGACAACCTCAGAACAGGAGGTCTGGGCTCCTTCTCTGCTTCCTTCCTTGGAGTTTCTTGTGTGAGAGAGGAAAGGGCTGCCCAGGCCGCACCACAGGAATCGTGAGACCATAACTGGGGCTGTTTTAAGCCTGCAGGGGTGTGGAAGTTGTGGTGCAGGGACAGAACCCAGACCAGCCTCTGGGAGAGAGGATGGGGAGCTCCCTGGGCCCTCTCCTGTCCCTACAGTTCACAGCCCATGCACCAGAACTGGTCACAGGGCACAGGCACAACCCCCTGCAGGGATCAGGGGCCCCGGGGAGTGCACAGGCCCTTGGGGAGGACCAAGGCCTCCTCTGCTGCCATTGGGATGGCACAGGTTCTGAAGGGCAGGTGTAGCCCCTGCAGGGTACAAGCAGAGGGTGACATCCTCTGACACAGGCTGGGGAGGGACCCCAGGCAGTTGTGTGGGGAGTGCAGGGCCTGGATGCAGGCAGCAGCCTGGGGTGTGTCCTGCAAGACCACAAGGAGAGGCCATGGGTGCGGAAGAGGATCCCAGGGTGAATCTCAGGAAAGCAGCACTGGGACACGTCTGCCGCTAAGGTTATTCTAAAGGCAGAAGCACAGGGACTTCCTGAAAGGCTGCGTAGAAGCGAGAGGCTTGGGCTCGGCTGCCTGGAAGAAGGGAGGCGCCCTGTTCTTGGAGGCCAGAGGATGAGAGCGAGGCAGGCTAAGGAAGAAATCATGGCCCAGCCTGGGCCTGGGGCAGGGGCCTGGCTGGGGAAACTCCTGGCTCAGGAGCAGAGCACGGGAGGAGAAGCACAGCTGGCCCCTGCTCTCCAGGCCTCTGGGAGGTTGGGAAGTGCATGAAAGCACCTCTGAGTCTTGGGTTCTCCATCTGCACAGTGGGCAGGATGATGACGGGCCCTTCTTCCCTAGAAGGAACTTTTTAGGCACAAATGAGGAAATAACATGGAAAGACTTGGAGGCTTCGCCCACATAAGGCAGGAGATCACTCCAAGGTAGGATGACTGCTATTTTGATTGGCTGTAATCAAATGTAATGTCTTGTTTTCATGATTTGGATTGGAGGTGGAAATATTAATTCGAATCATCTATCCTGCAGGAAATGGACCTCCCTGATGGTGGCTTCCCCCGTTCCCTGTAACTGCCTGTGACTGATGAGCCATCAGCAGGGATGGGAGGGATGGAGCCTCGGACATCATTTACTCACTTCTGCTTGTTAAATAACTCAGGACCTGGGGCCGCTTCTCAGGGCTGGGGCTGAGTCTCCGTGCCCACCGTGGTGCTGGGCATATTTGCTGTCTCTGGGGAGACAGACGCGAAGCAGAAAGGCAGAAGGAAAAGCTGTCAGCCCAGGCGTTCCTGCCAACCCATGCCGGCCTGCAGGCCACCGCCCTCTGCCCATCCCGGAAGGACGTGTTTTCCTCTTAAATACCTGAGTCAAGGGGCTGGGGTGCATCTTTCCCTCCGCCCTCTTGCTGAGCTGCGTGGCTGCATTGAGGGGATTTTTCTGTCTCTGCCATTAAACAAATCCTGGCAGGCTAATTAGCTGTGGGAGGTTTCAGGTGCTTTCATTTTCAAAAGAAGTCAAGCACATATTATGCTTGGAACAAGCCTAGCTTTCTAATGAAAAGAGACTGCAACTGAATCATCAAACAAATATAAACAAATAGATCAATAAATGTGCATGCATACACGTGTTCACAGAGGACAATTTGAAGGTGAAACATGAAATGAGAGCGCGCACGGAGGTGCCAGCCATGAGATGTGCAGAGGCCAAGAGCGCAGGGCCAGGGTCAGGAGGATGTGCAGTGGAGCCGGGTAAATGTTACTGCCGCGCCCTAAGAAACGGGGAGGGGAGGGGGCAGGTCTGGAACCACCTAGGAGGCAGATTTGGCTGATTTGTTTCAGGAATCCTTTCTGCCTTGTGATTTAGGAGTTAACGTTTCCTTCTCCTCTTTCTGCTCCTCCTTCCTCCAATAAAGTGCGTGACCTTCATCAGTGCACACACAGGTGGCACTGGCTCAGGGCCCATCGAGGGCCAGTGTCCTGGGCCCTGCCAGGGCATGTCTGTGGGAGGGCCACTAGGGTCAGGGGACAGGGCCGTGGGGAAAATCTGCCCTGTGGATGGATTTGACTGCAGCCACTCTGTCCTTCTGGGAATCAAGGAGGAGCCTTCCCTTGTCCCTGGGACAGCAGGCGCTTCCCCAGGTGGTGGCCCCTCAAGGGTTCCTCCCCAGCACGCTTCCTGCCCTCCCACTGCTCTGAGTCAAGTTCCTCCCGCTCACCTGCTGACTTCATTCCTGGTCCCCTCATCGTCCTGGGCGGGGCCTTCCTGAGCTGCTCCCTTAACACTGAGGAGCTTGACCAGCCACAGGGGCCTGGCCCTCTCCAGGGTGCTGAAACCTGCTGCCGCTTCCTGGGTGGGGACTGCGTGGCTGTCCCAGGATAAGCAGATGTGGGACCCCGTGGCAGAACTACAGTTGTTTTGATGTTTCCATCATGCCCTAAATCCAGCCAGAAGCAGCTTGAAGATACCTGGTGCGCAATGTCCTGCCGATAGCCGGCGGCTGAGCAGACGCCTGGGAGAGAGCATCTTTATCCTGGATGGGCTCAGAGGACCTTCAGAGTCCAACGCACACCTCTCCAGAATCCATTCAGGCGTCTGCAGGCTGGAGACTGAGGGCAGAGGAAACAATGCCCATGGGATTAGCACCCGGCTCAGCAAATGCTCATCAATCCTTCTGCACTCGGCACTGCGCTGGGCCCCTGGGGCTTTAGAGAGGGTGAGATGTGGTCTTTGAATCTGGAGAGTCATCGCGTAGTTGTGAGCCACACTACAGCTCCTCAGCAGAGGAACAGTGAGGACGCAACATCAAACAGAAGAATCTTGAAGACGAGGCAAGGGCATTGAGGTGCTGCCACCGCCTCTGGCCGGCTCTTGCCGCAGCTGATAAACGTGCAGTATTGGCGTTGTCGGGAACTGGCTTTCTGGGGCCTCTGTCACTTCCCGTCTCTGCAGAGCTTGTGATTGAGCCTGTTCACAGGACACCTTCGTGCTGGACACAGCTTCCTGTCGTGATCCAGAAACTCTGAATTTAATCTAAGATTGCTAACAAGAGTTTCCTGGGGCTCTGGAGGGGACCATCAGGAGTGGTGCTGCTCCCGGAGAAATAAGAAAACTGTGTCAGTCAGGGCTCGGCTTCAGCTTGAAGTGGCAGAAATGCCCACTCACATTCATGCACATATGCACACACTCACTAACTTACACACACACACTCATGCCCACTCACACTTGTGCACACATGCATACTCAAACATCCTCACACACACTCACATACATGCACTCACTCTCACAGCCATGCATACTCTCACACACATGCACACTCACATACATCCACACACACTCACACTCACATTCATGCACCCTCACACATATACACTCACATTCACTAACACAGCACGCACACTCGCAATCACACCCACATGCACACCTACACACTCACTGCCCTGCACACTCACTCTCACACATGCTCACACCCACACACTAACACACATGCACACTTACACTCTTACGCTCACAGACATGCACACTCACATGTTCACTCATCCCCATGCTCACCCCCATGCACGCACACACACACACACACACAGGTTTGAGAAGTTGCCTCTACCTCCTTGCTTCTCCTCAATGTGTGCTGCCTTCTCCCAACATCTCCTCGTGGAGCCGGGACTCAGCCACTGGCCCATGTTTCTGCACCTGGAGGAACCGGTAACCTGGCTGGATGGAAAGAAGGTAATTTTGATCAGGGGAGACATCTTCCTTCTGTACAACATCCCACTATTTGGGTTACAGCTTACTTGCCCTTCCCAAGACTGGCCTCCGTTGTGAGAATAACACCACACAGGCAGCATGATCTGGGGAAAGAAGAAACTCCGTACTTTGTGAGTGACCAGCTCTTGGGCCACTGCTGAGATTCTGGAGGGCTTTGGGCCATTCTATGATCCACCCATCCATCCATTAATTGCACTTCCACTATGTGCAAGGAAATGCTAGAGTTTTGGGTCCCCCAAAGAGGAGAAGAATTAGAGGTGCAATAGTCAGCATAGGCTAAGCTCTGCTTCAGTGACCAAAAAAAAAAACCCGCCTTCAGCGGTGTAAAAGCTTCTTCCTCATGCATGTTGCACGGCCACCACATGTCAGCAGGGAGGCTCCGCCCGTGGCAGGAGGACATGTGAACACTGCTGGCTGCTGTGCCTGAAGGAAGGGGTGTCCCAGGGAGTCTCACGTGGACAATTCGTCGCTTTGACATGGATATTGTAGTGTCATTTCCACTCAACACTCATTGGTCAGAGCCTGTCACTGGCCCCACCCAACCACAAGGAGCCAGGATGTGCAGTCTTTTCCTTGTGCCCAGAAGGATGAGAACCAAACATATCTGACAAGCATAACTGCTGACAGCATGTGGAGAGGCGGGACCATGACCACAGCTTCCCCGCTGGGCCTTCCAAGGCATGCATCTGGCTCAGACTGGGAGCATCTTTCTACACCTATAGTTTCATCCTAAGACCCTTGCCAGAAGATGGGACCTGATCCTGCTACCTCTGTCTATTCACAGGCCTGTGGGGACCACATGGGGGTTCTTATTGGTGATCTACACACAATGGGCCACTCACTTGTGACGGAGAGGTTGGCAATGTTCCTCACTTGCTCCCATGGGATAAGACCCCCCGGAGGGCCACAAGTGACTGCTTCCCCTTGGGCCAAGTGGTTGGTATTAAATGACTGGGATGTCCACCGACCACTGTCTGCATAGCCAGGTCCTCCAGAGACCATGGAATTTTCTTGAGGCCAGCAGCTCAACTGCAATGAGACAGTGAACTGAAACCTGGAAATCCCTTTTTAAACGTCTTACTTTTATTACTTTTTTTTTTTTTTTTTTTTTTTTTGAGACGGAGTCTCGCTCTGTCACCCAGGCTGGAGTGCAGTGGCACAATCTCAGCTCACTGCAACCTCCACCTCCTGGGTTCAAGCGATTCTCCTGCCTCAGCCTCCCAACTAACTGGGACTACAGGCGTGTGCCACCATGCCTGGCTAATTTTTGTATTTTTAGTAGAGGCAGAGTTTCACCATGTTGGCCAGGCTGGTCTTGAACTCCTGACCTCAGGTGATCCACCTGCCTCTGCCTCCCAAAGTGCTGGGATGACAGACATGAGACATCGTGCCCAACCACTTTTACTTTTTTTCAAATCATACATTCTTAATTCATGCTCCTCTAAGACACTAGGGAGAAATGTGTCCCTTGCTGCTACACCAAAGCGGAAGCCTTGAGACTGCACCTGCCCTCTCCTCTCTGTCCTCCTCCTCGCCATTATTTTTGCTGCTCCACCAAAGTGGGGAGCCTGGTGACTGCACCTCCCCTCTCCTCTCTGTCCTCCTCCTCACCATTATTTTGGTGGACGCCCTGGTGCCTGGGTCTGTGTAGGGTTCCCCCCATGGGAACAGCACAGGATTCGCTGAGCCCCTTGTCTCTCGAACATATAGCTTCCCCTTGGCTGAGCAGTGGCCTTGGCCAGTCCCATGTAGGACTGGGTATGACAAGCATGGGTCTTCACCAAGAATTCCCTTGGGTTCTAATGATAATGTCTTCTAATGATAATACTCAGTTATTTTCCAGAAATGCTGCCAGACACTCAGATTCCTCACTTACCTTCTACCCAGTGGTGGAAAGAATCGTGATCCAGGCAGATGTGGGTTCCTTCTCCACAGCTCACTGGCCGTGATCTTGGCTGAATGGTTGAACACTGTGGAGACCAATGTCCCTCATCTGCACACTGGCCTTACAGCAAGTAGCTCCTAGGCTGTGAGGTGAGGGGCCACAGCCGGTCAGCGTGTGCAGCATTCAATTTGTCTTCCCCAGGCTCTGGCCATGTTTCCCCCTAGAGGAGGCCTGAGAGTCCCAGAGGCTGTGGGAGCCCAGAGTCCTCCAGAATCCTCTTTAGTTCCTTTCCCCAGGAGCAAAGGCCACTCCTTCCTGCCCAGAGGCAGGAACCTCACTGGGATTTGGGGAAGAAGCTCTGGTTTGTTTTATTCCAGCATCCTTTTGGCCTGCAAGGAATTGGATTATAATTTTGAAACCATTTTTTGGCACTAAACAGGAATACAATCCAGGGTATTGTAAACACGCAACATTCAGAAAACGGAGAAAATGGTTATTGTCATGTGTCATTTTGAAATCCCGGCACTTTGGGAGGCCAAGATGGGTGGATCGCTTGAGCCCAAGAGTTCGAGACCAGCCTGGCCAACCTGGCAAAACCTCATCTCTACCAAAAAAAAGTACAAAAATAATTAGCCAGGTGTGGTAGTGGGTGGCTGTATTTCTAGCTACTCAGGAGGCTGAGGTGAGAGGATTGATTGAGCCTGGGAGGTTGAGGCTGCAGTGAGCCATGATTATGCCACTGCACTGCAGCCTGGGTGACAGAACGAGACCCTGTCTTAAAAAAGAAAAAACATATCAGAAGCTGTTCCTTTGAAGTCAAGAACATAGTAAAGATGCCTGCTATCACTATCACAAACAGTATTTAATATAGGTCCTTGATAATGCACAGAACAAGGAAAAACTAAGCATAGATATCGAAAAGGAAGAGACACCATTAACAATATTTGCAGATATATCATGGCCCACATAGAAAACCTAATTAACCAACACCATAAATCATAGGGACTAAAAGAAAAATTGCAAATACAGAACACTTCTTACTGATCAGCACTGTCTGATTAGAAGACGCAATAGAATACGTAAGATTTCGTTTACAATAGCAGCAAGACCTTTGAAACATGTGCTAGTAAACCTAATTAATGAGTGAGATCTTTGTAAAGATGATTGTAAAACTCTCCTGCAAGACGTTACCGTGCTCTCAAGAGAGGGAGGAGGAAGTTGCTCCACTCCTGAGCAGGGAGCCTGAGAGTGCACAACCGTCCGTTCTTCCCTTTCAAATCCACACGTTCTGCACAGCGTCAATCCATATCTCCACACACGTTGTCAGGGACATTTGCAAATAGATTCTAAATACACCATGAAGAGTAAGTGCTAAAACAGTGCAAAAAGAGAGGAAGAGAGAGAGGAAGAGAAAGAAGAGTGGAGAGCAGTGATTCTCCCCCCGTTTTCAATAGATAATAAAGACGTTGTGAATGAAACACCGTGGCACCAACGGAAGTAGAGGAAGAGATCAATAGGATGTAATGGAAGGTTCAGAGACAGAGCCATGTGCCATGAACTTAAGATGCAATAAGGGAGCTGTTCACACCCTAATGGGTGGCAATGAATGGTGTTGAGATGCTTGCCTATTCTGTGGGAGAAAAATAAAATCAAGCCTCAACCTCCCGCTCTTCCCCAAAACAAAGACAGACTTATGACCTAAACATCAAGCAGAACTATACAGACAATGCACACAAATATAAGAAAATGGGCCGGACTCGGTGGCTCATGCCTGTAATCCCAGCACTTTGGGAGGCCAAGGCAGGTGGATCACTTGAGGTCAGGAGTTCGAGACCGGCCTGGCCAACATGATGAAACCGCGTCTCTACTAAAAATACAAAAATTAGCTGAGTGTGGTGGCACACGCCTATGATCCAAGCTACTTGGGAGGCTGAGACAGGAGAATTGCTGGAACCCGGGAGGCTGAGACAGGAGAATTGCTGGAACCCAGGAGGCAGAGGTTGCAGTGAGCCAAGATCACACCACTGCACTCCAGCCTGGGCAACAAGAGTGAAACTCCGTCTCAAAAAAAAAAAAAAGAAAGAAAGAAAGAAAGAAAATGTAACCTGGGTATCAAAAGACCTTAAACAAGACAAAAATACACAGGGCTAAAATGAAAAATACATACTTTTGTCTACATCGACATTTAAAATTTCCATATCAGTACAGTGAAGAGATTAGCCACAGACTCGCAGAAAACATTACACGACATAGAACAAAAGATTCACACACAGAATCTGTAAACGCCTCCCTAGAGTAATATGGAAAAGATAAACAACCCAGCAAAAATTCAGGTAAAGGATATAAACAAACAATTTATGGGAGAGAAATGACAAAGGGCAACATAGAAAAATGCTCAACTCACTAGGAATGAGGGCAAACAAGTTAAAACAAGATACAACGTTTCACCTATCTGATGGGCAGAAGTGAGGAAATGATCATGTCAAGTATTAGCCAAGTGGCCAGGTGCAGTGGCTCACGCCTGTAATCTCAGTACTTTGGGAGGCCAAGGCGGGTGGATCATGAGGTCAGGAGTTCGAGACCAGCCTGGCCAAAATGGTGAAACCCCGTCTCTACTAAAAATATAAAAAGTTAGCCAAGTGAGGTGGCACAGGCCTGTAGTCCCAGCCACTTGGGAGGCTGAGGCAGGAGAATCGCTTGAACCTGGGAGGCGGAGGTTGCAGTGAGCCGAGATCATGCCGCTGCACTCAAGCCTGGGCAACAGAGCCAGACTCTGTCTCAAAAAAAAAAAAAAAAAGTATTAGCCAAGATGTGCGGAAAGAGGATTCACGTATGCTGTTTGTGTGAATGTAAGTTCGAATGGTCTTTTCTGGAGAACCATCTGACGTATCTATTGACACAAAAAGTGCACACATGCCATGGTTCCCAATTTCACTTCTCAGCATCTACCTGAGCATGGGCAAAGGAGGCGGGTGCTAGAATGTGTGCTGCCACGTCGACAGTCATCCTGGAGACGTGGGGAAAAATAAAACTTTAGTCTCTTCCGAGGGTGATTTGGTTAAATACAGCCTACGGTATGTCCATGTTATGGAATATTGTGTAGCAGCTGATGCAAAATGGTAGCACTATACATATGCATATGGAAAGATTTCTAAGTCTTGCTATTCTACAAAACAAGCAAGGAAGAAGACATGGCCCCAGTGTGATGTTTGTGTGTGTGTGTGTGTGTGTGTGTGTGTTTATAAAAGCCATGGTGAAAGGGGCACTTATTTCCATCCATATGGATGTATGGATGTAAAAGCTTAGAGACCCTCTGGAAGAAGAGACACCCCCACCCCCACCAGGCCACAGTGTTTCTCTGGAAATGAATAGGAATGTGGTGAGCAGGAGGGAAAGGATGGGGTGGAGTCAAGAATGACTTTCACTTTAATCTTCAAATGTACAGTTGATATTTGCATTGATCTTGAATCCACGTATGGGGAAAAAACAGCAAAAACAACATCTTTGCTCTAGGGGATGGTGTGTGGCTGGGAGATTAAGGAAAGGGTTGAGGGCGGGGCAGGAGGAGATGGGGTTTGAAGGATCAGGCAGGATTTACCATCATCCCTTTTTAGTAGTTATTTGAGGCATCATTTACACTCAGTAAAATAACAAATCTTATGAGTACAGATGGACGGGACTTTACATATGTACAGGCCTTGTGACCGCCCCCAAGTTGAGGCACAGACACCACCCCCAGGAAGCCCCTCATGCCCTTTCCAGTCCACACTCAGAGGTCACTTTTCCTGTGCTCTGTTTCCACACAGTCTTGCCTGTTTGGAAACCTAAGTGACAGGAACTGGATATAAATGGAATTCTGTGACGTGTAGTATTTCAGGACTCCCATTTTTTTCTCAACATAATTTCTTGAGATTTCTCCCTAAAACTGTCTTTCTCAGGAGTGATCGTAGAGTAACGTTGCATTGTATGAAGATTCTGCTATTTGTTTCTGCATTTGCCTGGGTTGTTTCTGGGTTTCACTATTTTGAACAAAGCTATTGTGTCATTCTCGTGCAGTTGTTTGTTGTGGACATATTTATGGATTTTTCTTACGTTCCCAGGAATGGATTTTCTGGGTCATGGGATTGTTCTATGTGTAACCTTAGAAGCCATCAAAGAGGGTGCCTTAGGGGTGCACCATTACACCCTCCTCCACAAAACCCATCCAAGAGGGTGTCTTAGGGGTCCGACATTGCACCCTCCTCCACAAAACCCATCCAAGAGGGTGTCTAGGGGTGAACCATTGCACACTCCTCCACAAAACCCATCCAAGAGGGTGTTTGGGGGTGCACTATTGCACACTCCTCCACAAAACCCACCAAAGAGGGTTTCTTAGGGGTGCACCGTTGCACCCTCCTCCACAAAACCCATCCAAGAGAGTGTCTTAGAGATGCACCATTGCACACTCCTCCCCAGAAGCCATCCAAAAGGGTGTCCTAGGGGGGTGCACCATTGCACACTCCTCCCCAGAAGCCATCCAAAAGGGTGTCCTAGGGGGTGCACCATTGCACACTCCTCCCCAGAAGCCATCCAAAAGGGTGTCCTAGGGGGGTGCACCATTGCACACTCCTCCCCAGAAGCCATCCAAAAGGGTGTCCTAGGGGGTGCACCGTTGCACACTCCTCCCCAGAAGCCATCCAAAAGGGTGTCCTAGGGGGGTGCACCATTGCACACTCCTCCCAGCTACACGCAGGAGTTGCAAGGGCCCCACTTGGTCTTCAGCAGGAGGTCAGCTGTTCCAATTCCAGCCATTCTTGTGGGCATGGACTGGAGTCTCACTATGGTTTAATTTTTACTTCCCTGATGTCTGGCGATGCTGCACAACTGTCCCTGTGCTTATGGGACATGTGAGAATCCTCTTTTGTGAATTGGCTAATCTAAATTTTTGACCAATTTTAGTCATCACATTAAAGCGTCTAATTAATAGGGTCTCAGGTCACACATTCATGATTCTAAAATCTGGACAAAGCAGAGCGTAGAGAACACCTTCTCTGCTCTGTGAGTTTATCTTTGCTTAAAGCCGTGTCTGTTTAAGTCTGCGTAGCCCCTTCCTTCTCCCAAACCCAGTTTCCTCTTGTGTGAAATAGCGCAGGCCATGACTGAGTGCTGCTCTTCTGCAGCATCTGGGCAGGTGTGGCTCCCCTGGCTGGGACTTGGAAGCTTCTGGAGGCTCTGGGTTGATTCCTTTGCCTGTCAGTCAGTTTGCTGAAGGGCAGGATTGGAGGTGGGAGAGGCACTCGGCCTCCAGCTGCAGAGGGAAGCTGCCCAACCTCCCTGAGATGCCATGAGGCTGAATCAGGGGAGTCTGTGAGTCCTTCAAGGGGTGGCCACGGTGCAGAGAGTTGAATTCCAGGAAAAATCCCCTTTCCCCCTGGCTCAGCCAGAGGGCAGGGGCCTGAGATCTCCAGGTGTGTGCAGTGCTCAGCCTTTTGTGCAGTCAGGGATTCCATGGCCCCCTCGCCCTTCACAGGGAGGAGCAGACATTTGACTGCAGGTGTGAGTAGAGGGTCGCTGGGATGGAGGTGATGGAGACACTGTCCCTGGGTCCCCGCTGAGAGATGTGTCCCATCCATGGCCCTGTGGCCGGGTTCATTGTGGGGTGATCCCCCGCCGTGGTGCCTGCACACTAAACACATAAACTCCTCTGCCCAGGATGCCACAAAGCCTATCCCCTCATTTTGGAACTCAGCACCTTCTCATCCCTGTCCTGGGATTCAAATTCATTGCTTACAGAAGTTCAAGGCAGAGAGAGATATGGGTAAGGATAATGGCAGTTTAAGCTCCCATCTCTGAACACATTTGACATTGTAATGAGGCAGGTTCAGCAATACACTAGACGTGATTGATATCGACAGGAGAAATTCCCGTCTTCCAAGCCAGCTCTGCACTCTTATCCCAGGCACCGCATCAGCAACAGGAAAACAAAGAGAGGCACAGGCAGCCCGGTGCCACATTCTGGGGATGAATCCACTGCAGGAAATGCTGCCACAATTAGCTGAGAAACCTTACAGGTCTGTCCCTGGGAGTCGACCGGGGGCTCTGCAGAGAGGACCCTGAGCAACAATCAGTTATGGGATAAAAGGGACTCTCCCATGGCCCCTAAGCAGGTACCTCTCACAGTGAAGGAAAATGGGGAATTTGAGCCCCTAAAGCTCTGCTACTCTGGGACCAGCAGCATGAGCATCACCAGGAGCTTCTCAGAACTGAAGACTCTCAAACCCTCCCTCCACATCTGCCTCACCTGTGGATTAGAGCCCTGAGTGGGAACTGGACCCATGGCTACCCAGAGTGAGGACAACCTTCCCCAGCCCTCCTTGTGGCCTCATGTGACCAAGTGACCCATTTCTGACCAATGCACTAAGATAAGAGGGCCATGGGAGCCACTTCCTGGTCATTTCCTGACAGAGGTGAGCCCTCTCCTCCTCCTCTCCTCCACTTCCTCAGCTGTGAAATAGGAATGATGATGATGTTGATAATGGTGATGATGATAGTGATGATGGTGATGAGGATGATGGTGATGATGGTGATGATAATGGTGATGGTGATGATGATGGTAATGATGGTGATGTGATGATGGTGATGATGATGGTAATAATGATATTGACGATGATGATGATTGTTACAATGATGATGATGGTGGTAGTGGTGATGATGGTGATGATGATAGTGATGATGATGGTGATGGTGATGATGATGGTGATAATGATGTTGATGGTGATGATTTTATGATTATGATGATGATGATGGTGGTGGTGATGATGGTGATAACGATGATGGTGATGATCATGGTGGTGATAATGATGACTACGACGGTCATGATTGTCATCATGATGATGATGATGATGGTGATGATGATGATGATGGTGATGGTGGTGATGATGATAATGATGATGGTGATGGTGGTGATGATGATGATGGTGATGGTGGTGATGATGATAATGATGATGGTGATGATTATTATGATGATAATGATGGTGGTGGTGATGATGATTATGATGGTGATGATGGTGATGACGCTAATGATGATGGTGATGATTATTATGATTATGATAGTAACGATGGTGGTGGTGATGGTGATGGTGATGATGGTGGTGGTGATGACGATGGGATGATGGTGGTGGTTATAATGATTATGATGGTGATGGCAATGGTTATGGTGATAATGATGTTGATGATGGTGATGATCGTTATGATTATGATGATAATGGTGATGGTGGTGGTGATGATGGTGATGATGGTGGTGGTTATAATGATGATTATGATGGTGATGATGGTGATGGTGATGATGATGATGATGGTAATGGTGATGATGGTGATGTTGGTATCCCAGAGAGAGAAGAGAATGTGGTGAGATCATGACAAGTCTCAGAGCACAGACAATCCCACCACAAACGCTGGATGAAATATACTTATTATTGTTATAATCATCTCAAATTATTAGGTATGTGGAGACATTCCCCTCCCAGGGGCCATCTCCCCTATCCTGGACTCCCTCTTTATAAACAGGAGCTGAGGTCCCCTATAGAAAACTTCCCTTCTGGTATTGCCCTCAGCAGCACGCCCTCCATAGAGCATGTAAACTTCCCCCAGACAAGGAGGAGACACAGGTGGGTCCCCTGACCCTGTACCAAGGGGGTCAGTGTGCCTGGCATCCTGGAAAGAGTGATTAATGCAAGGAAACTTGTGTCCCTGAAATAGGCCATGATCAATGGCATTTGAGTTGCACTTGGCTAAGGGATTGGAGAATGGACATCAGATGGCAGGTGCTGAATCATTTTACTAATGAAGCTTCTGCCTTGCCCACATGATGAGAAGTTTTCCATGGGAGGCTTTGGAGCCACTGCTTTTTTTTCTTTTTTCTTTTTTATAGAGATGGGGGTCACTATGCTGCCCAGCTGATCTTGAACTCCTGGCCTCAAATGATCCTCCTGCCTTGGCCTCTTAAAGTGCTTAGATTACAGGTAGGAGCCATCATGCCTGGCCCAGAGCTACTGCATTAAGGGAGGTGCAGCTGGTCTCCCCAGGCTGCTGTCTGCACATCTTAGTACATTAGCGTGGAGCTGGCAGGCAAAAATGTCACACACCTGCTGAATTCACTGTCTGGCTGATTATTAGTGAGGGGGGACATCTTTTCTTTTGCTTAACTGTTTTTTGATATTCCTTTTCTGTGAATTACCTGCTCATAATATCTGCTCATTTTTCTATCGCTCTTTCTTTCTGTTTGTTATTCATTTATGGAAGCCACTTAGAGGTTGCATGTACCAAACTGTTGACTATTAAGCATGAGGCAAACGTCGCTCCTCAATCTGACCTTCTCTTTTCACTTGTGTGTGGTGGTGGTGTTTACAGGAAGAGGTCTACAGTTCATCGCAAGGCTCTAGAGGGAATCAGGAAGTGCCAACCTGAGGTATGCCATTTTGGCAGCAGAATTCTTTTGAGCAGAAAGCATTGGAGTTCCTAAAATTCTTTATCTGCCTAAAACCAGAGCCTCCCCCAAACAACTCCATTGTCCTAAGTGTCTCCCCAGGAACAACTGTAATCTTCTCTTCTTGGAGGGGAGAAGCCCCCCCACATCCCGGCAGACATTGTCACAAAGGACCATGTCTCCCATCTGCCCTCCTGAGGGCCCATTTATCTCTCAATAAAGTCCTTTGCGTTTCCGTAAGTGCGCCTCTGCCCTCCCTACCCCCGTTAGGACGAGATGTGAGCTCCAGAATCTCACTGCTCCTCTGGTATTTGCTTATTTCTGGGACACCCTCATGCACGTTAAGTTTAAAATTCCAAATGCATGCTTTTTTCCTGTTGATTTTTTGTCTTTTTTTGAGACAGTTTCACTCTTGTTCCCCAGGCTGGAGGGCAGTGGCGCATCTCAGCTCACCGCAACCTCCACCTCCCAGATTCAAGTGATTCTCCTGCCTCAGCCTCCCAAGTAGCTGGGATTACAGGCATGTGTCACCATGCCTGGCTAATTTTGTATTTTTTAGTAGAGACAGGGTTTCTCCATGTTGGTCAGGCTGGTCTCGAACTCCCGACCTCAGGTGATCCACCCGCCTTGGCCTCCCAAATTGCTGGGATTATAGGTATGAGCTACGGTACCCAGCCAATTTCTTCCTGTTAATAACTTTCATCCGTTTAACTCACAGGCCCCCAGCCACTGAAGGTGAGAGAGTAGAGGAAAAGTTTTCCTTCCCCTACAGTTCTTTGAAATTAGTTTTCTCACTTAAACCTCCACTCTGCTCTCCCAGCAACCAGTGAAGGTTTCTGCATTAAATTTAGTTCAGGTCAAGATTGTAAAAGCAGAAACCCAGGAGGAGAAGAACGTCTGAGCAAAACAATCTTCCTAGCAGAGTTTCTGTTTTAATACATTTCCCCAGGAGATGGGTTTCAGCTGGAGGCCCTTTTAACCAAGTTGATCTTTGCCCAGAGGGTCGGGGGAGCTCCGTCCCTGCCGGGTTCTTTGAGGCTCTTCCCAGTGTGAATTAAAGGGTTGGGGCTGGAGCTTGGGAAAATCTCCTGGAGGATCCACAGAGCTGGGGGCTGCTGCCAAGGTCTGAGGTGCGGCCTCTGGAGGGGAGCCCTGCAGACCCCAGCTGCCCTGGGCTGGGCCTCCTGCTCTGGGCCGCTCTCTCTGCTGATCCGCTGGGGTCAGACCCCGGTGTGGGTGGAGCAGCCACAGGACACATGTGGGTCTCGAAGCCTCCTCTCCTGTGCTCCTGGGGAACAAGTCAGCAGCAGCCCCTGCTCTTTTCCTGCCTGGACCACCATCTTCAACAGGTGAATGCACCTCTTTAAAGCCTGGGATGGAGGATAGAGGTTTGGGGGATGGGAATGGGGAGGGGATTCCTGGAGTCCCTGGGAAGGAGGAGGAGGAGGAGGTGGCCCTGGCCTTCAGAGCCCAGTGAGGCCCCATCCCCTGTGAAGGCTGCACTCACCCTGAAGTGTGCCTGTGCCCGAGAGATTTGTTTCCACGTCAGGGTCTCATCTGGCCAACTGCAGGAGCCTCCAGGTGAGCCAGGAAACAGGAACCTGTCATGCAGGGGATTCCCCATCCCAGTTAAATACTTCCCACCCCCAAGTCCCGAGCTGGCACTGGGGCCTCCTGTCTACGTGGTGGGTGTTCTCAGGAGGGAAACCCTCCTCCACTTCCCTGCCAATCGTACACTTTTAAAAAACAAATCCACAAATTAAAACATTTTGACAAGCCGAGGAGTGGTACACCTAACGCCCAATGAATGAGAAAAGAAACGTGAAAAATTCATGCCTGATTTCACTCCGTATCACAAAAATGAATGTGTTGCTCGGGCTCATACATTTTAGAAAGGAATTTTTGCTAAAAAACAAAAATTGCAACCTTCAGAAATGTTGTCTGCTCCCACAGCTCTGAAACAAAAGCACACCCTTCTCCAAGCAGGAGAGAGCCCAGCTCTGCCCCCCGGGGACACCCAGGGCCTTCACCCCAAATAGCGGATCCTGTGGGACCCATAGCACTGGGGCCCTGGGGCACTGGGCGCTGGGCCTGCGTGGATTTCCCAGCCTTGCTGGAATTCCGTGCTTCGCAGCAAACTCCTTCATGCGGGGGAAGCCGGAGGAGAAGGCCCAGGGAAAATGGGTTGTAGACAAATGACAGGCGCCCCGTCCTGGGGGAATCAGGAAGGGGTCCTGCAGCCCCTGGTGTGGCCCTTTTCCCATGCACAGTCCGGGCCCCCCACGGCTTCTGCAGGACCCACCTCAGCTCCGGGTCCAGGCTGGGCCAGCGCTCTGTCTCCTCAACGGTGAAACGGGTTGCTCAACCCACTTGCAGGTTGTTGAAGTTCAGGCCTTATCCTCGGGCACAGTCGGTTCTGGAAGCCACAGTCTGCTGCCTGCAAATGTGCTCCTCAAATCGCCTTCCCACCCGCAGCCCCTCAGCCCACCGTGGTACCAAGTGGCCAAAGTCTACGGCCATGCCCCCCGAACGCCTACGAGCTCATCTGATCTCGGAAGCTAAGCAGGGTCGGACCCGGTTAGAACTTGGATGGGAGACCAAATGGCGCCAGCGCTGGGCTTTCTTCCTCAAACCCCACGACCACGACAGCGCGATAAACAGGGACCCTGTTGGAGGCCACGTGGGTCACAGGCCTGCACCGGACACAGCACTTCGGCGAAGGCAATGGGGATCCTGATTGGCCGCCCAGGGCCCTCCCAGAGCCAGACGCGGAAGGGGAGGGAGCTCTCCCGGGAGCCTCACGCGGGACACTGAGCACAGCCCCTCCGCGCACACGCGGTTATCGATAAACGCAGACGTGACACGTTCGTGGGTTCTGTTTCCCTGGAGGGCAGCTGGGACTGGTGTGAATTCTCCCGTCTCACCCCACAAATCCTAACGGGCACCCGCGAGCTTTCTCGTCTCGACTTTCACACGTAAATTGTGTTTTCTTTTTAAAATGACTCGTAGCGCGAGCTCCTGGCGTCCGTGCCAGGTTGGAATAGAGACGCTGTCCCGGGGGGAGAGAGGGGGACGGTTGAGAATTCTCTGGAACCCCCAGCGGCGCAGACACCCACCCGCGGCTGGACGCGCGGAGCCCGCCCTGGGCCTCCCTCCCCGGCTTCAGGTCCCCGCCTCGGCCCTGCCCACCTGGGGCTGCGCTCCCTGCAAGTCTGCGGCCCCCACGCGGCCCTCGGCCCCGGCGCGGGTCTTCTGCGGACGCCTCCAGCCAGCTCCGGGTCCCTGCGCGGAGGACGCTGATTCGTGTCGTTAAGCGGGTGAAGCGGGTGTAGACAGAGGTGCGTCCTGCCCTCCCCACCCGCTGCCCCCGCAGCAGCCACCGAGCCTCGACCGGCGGCTTCCGAATGCACGAAGTCCACGCTCCTGCCCGGGACCCTGAGTCGGGGCCTGGTCCACGCGCTGCCGCCGCCTCTAGGGCCCTGACCCCTCCCGGGCACAGCGGGCCCGTCCCCGGAGGCGATGCCGGCCCGGGTCTGCCCTGCGGTTCCCCCTCCCGCGCTGCTTCCTGCCCGCAGTAGGGGCCGCTCCTCACCGCGCAGGCCCCGCTCAGAGGAGCCCCAGAGCTGGAGAGGCCCCCGCGGCTGGAGAGGCCCCGCCGCCCCCCAGATGCCCCCGGGGCCCTGCCCGGTTCTTCCCTTCCCAGCCCCGACGCCTCTGGCTTCACCTCTTCCCTTCATTTCACGGATCCGCTTATTTCAGGGGAGCTCCAGGAGGGCAGGGATTTTGTCCGTTTCTTTCACTTTTGGATCTGCAGAGCCCAGGACAGCACCTGGCCCGTAGTAGGTGCCGCAAGAAACGCTTCTTGAAGGAAGGAAGGAACGAACCCACGAGTATTGCAGGAGGATTAAATGAAAGATCAATTCATCCCACCTCACGGTAATAGGCACCCTGTTTCCTCCCAGCCCCGAGATTGGAGAGTTTGTTTTCATCCTCCTGTTGTCTGAACACAGCACAGAGCAATCCTGAGACACAAAGCAACGTGCCTTTCAAAATTTTTAATAAACATGGAATCTTGCTATGCTGGCCAGGCTGGTCTTGAACTGCTAGCCTCAAGCGATCCTCCCTCCTTGGCCTCTCAAAATGTTGGGATTATAGGCGTGAACCACTGTAACCAGCCTCAAGACAGGCTTTCTAAGACACAAGATTCCGCGTGTCAACTGTATCCACGGAAACCATTCCTTAGTTTATTGTCACCGCCATTCCTAACTCTGATGTGAAAATCCCTGCGTTCATCAACATAACCCAGTTAGGGTCGCACTCATCACGGGGCCCCCATTGCCTCTGGCGCACCCCACGACTGACATCTGCGGGGCCTTCGCGCTAGGCTTCGAGTTTCAGCTTCCGCACCAGGCCTGCCTTTCTGCAGGGGCCAGGGTGGGGGTCGTGTGCTGATTGGGCCCTCTGAACCGCCACCGCTGCAGAGGGGCTGTTCCTTCCGTCACATCCCTTGTGCCCGAATCCACCCTGTGTCTTCTCTTTTCTCAGCAGGACATTTTAAAAGCCCAGACCCCCTCCTTACAGAGCAAATGTCCAGGCTTCGGAGGTCACTGTCACATCCCAAGAACCCCCTTCACCAGGTGCCACTCTTGAGACTGGACTGAAGCCCCCTGGAGAGGTGAGCTTGGTGGGCTCTGTAGGTTTAGGGAACTTTGAGGTTCACTGCCCTTAGGAGGGAAGCCCTCTCCGGTTCTCCGCAGTCCCCACCGTTCCCTATCGTCACCCCTGGGCACCTGCACTCCCACGGTTCTGCCTGGGCCTTGGGGGCATTTGAGCCCTGGGCCCATCCTGAGTTGGTTTGGAGGCTGGGCTGTGTGGAGCTGTGGAAGGCCCTGGGCATGCGGCCAGCTCACTGCTGGGAGCCTGGTTTTCTCACTGTCCAGCTGTGTGGCTCGGGGGCCCCCGTCTCTATGTCTCAGTGATGACAACACTGGCCGTGTGGGTCCTGGTGGGCCTTGAGTGGGTTCCTCTGCTCAGACATGAGGTGCTTAGACCTCGCCCTAGCTCTGCCCTGTGACCTTGGCAGGTCACCCGGGGTCACTTTCCCATCGGAGTGGGGGTGGGGACTGGAACCAGCCACTCCCAGGTCCCTCCTCTGAGGTTGCTCTTGGCACTGGTCCTGGGGACAGGGCTGCAGGGGACTCTGGCCTCTCTCTCCCCTCTCAGTTCCACTTGCCTTTGTCCTGCTGCCTGAGATGAGGGCATGGACAGCCGGGTACAAGACGGGACAGGCAACCTCGCAGTGGTGGTAACCCTGTGCATGAACCCTGGGCCTGGCACGTGGACCTCCTGTGACCGTCCCCACAGGCCCGTGAGGCTGAGCTTGGCACTGCCCAAGACCACACAGTCCATGCGCAGTGGAGCTGGGGTCCAGGCTGCCCACCAGGGCAGTGACTGCAATGGTGGCAGCAGGGGACAGTCACCATGGTGAGCTCAAGCCAGGCGCTGCACTGACCTTGAGGGAGGGCTCCATGCTTCCCCTTCCCACAGCTGCAGTGAGGGCTAGGAGAGCAGGGTCGGCTGCAGGCTTGAGTCCTGGGGTGCCTCTGGGCTGACGGGCCCTGCCTGACCTGCTCCTCCAGTGCCCCAGCCCTGCCCCACCCACGTCCCCTCCTCTCACTGCCCCCTGGCCCACTCCGCTGCGGTCTCAGTGCCTTCCCAGGCTGGGCATCATCTGATGGGAGGAAAATGAGGGCCCCAGACTCTGTGTCATCCTGGCAGGACCCCTCCCCTCCCATGGCTTTGAGCCCATGAGATGGCCTTGGACAAAGCGGCAATGGGCCCTTCCTGAGACACAGTGCGGCCATCTACTGGGAAACTGCCCAGTGTGACTCTGATGACTGTGATGTGAATCCCACAGCAAAGTTGAGCAGTGCGCAACCTGGGCTACTGCACCTGGCAGCCCTGGCTCCTCCTCCTCTGCCTCTTCCTGCTCCTTCATTCTCCCCCAGAGCTCTAATTGTCACTGAGATTTTATGTTTCGTTTAACAAATGACTGTCTCCCCGCTTGAACAGAACCTCCATGGGGGGAGGGAAGAGTGTCTGTTGTATAAATAGTTGTATTTCAGTGCATAAAACAGTGCCTGCCTCAAAGGGAGGACTCAGTCAATATCTGTTGAATGAATGAATGATTGCCTGGGTCAACGAATGAATGGCTGAATGAATGATTTCTCCTTTCCCTCGGCACTGTCTGGAGTCCCCAGGACAGGCATGGGCAGCAGTCGCTGGTCTGTGGCCTGTCCCACTGGACTTGGGGTTCTCATGCTTGGTCTGGGCGGAGATCACCCACCAGGCTCCCAGGTCGATCCTCTGCTCATGGGAAGCTGCGTCCGGCCCAGCTGCCAGGAGCTCACTGCAGGGTGGAGGGAAGAGCAGGGACGATCTGCGAGCGCCTGAACACCACACAAGAGCCGAGGAGCCGCTGCTTAAAATGCAGGCGTTGAGAGGAGTTTCGCCTCCTTTTTTGACTTGAATATGAGATTTCCGAGCAGCCATGACGAGTTGGGTTGGTGGAAGTGGGGAGTCCGTTCCTCAGTCAGATGGAGGGGGTCCCCTTGGATCTCCTCTCGGGGCTTGAACCCTGATACTTCAAGGTCTCTTCCCACCTGCCCTTGGTGGATCTGGAAAGCTCCTGGGAACAGGGTGGGTCTTCCTTGTTTTAAAGGTTGTAAGTTGAGAGCACCTCACATAACTGCCTGGGGCGGCTCTGACGGGCCTCAGTCTGCTTGTGATGTCACACAGGAAGCCCCTGGGGACTGGGCCGCTCAAGTCCTCCTGGGTCAGACCAGATCACTGGGCCTGTGGGTTCCGCAGTGAGTCCAGCATCGTTTCCTGTGCAGTGACCCAGGCCGGGTCCCCGTGGGCTCTGACTAGGGGACAGTGGGACTCGGGGTTGGGGGGCCTGCTTGAGTCATGGCTTCACTGTCCACTGTGACTGGGGACCCCCAGGGGGATTTCTGGGGACGCATTCACCTACTGCACTGGGGTTTCTCTTTCAGAACCACAACACCCTGGAAGGCAAGAAATAGGGAGCTGCATCCGCATCCACAGGGTCCCACCAGCCCGGAACATCCCCGCTGGCCTGGAATCCCACCCCACACACCCCGCTGATCCTGGGCCCGTCCCTGTGACCAGGAGACGGAGTCCAGGGACTCCCCAGGCCTGGGCCACGCGACTGCCCTAAGAGCCTGGCATCAGGGAGCGGTGCTGTGTGTACCCCCAGGTCCACTGAGAGTAGGGAGGGGGCTTCCCCACGGGTAGGTGGGGATGGAGGGTGGTCCGAAGATCAGGAGACGGAGCCCCGCCCCGCTTCGCAGGTGAGCAACAAAAGCTCTGAACGGTCAACTGAACTACTTAGGGCGACTGGCGGGAATCCAACCAGGTCTGCCTGACTGTGTCTGCCTGTGTGTCTCTGCTGTCTCTCCATCTATCTGTCTGTCTGTCTGCCTGTCCATGTGTGTCTGTCTGTCATCTGTCTGCCTATCTGCCTGTCTGTGTGTCTGTCTGTCCATCTGTGTGTCTGCCTGTCCATCTATCCATCTGTTGTCCATCTCTCCATCTGTCTGTCTGCCTGTCTGTCTGCACAGCCCCTGACCTCACACTCAGGCTGCGTTTGCAGCAGCCGTTTCCCATCTAAGCATCCGTGTCCTCCTTGCTGAGTTGGAGGTAGGAAGTCACATTGAAATTCTGTGTGTGTGTGAAGGTAAATGAAATTATAGACACAGGAGGAGCAGACCGTCTGCTTCTTAGAGATAATGAAATGACTTCTGGCCATGAGCAAAGTGGACACTCTGTCTCCAGGGTCAGCAACCCACCTGCTGGGCCCCAGTCCCTTCTGTGTCCTGGGGTGTGAGGCTCCCAGGAGGCCATGCTTGGTAGAAAAGGGTCCTATGAGTGGGCCAGGGCAGCCAGGAAGCCAGAGCCACCCAGGGAGTGCCATGGGGGCCACTTAATCATGGAACTCGCCACAGAGGGGCTGGAGGAGCTGCAGAAGAAATGGTGGGGCGGTGACCCTGAGTTAGGCATCAGCAGGAAGCCACTGCCATCCGGGGCTGCAGGGGCCGGGAAGGGTGAGCACAGCCAGGGCCTGGGTGGCCAAGTCCAGGGCACCAGGCACAAGCATCCCTGTCCTCTCCCTGTGGAGCCACAATGGCTGTGCTTAGTTCCTCCAGCAAAGTGACGTGACGGCACAGTGAGACGTCGCCCACCAGGGAAGCCCACGGAGACTCAGCGCCCAGCGACTAGGGGGCTGGTCACGGGGGCACCTCTGCTTGGCGCGCACAGACATTCCAGGACCCCAGAAGGAAACGGGCTCAGGATACCACGTGGTTTCCACAGGAGTTTAGACACAGGAGCTCCTCGCTATTGAGGGAGGTTGTGTGTCTCCACAGGGAACTGCTGCAGCCAGATTCCAAGACACCAGCCAAGGGCACCCTCACCAGCAGGCCTTTCCCAGGACCACCGTCTCAGGCCCGCCAGGTCACTCTTTCTGGGCACTTTCTCAGGAGGTTGCTCCAGGGCAGGATGGAAGCACAGAGAGTCCGGGGTTGTCACATTATGCTGGCTGAGTGTTTAGACCTCTAGAGAGGAGAGCACAAAAGCGGAACAGGAAGCCCAGAACTCCCTCCCGGCAGAAACACCAACTCACAACAGCAAGGCCCAGAAGCCTTTCTGAGGCAGCTACAAAGTTCTGCGAATTGATACCAAGTGTAAGAAGGTGTAATCTGTGACACTGAGGACATAAAGCGGGGGGTTGTAGAAAGGATAGAGGTTTTGCATGCAGTTGGAGTTGTTACCAGCTTAAGGTCGATTGTTATGAGATGTTTTATGCAGTCCCCATAGTAACCACAAAGAAAATACCAACAGAAGAGCTGCTTCAAGATGAAGCTGAACATCTTCCCAGCCGCTAGCTGCCAAAAGCTCATTGAAGTGGACGATGAACGCAAACTTCGTAGTTTGTATGAGATGCCTGTGGCCACAGAAGTTGCTGCTGATGCTCTCGTGAAGCATGGAAGGGTTCTGTGGTCTGGATCAGTGGTGGGAAAGACAAACAAGCCTTCCCATGAAGCAGGGTGACCCGACCCATGGCCATGTCCACCTGCTACCGAGTAAGCGGCATTCCTGCCATAGACCAAGGAGAACTGGAGAAAGACAGTGAAAACCTGTTCGCCGTTGCATATTGTGGATGCCAATCTCAGCGTCCTCAACTTGGTTATTGTTAAAAAAAAAAAAAAAAAAAGTAGGAGAGAAGGATATTCCTGGACTGACTGATACTATGGCGCCTCGCTGCCTGGGGCCCAGAAGAGCTAGCAGAATCCGCAGACTTTTCTATGTCTCTAAAGAAGATGATGTCTGGAAATATGTTGAAAGCCCTTAAACAAAGAATGTAAGAAACTGAGGACCAAAGCACCCAAGACTCAGTGTCTTGTTACTCCACGTGTCCTGCAACACAAATGCTGGCATCTTGCTCTGAAGAAAACAGTGCACTACGAAAAATAAAGCAGAGGCTGCAGAGTAGGCTACACGCTGGCCATGAGAATGAAAGAGGCCAAAGAAAAACATCAGGAACAGACTGCCAGGAAATGCAGACCCTCCAGCGGTGAGCTTCTACTTCTAAGTCTGCATCCAGACAAAAGTAAGATTTTTTGAGTAGCAAATAAGATCAGACCCTTCCAAAAGAAAATACTTGTAGAAGATGCAGAAAAGAAAATGAGAAAGAAATCAAAGCAGCTCAATACAAAAAACAAAAAACAAAAACAAAGAAACACAAAGAAAGGCAGCAAGAGAGGAAAAGAGGAACAAATAATTATAAGACAAACACAAAACAACAAAATAGCAACAGTAAGTCCGTCCCATCAGTCATTAACTTAAACATAAATGGGTGAAACTCCCCAATCAAAAGACATGGAGTGACTGAATGGATAATAAGATGCAGCTATATGCTATCTACAAGACACTTTATATTTTTTTATTTGTACAAATTCATAGGGCACATGTGAAATGTTGTTATACATATATAATGCATAGTGATCAAGTCAGGGTATAGGGTGTTCACCACCCAAGTACAATATACTTTTGTTAACTATGTTCACCCTACTCTGCTATCAAATATTGAATTTATTTTTTCTATCTTACTGTTTTTTGTACCCTTCAACCAACTTTTCTTCATCCTTCCCCTATCCCCACTCACCCTTCCCAGTCTCTGTTTTCCGTCTTTCCACTCTCTACCTCCATATCACTTTAGATATAAGGACATACACAGGTTCAAAATGAGAGGATGGAAAAAGATACTCCATGCAAATGGTAAACAAAAGAGAGCAGAGGTGGCCACACTCATGTCAGACAAAATAGACAAGTCAAAAACTGTCACAGGAGACAAAAAGGACTTCATACAATGATGAAAAGATAAATTTACTGGGAAGATATAGCAATGATAAACACATATGGACCTATTGACAAAGCACACTAATATGTAAAACAAACTGACGGAACTGAAGGGAGAAACGCACAGAAATGCAGCAGGAGGTCTGAATACCCCATTTCCAATAATGGATAGATCAGCCAGACAGAAAAACAGGGTGAGAGAAGACTTGAGCAACAGCATAGATCAATTGGGCCTGACGGACACACACAGGACACTCTCCAGCAACAGCAGAACACACATTCTTCCTAAGCACACATGGAACATTCTCCAGGAAAGATCATATGTTAGGCCACAAAATAAATCATAATAAATTTAAGAAGACTGAAATGATGCTTAGTATCTTTTCCAACAACGGGATGAAACTAGAAGTTAACAGCAAAAGGAAAATTGGAAAATCCTACAAATATGTGGAAAATAAACCACATTCTTGAATAATCAATGGGTAAAAGAAGAAACACAAAGGAACTAGAAAATACCTTGAGGCAAATGAAAATAAAAACACAACATACCAAAGTTATACATTAGGTAAAAACATACAGTACTAAGCAAAAGCAGTACTAGAGGGATGCTTACCATGGTAAATGCCAACCTTAAAAAGAGAAAAAAAATACCTCGAATCGACAACCTAACTTTACACCTCACAGAACTAGACAAAAAGCAAATTGAATCCAAAGTTAACATAAAAAAGAAATAATAAAGATCAGTGCCAAAATAAAATAGAGAATAGAAAAACAATAGAAAAAAAAGACTAAGCTGTTTTTTGAAAAGATCAATAAAATCAAAAACATTTATTAGACTAAAAAAAGAAAAAATATTCAAATAACAAAAGTCAGGAATAAAAGAGGACATGTTACAACTGATGCTACAGAAATAAAAAGGATCATAAGAAACTAGCATGAACAATTATATGCCAACAAATTGGATAACCTGGAAAAAAAATAGATAAATTTCCAGAAACATCCAACCTACCAAGACAGAACCATGAAGAAATAAAAAATCTGAACCAACCTATAACTTGTAAGGAAATTGAATTAATAATCAAAAACATCCCAAAGAAGAAAAGCCCAGGACCAGATGACTTCATGGAGAATTCTACCAAACATTTAAAGAAGAACCAACAGCAATCCTTCTCAAACTCTTCCAAAAAATTGAAGAGGGAACACCTCCAAACTCATTCTATGAGGCCAGTATTACCCTTATACAAAAATCAAAGATACTACACAAAGAGAAAATTACAACACCAAATCTCTGATGAATATTCATGCAAAAATCCTAAATAAAATGCTAACAAACACAATTTAATAACAAATTAGAAGGATTACACATCAGCCAGGCACGGTGGCTCACACCTGTAATGCCAGCACTTTGGGAGGCCGAGGCGGTCGGATCACGAGGTCAGGCGATTGAGACCATCCTGGCTAACACGGTGAAACCCCGTATCTACTAAAAATACAAAAATTAGCCAAGCGTGGTGGCTGGCACCTGTAGTCCCAGCTACTCGGGAGGCTGAGGCAGGAGAATCGCTTGAACCCAGGAGGCAGGGGTTGCAGTGAGCCGAGATCGTGGGGCCACTGCACTCCAGCCTGGGGGACAGAGCAAGACTCCATCTCAAAAAAAAAAAAAGAATAAACTAATTCAACAAAGTTGCCAGATACAAAATCAACATGCAAAACTCAGTGTCATCTCAATACACTAACAATGAACAATCTCCAAAGGAAACTAAGAAAACAATCCCATTACAACACCATCAAAAGAAGAAAATTCTCAGGAAAAAGCTTAACCAAGAGGCAAAATACTTGTACACTGAAAACTACAAAACGCTGTTGGAAAAAGTTAAAGAAAACACAAATCAATGGAAAGATATGCCATGTTCATGGATTGGAAGACTTGGTAGCATTAAAATGTCCATACTACCCAATGTGATCCACAGATTCAATGCAATCCCTATAAATGTCCCAGTGGGACTTCTTGCAGAAATAGAAAAATTAGAAAGCATCCTAAAATTCATATGGAATCTTGAAGAACCCTGAATAACTAAAACAATCTGGTGAAAGAAAACCGAAGATGTGTTACAAAGCTACAGTAATCAAAACAGTATGCATAAAGACAGGCATACAGACCAATGGAACAGAATAGAGAACCCAGAAATAAGCCCTCACAGGTATGGTCAAATGAACACTGTGGTGTTCTTCAAAAAATCCCTATGACCCAGCAATCCCACTTCTGGGTATTTATCCAGAAGAACTGATCACAGGGTCTCACAGAGATATCTGCATACCCTCGTTCACTGCAACCTTGCTCACCGTAACCAAGAGGTGGAAGCAGCCTAAATGTCCTTTGAAGGGGGAGTGGCTAGAGAAAGCGTGGGATTGTACACAGCAGAATCCTCTTCAGCCTTCGGGAGGAAGAAAATCCTGCCAGGTGCTACGCCGTGGATGAATCCTGAGGTTATTATGTTAAGGCAATAAGCCAGTCACAAAAAGATGCACACAAGATGATTCCACTCATGTGAGATTCCTAGAACAGTCAAACTCTTAGAGACAGAAAGAATGGCTGTTGCTGTTGCCAGGGACAGTGCGGAGGGGGAAGACGAGTTGCTTAATGGATAGATTCCATTTTGCAAGATGAAAAAGTTCTAGAGATCTCGTGTGGTTAACACTGCTATATATACACTTAGAAAAAAAGGTGAAGATGATAAATTTTATGTTATGTGTCCTTTATTACAACAATAACAAAAAAAAAAGCAACCTCCAGAGAAGAAAGTCAGGCAGGAAAGAGGGAGCCGAATCCCATGGCCTGGGAAGATGTCCTGGTGGAGAGGCCCTGCCCCAACCCTGGAATCTCAGCTCTATGGGCCCTGGAATCCCCCATGACCACCTGAGCCCTGGGGGGGCGGCTCCATCACTGTCACCCAAGGTCTTTAGGATGCACTCGGCCACTCAGACCCTACAAGGGAGCCCAGCCCGGACCTTCCACCGGCAAACCCAGTTCCCCTGCTGCCTCCAGCCCTGGCCTCACAGGACCCCAAAGGGCCCCTCCCGTGTGGATCAAGAGGCCAGCATCTGAGGCTGGTCATGTCATCAATCACTGCTGCAGAGACAGGAGGTGCTGACGAGGGCCATGTGCAAAGACAGAAGAGCTGACGAGGGCCACTGGGGCCCAGCCTTCCCTTCTCATTAGAGGCCTAATGAGCCGCACACCTTCAGATTCCATTTCAGTGAATTATCAACACCTAATCTGAGGGAATAATGGGCAAGACCACCTGCCACACAGTGATTAGATAAACACGCTGAGAGACAGGATGGAAAGAACTCTGCACCAGTGCAGTCCCCAGAGCTGGGATGGCATCAGAAATGGTGAGAACGGCAGTGGAAATCCTGCCCCTGCCCCACAGGTGCTGGGTGTGGCGTGGAAAGTGGGGGACAGGAGGGTGAGCATCCTAAACACCTTGTCCCTTCCCTGCTCAAAGCCTCTAAGGTTTCCCTACATATTCAGAACAAAACCTGGGTCTAAGCCTGGGACACAGAGGTATGCACAGGCCCTGCAAGTTCGGCCACTCTGACGTCCTGAATTGATGTCCCACGCCCCCCTCCAGCAGGTGTCCCTGCTGTGCCTGGAACACATCAAGTTCCCCTGACCTCAGGGCCTTTGCACCCCCATTCCCACTGCTAGGAAGGCCCTGCTCCGAGTGCTCACACGGCTCCCTCACTTCATCGGGCGTCTGTCCAAATGTCACATCCACATCCCCGCTCTGAGCGAGAGGTCACTTTACAGAGAGGAACGGAGGATGGAGGGCGGGCACCTGGCTCCTCGCCTCAGCCTCTCCTCCTCGCTGGCTTCAGGCCACAGCCCGGTCTGAGCTGTCAGCATCCCCCCACCACATGCCAGCCCCCAGATCCTGGGTCTCAGTGAGTCACAGATGCTGTCCTTGCTTTAGATGTAGGGGTCACTTGTGGGGAAAGACTGATTTTAATCATGAGGATCATGTTGGGAGAGGCTCACAGTGTGCTGCATGTGGACACCAGGATGAAGGAGGAGGAGGAGGAGGGGCAGACCCGGGGCCCGTCTCGTGTTCACTCCTGTCAGGGGCTCCCGGGCAGCGTGTGGATGAAGCAGGAGGATGAAGGGCAGACCTGGGACCCGTCTCATGTTCACTCCTGTCAGGGGCTCCTGGGCAGCGTGTGGACGCCAAGATGGAGGAGGAGGAGGAGCAGACCCCAGGCCCCTCTCGCGTTCACTCCTGTCAGGGGCTCCCCAGCCGGAGTGGGGGCAGTGGGTGCTGGGGCTGACCGGTCATGAAACACAGCTGTTGTCATAAATTAAATCCTGTAAACTTACAATGGAATAAATTATGTGAAAACGAAGGGAATAAACTCTCACAGTGTCCCTGTGATGACTTCACTACATTCTACCATGGTCTCCGCCCTCAGGGTTCCTTGCATCTGTGGTGTCTACGTGGTGGAAACGGTGGTGCCAGGCTGCACGTCTCTCCCCAGCTCCGTCCAGAGACCTCCAATGACAGCTTGAACCAGCCACGGCGAGAATACTTAAACAGTGGCAGTCATCAAACAGTGCAAATGAGGGCCTCATTTATTCTTTTGTTGAGTTCCTATTCTTAAGAAAGTGCAGATTCAGATTAAACGTGTTGTGTCAGTAGCCAACACACTGTGAGTGGCACAAAAAAATGAGGAAATGTTCTTCCAGTACAGGAAAACCATGAACCAGTTCCTTTTTTTTCTTTTCTTTTTTTCCTTTTTTTTTTTTTTGGAGAGAGAGTCTCGCTCTGTTGCCCAGGCTCAAGTGTGCCGCGGTGCAATCTCAGCTCATTGCAGCCTCAACCTCCTGGGCTCAAGCAATCCTCCTGCCTCAGCCTCCTGAGTAGGTGGGACTACAGGCACACGTCACCACACCCAGCTAATTTTTTTAATATGTTTTGTAGAGACAGATGAGATTTTTCAGGGTGACTCACACTCCTGGCATCATGCAGTTCTCCCACTACAGCCTCCTGAAGTGCTGGGATTACTAGCGTGAGCCAGTGCACCTGGCCTGAAAATGATTTTCTGATTAAGTGAGGAAGCTGCCCAGTTTGCTGATAAACACGTGGGGCTCCAGTGTCCACTTCTGTCTGACCTGCGCCAATGCCTGTGACATCCTCTCACTTAGGTCAGTGTCATGAAAATACAGCCCACACGCACGTCAGAACTGCACGCATTTGTCAGTCCTGCGAGTCTCTTGCTGAATCTGACAGTGACGACGTTTACTCATTGTCTATTTTTGCCAAATCTTGCTTGATTTGCAGCCATAGTGTGTCAGCCTGGGTTCCATCAGGAGAGAGAAACCCCACAGTGATTTGAACAGGGCAGGTTTTATTTAAAGGTTTGTTCAATTTAACAGAGGACTGCCGTAATGAGGAGTTGAGGATTAAGGAGTACAGAGAACTGCAAAGAACATGAGAGAAGCTCATACAGGCGCCAGCACTGAAGAAGCCACCAGCCCAGCACCACCCTACAAGGGGGCCCAGCCCTGACCTTCTAGCCCAGCCCACTGGAGCTGGCTTAGCCGCACCTTTTCTCCTGCCAGGCCTCCTCGGCACCCTCTGCTCACTGTGCTCAACACTGCACTGGCTGACATGGGAGAGATGCTGCTGGGCCCAGATGCATTTCCACCGAGCAGACAACGCAGGGCAGCTTTGGAACCCAGAGGCAATAAATCAATAGCCAGCACCCAGAAGTCAACTATGAATAGAATAGTTCAGTAAGAATCAGTGAGAACATCCTGCAACAACTGGTTGCAATATGGAATCCACAATAAAGGGCATGGTATATTCCACTATTCAAAATCTGGGTGCTGCTGAGCCTTTGTATCAGTAAGAATGAAAATCTGTGCACAGGTGCGTGAGTATACACACACACCAAGAGATCCCATTGTTCCGCCTCTGCCAGCACACCACTGGTTATGGGGGGAGGTTTCCACACATGTCTGCCATCTTCCTTCTCCCCTCTCCTCCAGCCCCTTCTTTTCTCCCCGTGATTTCTTTGCAGAAGGACGGGGCTGTGCCATTTGTCCTGTGAGTCCCGTGTCCAGATGGTGCTGATCACATCCCCAGGCGTCCTTGGAGATGCTGCTCCCTTCCCTGCATTTCATGTAAGTTCTGGGGTTAGAACCAGCAGCTTGATTTGATGACATTTCCCTGTAGTTTGCTAGGAAGGTGTGTCATTCATCAGGGACACAGAGCACCCAGGACCCTCACTCCCAGGGTCGATGAAACAATCTGGTTCTGTGTGAAGAGCCCATTGTTGGTCCCCCATCCTCGGGCCTGGGCACGTCCCACAGAGCAGAGAGGACGGGGCCTCCCCTGGGCTCTGACGTCCAAGGAGAGAGGACGGGGCCTCCCCTGGGCTCTGACATCCGAGGAGAGAGGACGGGGCCTCCCCTGGGTTCAGGCATCCGAGGAGAGAGGATGGGGCCTCCCCTGGGCTCTGACGTCCAGGAGGGGCTCCCACCCCGAGATGCCTCTGATCCCTTCCAGAGGGAGGGGTGAGTAGATGCGGAATAACGGCCTGGGCTCTGTTTCCACTTTGAGTTCCTGACGAAGGGTCTCTGCACCCCCTAAGCTCTAACTTAACTGGTCCCTCCTAACTTTCCCTTGAGGAACAGTAAGTCAGTGACCCAAGCACATTCTGTTTCTAGTGGTGAGTGGAGGGTCCTGCAAGGTGCTGATGAGTCCCTCAGCGAGGCAGGTGTGGGCTGGATTTGCAGGGGCAAGAGCTTTTCCCTCACAATCCATGGAGGCTGAGTCCACGGTGGCCATCCAGCCCCTTGCCCCTGCAGGGAGCCAGGCCCCGAGGCTGATTCCTGCTGACCCCTGACTAGAAGACTCTCAGCCTGTGGTCTCCACCTGATCCTTCTGGAGGAAACCCTGGAGCTCTGGTTTCCAGTTCAAGCACCCCGTCCTCACCCCACATGCATCCTTTCCCACATCTGTCCCACGGGGGATTTTGATGCCTCTCCTCTCTAATGCCACCAGCCTCAGTGACCAATCGTCCACCCCCATGGGTGCAGGGGACACTGGATCCCTGGTGTCACAGGAGCTTCTCATCATCCCCCACTGCCTCCCTTTCCGGCAGCAGATACGGGGTCTGCACGGCCCTGCAGAGGGGTTGAGTGAGTGTAGTCATGGATTTGGGAACCCTGAAGGGAGAATGTCATTGTCCTAAGGCTGGGAGACAGGCTGGGTGTGCAGGTGTGCATGCGGCATGTGTGTGTACAGGTGTTCATATAGCTGTGATGTGGGCGTGTGTGTGCAGGTGTGTGTGCAGGTGTGTGTGCAGGTGTGTGCAGGTGTGTGTGCAGGTGTGCACATGCATGTGTGTGGAGCTGAGTGGATGTTAGTGTGCGTGTGTATCTGTGTATCCATGTGGGTGTGTGGATGTTGTGTGCGTCTAGTATGCATGAATGTGCAGACGTGTTTTCATGTGCATATGTGTGTATGTGTGCATGGATGTGTTTTTGGTTGTGTGTATATGTGTGTACATGTGTTCTGTGCAGGTGTGTATTTGAGAATGTGCGTACACACAGGTATATGGGATGTATGGATATGAGTGTGCATGTGTGCATATGTGTGTACGTGTGTGTTATGAGTATTTGAGCATGCATGTGCACACGGGTACGTGGGATGTAGAGATGTGTGTATATGTGTACACATGTGCTATGTTTGGGTGTACTTAAGCATGCATGTGCACACATGTACATGGGGTGTGTGGATATGAGTGTATGTATATGTGTGTACATTGCTCTGTGCAGGTGCATTGAGCATGTGTGCATAAGTGTGCGCACATGTCTGGGATGTGTGAGTGTGAGTGCACGTGTGTCTATGTGTGTGCATGGCATGTGTGTGGTGTACATCCGTGTGGGTGTGTAGCTGTGTGCAGGTTTGTGCAGATGTGTGTTTCAGTGTGTGCGTGTGTGCACATGTGCATTTTGTTTAAAACTCAGGGGGAACCTGTGGTGAGAGGCGTCCCCACAGCAGGCCGCTCCCCACTGAGCTTATTCCAGAGGCCGTAGGCCTCTCGCTGGGGGAGGGGGGCTCAGGGCCTCGGTGGCAGAGGCCCAGGTCACATCAGGGTCACAGCACCAATGGGGCTGGGTGGATGTGGCTGCCAGTCCAGCTTGTGGGAGCTGGGTCACTGGGGAGCAGCCCCCAGCCTTGACTCTGACAGCAGACTGTGGCCGGGTGCACCCAGGGCTGCCGGGACTTCTGGTTCTCCAGGATGAGGTGGAAATCCAGGTTTTACCTGAAACATCCCAACTTTGAACTATTGGCAACAGACTCAGAATTTCACAGGATGCCATATGGACTACATGGAGCATCCCAGGCTGGATGGAGCCCCCGACCCACTGGCTATCTCAGGAGCCATCCATGCTCAGGGTTTTAAGCGCTTTTTCTCATTTTGTGCTCTCCTGGGAGGTGCAATTTAGAGGTGATGGAACCCATTGGAAGGGCTGACCTTGGGGGATTGGCCCAAGGTCACCCGGGCTCAGGGGCGGGGCCAGGATGGACTCTCCTGGACTTTGTGCTGTAGCCCCCCAGCACCTGTACTTCACTGCCTCCCTGTCTATTAATTCATAATGCTAATAATTATTAGCTTTGTCATCATCATCATTGGACGCCAGTCCAGCGCTGCTTCTGGCTGGAAGGTCTGAGGCTGTGTAGGGAGGAGGGAGAGGCCTCTGTCTTCCTCCCTTCCCCACCCGCCTCCCCTGGAGAGCAGGGAACGGAACAAAGCATCCCTGGGACCGGCTTGCACCTGCTCAGAAGGTGAGGATGAGCTTAAAGCTTTCCTTGAGGAGATTGAACCCGAGCTTGTCCTGCCGCGGTCACTGTGGGGACCCTGCTGTCCACACCTCTGGGGACCCGTCCACGCAGGCATCTTTCTCTCTGTTCCGGGGGGCTGACACCCTGGGCCTCTCCTCTGGGGTCTCTCACCACTTGGAGGAGAGATGGGCTCGCCGCAAGCTCCCATCGGCCGCTGCTGTTGCTGGGCTGCCTGTGCCTTCCCTTTGAAGCTACAATTCACATTCATGGTATCTGTGTACATTCCTGGTTCCAATGTCTTCTGCAGAAATTCCCCGCCCTATAGTCTCCCTGCCTTGCTATGCTCTATTAGTGATCACCCACCATGACGGTGACAGGTTGCATTAAAGTCATGAAGAGCAGAGCTCCCTGTGAGTGGGTCCAGGATGCTCCACTTGGCTGGTGGATGGAGCAGCCGCAGGGCAGGACTTCTAGGGACAGCTGTCTCTTTTCTCAGGTCCTGGCTCAGCCTGGCTGCTGGGTGCCCCGTTTCTGGACTAAACTTACCATGCGAGTCCCTAAAGGGCCTCTTCCAGGACTGTCCCAGATGAGAAGACCTCCTGGGCCCCTCCTCCCTCTCCCCAGGGCGACTGTGAGCTCCGTGGGGCCCAGGACGGCCCCACAGATTTCCCTGCAGAGAACTGGGCAGAGGCTGACCTCCGCAGGCACCCTGGGCCCCGACCATTTGACGCTGCTCGCTCTTCTCCAGACGCTCATCCGACCTGAAGTCACAGGTGCTGGTGCCATGGCGACAGGTGCATAGTAACCCACACATTCTCCAGGCCAGGGCAGATGGGTTTATTGCTCTTAGGCTGGGTTAGTGATGGCTGCACCCGGGACAGTCACAGTCGAAGCCGCCTGGAACACAGGGCCTGACCACCCAGGAGCAGCCACAGGAAGACAGAAGACACGTGGTCACACATGAGGACACAATGGCACCCGTGCCCCAAGCTCTGCACAGAGGACACTTGGTCACACGTGGGAACAGGATGGCACCCACACCCCGAGCTCTGTGCCCTGATCACTGTCACCTCCCAGGCACTGCCTCACTGAGGACAACGGACTGGCCCGTGTGGCTGGCGGCCGGCACGTAGGCTAGGTCAGATGAGAGCCACCCTGGGACCCAAACCCCCACAGGCCCCCAGACCCAATCCCCGATCACACAGAACAAGCCACTAAGCGTGTGTCCCAGATGAGCCAACCGTGCTCTCCGCACTCGGGATGTGGCTGCCCCGCAGGGGTGGGTCCCAGGGGCTGACTTGAGTTGACCAGATGGACTCTGGAGCAGGGCAGCAGCTCCGCTCTGGATGGAGTTCAGGGTTTGGTTGGAAGAAGCTGGAGCCAAGAGATGACACTGGGAAGGGGGCTCCTGGGAGGGGCCGATGAGAGGGAGAGAAGCGGGAGGACATGTATCGCTGGGGTCCAGGAGCAGGGTCCTCACGGGACGCGGGCAGCCAGGAGCAGGAGGTGGGGTGGCGGCTGAGGGGTGTCTGCTGTGGATGATGGGGGCCCAGGGAGGAAGGAGGGAAACGTGGAGGGAATCGGAGGACAGTGTTGAACCCTGAGCACGGGGTGGAGGCCAGGGAGGGGCAGGAGAGATGGGTCTCATGGGAGGAAAAAGGAAAGGGGAGGGGGAGGTGCGGGGTCTGGACTGTGGGACGTGGGCTGAGGGGCGGGAGCGTAGGGAGGGGACGCAGGGGTGCCTGACCTTCAGCTCCGTCCCTTGACCTGGCCGGGTGACGGGGCTCCAGAACCCAGAATCCACCTCCTGGGTGTGTCTCAGGGTAGCTTTGCAGCAGCAGGAGAGATTTAGGATCAGGTAAAAGGGTAGATTCACAGCGGGGCTTCAAAATAATCAATAAAAACATCCTCAGTGGCATTAACAACAGTACCCAACCCTACGTGGTTGTATTATATCAATATTACTCATGATCGACAGCCGTGATGCGTCCACGCCATCTTCACAGGACTGCCTCATTTGCCCTCACAAGGCGATCGTGTCAATACGACAGTTATCTGCATTTTACAGGTGGGTAAACTGAGGCCTGAGCCGCACGGTTGTGAGTGTGGAATCCAGGCGCCGGCCTGCCCGACCTGGAGTTGAGCTCTTGCCTCTGACTGTTCCCAGGTTGGGGAGTCCTGCCCGCCTCTCCCAGGAAGCTCCAGCGCCCCCTTCCCTGAATCCCAGCCTGCAGAGCTTCTCTTCCAGACGCAGGTGCCACCGTTCGCGATGCTGGGAGCAGAGCCGCCCTGGTCGATGTCGGGAAAACCTCTCCGTCTTGGTCTGTCTGCACGCTCTCAGTCACAAGCAGGAAAACAGCCTCAGCATTAATCCTGGGCAATAAATTGCGGTAGACGCACTGCAGGAAAAATCAGGGCCTGCCCCGTCTCAGCTCTGGGATTGGGGTCCTGAGTGATGGAGCAGACGGAAGCCCCCTCGGGAGTCCAGCGGCCCGGGTCGTTACTCTAGGACTAAAGTCCTCACGGATGAAAAGGCTTAATTTTTCACTCAGGTGTGAAACAGACCAGGGCTTTCAGCCCTTCTTCTGCTGCATGTGCATGACGGATGCCGGTCAAGTGTGCAGCAGACACACTCCTGGGGGCTGATGCGGACTCGACAAGCCCAGAAAGGTTCCACCGGGGAGTGAATAGAGACGGCAGCCCCTGAACACCAGGATGGACGGCTCTGCTGTGAAGGACTCACCACCCGGACACGAGGCTCCTCCCCAGCCCCTCCCCTGCCTCCCCTGGTGCTCTTGGCTCTCCCTGTGGGCTGCCCCTCCCCACATTCTGTCCCTTTGGGCCAGGTGGGGCCCTCGCCTTTTTGTACACGTAAATCACGTGATGGGGCCCACATAGTAAACAGACATCCTCCCTAGGACAGCACTCTGTGGGGTATGGGTCACATGACCTCATCAGGGCCCATCGGAGCAAGATCAGGACCACTGCAGAAGCTACTGGGGAAGGACTGTGCTCTTTCTTAAGCACAAGTGAGCTGGGAGGTGCTGCAGCATTGATGGGGTCACAGCCAGAGGGGATTCCGGGGCTCCCAGGGGACAGCATGTGGGGCCTGAGATGGAAGCAGCACAGGAGGGAAGAGCTGAGAGCCAGAGAGAGAGAGAGCAGGAGAGAGCACGGCGGAGAGAGAGAGAGAGCCAGAGAAAGAGAGAGGAGAGAGGAGAGAGCAGGGGAAAGAGAGAAGGAGAGAGGTGAGAGCAGGGGAGAAATAGGAAAAAAGAGAGCAGG
Organism: Homo sapiens; assembly: GCF_000001405.40. Classification (NCBI taxonomy): domain Eukaryota; kingdom Metazoa; phylum Chordata; class Mammalia; order Primates; family Hominidae; genus Homo; species Homo sapiens. The sequence continues at coordinate 131,681,135 of NC_000012.12, forward strand.
AGAGAGCCGGGAAGAGAGAGAGAGAGAGAGAGACCAGGAGAGAGAAAGAGAGCAGGGGAGAGACAGAGAGAGAGAGATGGAGTGAGAGAGAGAGAGAACGTCCTGGAGATGTCTCTAGAGGCCAGAACACAGCCATACCTGAAACCAGCTAGAATAACCTAGATTTCTTCACTATGTGAGCCAACACATTCCCGGGCATCTGCTGATTGGCATCAGGGTTTCTGATGCTCCACAGAGAACTGCCCCCAGCTGTTTGCCCTCTCCTGACTGTGGACAGCTGAGCTGGGCATTTGTCCTGCCAGCTGTGACCCCAGACCCTCCTATCTGGTGACACAGCGCGTCTGAATGTAGCAAGGGTGAAGTCACCTACCGTCAATTACTCTAATGACCTTTTATGTATTAAAAAGTAAAACATTCCCAATCTGTGGCACTTGGGTATTTAGGAAAACATTACTTGTCACACCACAGAAAACCGTGGTGACACAAAGGTGTGCTTCAGCGCCATGGAGAAGAGCAGAGCGAACCTGGCTCTAGTGCTGGGCTCTGGCGCTGCCGTGAGCACGTGCTCACCACACGTCCTTGTCGTCTTCTCCGGGGAGAGCCCTGACTTATCCGAGGCAGCCACATGCCCTTCTATCCTGCTGGTTAGGACATAAATGTCCCTGCTGCACCCGGGGCTGCCTCTGTGGTGACGATGATGCCGAACCTCGGGTGGGGGAGGGAGGCTCAGAAGGGCCTGTGTCCCGAAGCCTGGACCTCCCGGCGCCCTGCCTGTGGGTTAGTTTCTGCATTAGTTGCTGATGTCCGTCTCTGGCACTTCCCACCAAGAGCCTGAACCCACACACCTGGGCTCAGTCCCCGAGACACGGGCCACGCGGCACCTGCTAGGGCTTCTGTGTTGAGATGGTTGCAGTGGACACCAGGAGAGTCGTGGGTGACAGTCGAGAAACTGCCCAAGAACAATCGCTCAATCCCGCTGGTTTAATCACACACTAAAAGCCTAGTCATTGAAAGAGGGTGACATCAGGTGGGGGTTCCCCTCCCCTCCCTGGGAAGGGAGCGCGGAGCTCACTTGTGGGTGCTGGATCCTCACGGCCTCCTCTGCTTCTAAAGGACGGGGGAGGCAGGAGAACAGGTGGGGCCCAGACTGGGGCGGGAGGAAGGTGGAGCAACCCCATGGCCTCCAGGGGACGGGGCGGGGAAGAGGTGGGGCCCAGACTGGGGCGGGAGGAAGGTGGAGCAACCCCATGGCCTCCAGGGGATGGGGCAGGGAAGAGGTGGGGCCCAGACTGGGGGATGAGGAAGGTGGAGCAACTCCATGGCCTCCAGGGGGGATGGGCAGGTGGCTCTGGGATCCCCCCTCCCCCAGGCAGCCACTGGACTAATGCAGGGGAGGGGAAGGGAAGGGAAGGGAGGGGAGGGGAGGGGAGGGGAGGCCAGGCTCTGCCCCAGGAGGCGACGGGGGGTCAGGACCAGATGTGGAGGGAGCCCCAGGAGGGAAGCGCTCAGCCCCAGCGAGGCTGGGAGTGTCCTTGTCGTCTGTAACCGAGTTCCTTGTCATCCAGCATCCAGCACGTCTGGGCTAGGGCACCCTTGACTGCACGTGACAGAACCACATGGGGTGTTGTGTTGTGGTGCTGCTGTCATGGCGTTGTGGTGTGCTGTGTGGTTGATGCTGTGTTGTTATGTTGTGGTGTGGTGTGTGGTGGCGTTTTGAGTTATATTGTTGGTGTGGTGAAGTGGTGTGTGGTGTATATTGTTGATGTTGATGTGTTACATTGTGGTGTGCTGTGTGGTTGATGCTGTGTTGTGATGTCATGGTGTGGTGTGTGGGGGTGTTTTGAGTTATGTTGTTGGTGTGGTGATGTGGTGTGTGGTGTATATTGTTGATGTTGTGTTACATTGTGGTGTGCTGTGTGGTTGATGCTGTGTTGTGATGTCATGGTGTGGTGTGTGGGGGTGTTTTGAGTTATGTTGTTGGTGTGGTGATGTGGTGTGTGGTGTATATTGTTGATGTTGATGTTGTGTTACGTTGTAGTGTGCTGTGGTGTGTGGTGCTGTTTTGGGGTTTTCATGGTGTGGTGTGTGGTGTGTATGGTTGTATATGTTCTTGCTGTTGTATTGTGGTGTTGTGTTATCTTGTTGAGGCAGTGCTGTTGATGGTGTGGTGTGCGGTGTTGTTTTGTGTTATGTTGTGGTGTGGTGCTGGTGTTGTGTGGTTGTAACTGAGGATGTCTGAGCTCGTCTGGAAGGAGACAGTGGAGCTGCCCAGGCCCAGGGCTGAGGATGGGCTGTGGCCAGGGTAGGTCCTCAGCTGAGCGAGGTGAGGAGCCCCTGAGTCTGGTATGTAACACAACTGTTGTGTTGTGTTGTTATGTTGTTGGTGTGCTGTGTCTCTGTCCACACTGGGCAGATGGTCCTGGGGACACTCCTGGAACTTCCTGGCTCCCGACATTCCCAGCCTCTGCTCTTGGGAACGGTCCAGGCTGGACCTGGTGTGGGACAGAAGCCAAGTCTGTGCCAGTCTTCAGCGGGACCACCCTTAGGGTGAGCACGTTCCCCTGGAGAGCCCTGTCTTTGTCTGTGGATTTCTGGGTGGGGCCGTGCCTGGCGCTAGGAGGTGAGCTGGGCCCAGGCCTGGGGGCAGCTCTGCGTCCCCACCACCTTCGTCCCACCCATGGGCTCCAGAGCTTCTCTCCTGCACCGATGGGTCAGCGGCCGCCACCTCGATTTCTACATCTCCTCTCCAGAGCCCAGTCCTTCAGCCTGCAGACGAGAAAAATCAATGCCCAAGTCTTGAAAGGGTTGAAGAGAAAGCCTATTGCGTGTCAGAACATGTTAAGTCTCCCTCCAAATGGAGCTGCAACAGGGCACAGTCCTGCCCGGGAAGGGCTCCTCCCACCCGCGGGGATGCTGTCTGACTCCAGCACTCATGTGGGGGGACCCACGCCCAGGGCTGGGACACACTGGGACCTGGGCTGACCCTCAGCACCTGAGGATATCTGAGCTCCTCTGGAAGGAGACGGCCGAGCTGCCCAGGCCCCAGCTCTGCCGAGGGCTGAGGATGGGCTGCAGCCGGGACAGGTGCTCAGCTGAGCAAGGCGGGGAGCCCCTGAGTCTGGAAACAGCCACTCAGCATCATTAAGGGTGTTGTGTCATCCTCAACGTAGATAATGACGATGGCACTGGCAGCTGCTTCCCTCCTTTCAGGCACTCTGGAAGCACCATTTCTAATCCCCTCCGCAGAGCCCACAGGCTGGGACTCTGAGACCGGTTCCTTCTTTATCAAACCTCTCCCATCCGCAGCGGGAGGCTGGGACGGCAGGTAGCGTCCTCCTTGTGGGGCTCACATCGAGGATGGTGACTACGAAACTGAGGTCACTGTGTGGCCAGCAGGAATCTTAGCAGACCCAGACACCTGAGTGTGAGCCTGGCTCTCCATCTCCCTCCCGACTACCCTGGGGATGCCACCCAGCCTTCTGTGCCTGTTTCCTGCTCTGCACAATGGGAATCACGGCGTGTCCGTCTCCTGCTCTGCACAATGGGAATCACGGCGTGTCCGTCTCCTGCTCTGTAGAATGGGAATCATGCGTGTCTGATTCCTGCTCTGTAGATTGAGAATCACGGCGTCTCTGTTTCCTGCTCTGTAGAAAATGGGAATCACGTGTGTCCGTTTCCTGCTCTATAGAATGGGAATCATGGCGTGTCTGTTTACTGCTCTGTACAATGGGAAGGAATCACGCGTGTCCGTTTCCTGCTCTATAGAATGGGAATCATGGCGTGTCTGTTTACTGCTCTGTACAATGGGAATCACGCGTGTCCGTTTCCTGCTCTGTAGAATGGGAATCATGGCGTGCCCGTTTCCTGCTCCGTAGAATGGGAATCACGTGTGTCTGTTTCCTGCTCTGTAGAATGGGAATCACAGTGTGTCTGTTTCCTGCTCTGTAGAATGGTAATCACACGTGCCCGTTCCCTGCTCTATAGAATGGGAATCACATGTGTCCGATTCCTGCTCTATAGAATGGGAATCACGGTGTGCCCCTTTCCTGCTCTGTAGAATGGGAATCACGTGTGCCCGTTTCCTGCTCTGTAGAATGGGAATCACATCTGTCCGTTTCCTGCTCTGTAGAATGAGAATCATGTGTGTCCGTTTCCTGCTCTGTAGAATGGGAATCATGTGTGTCCGTTTCCTGCTCTGTAGAATGGGAATCACGTGTGTCCGTTTCCTGCTCTGTAGAATGGGAATCATGCGTGTCTGTTTCCTGCTTTGTAGAATGGGAATCACGTGTGCCCGTTTCCTGCTCTGTAGAATGGGAATCACGTCTGTCCGTTTCCTGCTCTGTAGAATGGGAATCATGCGTGTCTGTTTCCTGCTCTGTAGAATCAGAATCACGGCGTGTCTGTTTGCTGCTCTTCAGAATGGGAATCACCCATGTCCGTTTCCTGCTCTGTAGAATGTTAATCACATGTGTCCGTTTCCTGCTCTGTAGAATGAGAATCATGTGTGTCCGTTTCCTGCTCTGTAGAATGGGAATCATGTGTGTCCGTTTCCTGCTCTGTAGAATGGGAATCACAGCGTGTCCGTCTCCCGCTCTGTAGAGTGGGAATCATGGTGTATCCGTCTCCTGCTCTGTAGAATGTGAATCACACGTGTCCGTTTCCTGCTCTGTAGAATGAAAATCATGTGTGTCCGTTTCCTGCTCTGTAGAATGTGAATCACGCGTGTCCATTTCCTGCTCTGTAGAATGTGAATCACGCGTGTCCGTTTCCTGCTCTGTAGAATGGGAATCACGTGTGTCCGTTTCCTGCTCTGTAGAATGGGAATCACGTGTGTCCGTTTCCTGCTCTGTAGAATGGGAATCACGCGTGTCCGTTTCCTGCTCTGTAGAATGAAAATCATGCGTGTCTGTTTCCTGCTCTGTAGAATGGGAATCACGTGTGTCCGTTTCCTGCTCTGTAGAATGGGAATCACATGTGTCCGTTTCCTGCTCTGTAGAATGTGAATCACGTGTGTCCGTTTCCTGCTCTGTAGAATGAAAATCATGCGTGTCTGTTTCCTGCTCTGTAGAATGGGAATCACGTGTGTCTGTTTCCTGCTCTGTAGAATGGGAATCACGTGTGTCCGTTTCCTGCTCTGTAGAATGGGAATCACGTGTGTCCGTTTCCTGCTCAGTAGAATGTGAATCACATGTGTCCGTTTTCTGCTCTGCGGATTGGGAATCACGGCGTGTCTGTTTCCTGCTCTGTAGAATGGGAATCACGCATGTCCGTTTCCTGCTCTGCAGAATGGGAATCACGCGTGTCCGTTTCCTGCTCTGCAGAATGGGAATCACGTGTGTCCGTTTCCTGCTCTGTAGAATGGGGATCACGCGTGTCCATTTCCTGCTCTGCAGAATGGGAATCACGCGTGTCCGTTTCCTGCTCTGTAGAATGGTAATTCACGCACATCTGTTTCCTGCGCTGCAGAATGGGAATCACCCGTGTCTGTTTCCTGCTCTGTAGAATGGTAATCACGCGCGTCCGTTTCCTGCTCTGCAGAATGGAAATCACACGTGTCTGTTTCCTGCTCTGTAGAATGGGAATCATGGCATGTCTTTCTCCTGCTCTGTAGAATGGGAATCACAGAATGCCCGTTTCCTGCTCTGTAGAATGGGAATCATGGCGTGTCCGTCACCTGCTCTGTAGAATGGGAATCATGGCGTGTCCGTTTCCTGCTCTGTAGAATGCGAATCACGTGTGTCCGTTTCCTGCTCTGCAGAATGGGAATCACGCGTGTCCGTTTCCTGTTCTGCAGAATGGGAATCACGCGTGTCCGTTTCCTGCTCTGTAGAATGGGAATCACGTGTGTCCATTTCCTGCTCTGTAGAATGGGAATCACGTGTGTCCATTTCCTGCTCTGTAGAATGGGAATCACATGTGTCCGTTTACTGCTCTGTAGAATGAGAATCACGCCCGTCTGTTTCCTGCTCTGTAGAATGGGAATCACGCGTGCGTGTTTCCTGCTCTATAGAATGGGAATCACCACGTCATGACTTGGGTGTGTCTTTCACTCGAGTCTGGCACATATGCATCTGATGGTCAGCGGATCCCTGCACGCCCAAAGGCCCTGCAGTCGGGCTGCAAGGATCTTGAAATCCTTAATAACCTTATGTTTGAATTTGAACTTTGTGAGCGAAGTCCAGTGGAGCATGCCCTGGGGGCTCAGAGCCTCAGCTCTCTCGACTGCCCCTCCTCACCTCCCCATCTCCCAGGCTGCCCATCTCCTACCCTTGGACACTAGAGCCCTGGGGCTCCAGCCCTGCCCAGCCTCCCCTCCTGCGCTGTGACTGCTGCCACCCTCCCCCTATGCAGTGCCCAGGCCATGCCCACCCTCCATCCCTGGCAGGGGTCTGGGTCAGACACCAGGAGGGTTGGAGTTGTCATGTGCCATGTGGCAGCAGAGGGTCCATCTGCGCCCCACACTGGTAGGCTGGTGCTGGTCCCTGCATCTCTCCTGAGGACACCTGCCATGTATTCCCGCCTATTAAGTGCCCCCCACTGGGCTAGGTCTCCTGTTGCCTTGTCCCATTTCATACTCACCCTCCAGGGGCACAGATGCATCTGCATGACACCAGGGACACCTGGGGCTCAATCCCAGGTTTCCCAGACTCTAAAGCCCATGCATCAACCTGCACCAGACGCTGCCTCTGAGTCCAGGAGGGTCGAGGGACGAGGACTCCAGACCTCGAGGCTCTAGCAATCCGGGGGACCCCACGGAGCTGTGTCAGTTGCCCCAGACCCCTCTCATGGTCCTGTTGCCCCAGGCCTCAGGAGGGAACAGGCACCACAGAAACACTGCTGACACCGGGGGTGTGTCCCCTGACTGCCCCTGGAGAGGGACCGGCTGGGATTAACACCTGGACTGCGCAGGGAAACATCTCCTCGCAGGAAATCTCCATGCTACGGTTTGAATGTTTGTCCCCTCTGAAACTCATGTGAAAATGTACTTGCCATCCTCTTGGTGTTAAGAGGTGGAGCCTTTAAGAGGTGATTAGGTCCTGGGGCTGCACCCTCACAAAGGAATTGATGTCGTTCTTGTGGGAGTGGGTTACTTATGATGGAGTAGGTTAGTTATGGTGGGAGTGGGTTAGTTATGGTGGGAGCGGGTTAGTTATGATGGTAGTGGGTTAGTTATGGTAGGAGTGGGTTAATTATGATGAGAGTGGGTTAGCTATTATGGGAGTGGGTTAGTTATGGTGAGAGTGAGTTTGTTATGGTGGGAGTGGGTTAGTTATGGTGAGAGTGAGTTAGTTATGATGGGAGTGGGTGAGTTATGCTAGGAGTGGGTTAGTTACGGTGGGAGTGGGTTAGTTATGATGGCAGTGAGTTAGTTATGATGGCAGTGAATTAGTTATAGTGACAGTGGATTAGTTATGGTGGGAGTGGGTTAGTTATGATGGAAGTGGGTTAGTTATGAGAGTGGGTTAGTTATGGTGAGAGTGGGTTAGTTATGATGGGAGTGGGTTAGTTATGATGGAGTGGGTTAGTTATGATGGAGTGGGTTAGTTATGATGGAGTGGGTTAGTTATGGTGGGAGTGGGTTAGTTATGATGGCAGTGAGTTAGTTATAGTGGGAGTGGGTTAGTTATGGTGAGAGTGGATTAGTTATGGTGAGAGTGGGTTATGGTGGGAGTGGGTTAGTTATGATGGAGTGGTTAGTTATGATGGAGTGGGTTAGTTATGGTGGGAGTGGGTTAGTTATGGTGAGAGTGGATTAGTTATGGTGAAAGTGGGTTATAGTGGGAGTGGGTTAGTTATGATGGAGTGGGTTAGTTATGATGGGAGTGGGCTAGTTATGATGGAGTGAGTTAGTATGGTGGGAGTCGGTTATGATGGGAGTGGGCGAATTATGGTGAGAGTGGGTTAGTTATGATGGGAGTGGGTTAGTTATGGTGAGAGTGGGTTTGTTATGGTAGGAATCGGTTAGTTATGGTGATAGTGGGTAAGTTATGGTGATAGTGGATAAGTTATGGTGAGAGTAAGTTAGTTATGATGGGAGTGGGTTAGTTATTGTGGGAGTGGGTTAGTTATGGTGGGATTGGGTGAGTTATGGTGGGAGTGGGTTAGTTATGGTAGGAGTGGGTTAGTTATGATGGGAGTGGATTAGGTATAATGGGAGTGGGTTAGTTATAGTAAGAGTGGGTTAGTTATAGTGGGATTGGGTGAGTTATGGTGGGAGAGGGTTAGTTATGGTGGGATTGGGTGAGTTATGATGGAAGTGGGTGAGTTATGATGGGAGTGGGTGAGTTATGGTAGGAATGGGTGAGTCATGGTGACAGTGGGTTAGTTATGGTGGGAGTGGGTTGTTATGAATTGAGCCCAGCCCCTCGTGCTGTCTCTTCTCTCTGCAATCACTCACCCTCTCGTTTTCCACCCTTCCACCACAGGATGACCACACCAGAGGCCAGTGTCATGCACGTGGAGTTCCCAGCCTCCAGAAACATAAGCAGAAGAAATGTCTCGTCTTTACAAATTACCGTCTGTGATATTCTGTTATAGCAGCAGAGAACAGCCTAAGACACTCCATTTCTACTAACGGGCATTTGATGCAACGGTCATCCTGAAAATTCATGGAGAAAGTCTGCTCCAAAACCAATTTTCTGCTCCATAACATCTGCCTTTGGAGAATCTCATATAAATAAGGAATGAGGTGCAGATGTAGAAAGACAGTGGGTTCTGACAGCATCATTCTAAATGGAGAGGGGTGATAAACGCCCAGTAGAATTCAAATAAAATATGAACTTCAGAGAAAGGAAAAAAGTGATGTGACTCTGCACCCTCAGCTGAACATGGTAGAAATTATCCTGTAGAGAAACAGAACAGGGATAAAAAAAGTCACCTTCCTTAATTTGCATGTATATTATAATTCATTTCCAGACATGAAAGTAAGACTGAGATTTCAGCTGCTGAATTATACATCTTGATTCTTGCATACAGAGGACTCAAAACATTTCCCCCAAAGGCCTAAATAATGATGTTCAGCCTTATTTTTCCTTCTACACACCTCACACACAAACAAGGATGGGCCATCCTTTCTGGAACTCTATCCCCAGGACATGTGGTGAATGTCACAGATAAAGAACCAGGCTGAATAGCCAAAGGCGTCCAAAAGCGCAGGCTTGTGACTTGATTGTGCAGCCGTTGGGAAGGACAGAGCCAGGATGGCCGACAGCACCGTTCCCTCTGGGCAGCACCACCAGCAGGGACCACTGTCACCATCTTCACTGGAGACAGAGATCGAGGCTCTGCATGGCGACTCCAAGGAGCACAGAATGGAAAAAGGAGAAGTCACTTTACAGTGGAGAAACCTGGCAACCAGGCTCAGCCAGGAATCAAGGTCAACGTCAGCCATGATGTCCGATGCATAACAGGGGCCCTCAATATGCCGTGAGAGACAGCCACCTTACCTCTGTACACCCCAGGCTAATCAGGAGCAAAGCACTGGACAAATCCCAACAAAGCGACCATGCACGGAACACCTGGCCAGTCCTCCTCACAACTGTCAAGGTCAATAAAGCAAGGAAAGCCTGGGAAACGGTCACAGCCAAGAGCAACCCAAGGAGACACGATGACTGAATGTCACCTGGGATCCCGGGTGGGAGCCTGGGAGAGTAAAAGGCCGTTGGAGCAACGAATAAAGTGTGACTGAAGCGTGGACATGGGTTAAGAGTGATGCATCCGTGCGAACTCATTAACTGTGACGAATGTACCGTGGTAATGAAAGAGGTTAGTGACAGGGAAACGGGACAGGAGCTGGGAGGACTCTGTACAGTCTTCACACCTTCTCAGAAAACCTAAAGCCATGCTAAACTGGAAAAGTTTATTTTAAAACATAGGAAACGGTGGGTGTTGAGGTTGCAGAATCAGAGATGAAGAGCTGTAACCCTAAAACTTTATTTCCCAGCTGAAATTGGATGTTTTACAAAAGAGGACGCTGGGGCTGGTACGGCTGGCCTTTTCCCACCCTGGCCAAAGTGCTTTCACCCCAGGACAACGTCTGTGTGCACTGAGCTCTAGGGTCTTTTTGGTGTTTTAGTTTTTTGCTTTTATGTCCCCAAAATAAGACATGTCTGTGGTTTAAAAGTGTAGAGTATAAAATACACAGTGGGGAGGAAAAGAAGTTTCTTCTTTGTTATTTTGGCCACAATGTCTCTGTGTTAGCCCTCAAAGGCAGCCGTGGTCACCTGCTCTAAAAGGTCTTTCCAAAGATAGTCTCTGCTGGGCAGGGTGGCGTGTGCCTGTAATCCCTGCGTCTTGGAAGGCCAAGGTAGGAGGATCGCTTGAGCCCAGGAGGTCAAGGCTGCAGTGAGTCATGATCGTACCACTGCACTCCAGCCTGGGAGACAGAGCTAGACTCTGTCTCAAAAAATAAAAATAAAAAACTCAAAGATAGTCCATACAGGAACAAGTGCACACACATGCAAACATACAGACATGCATATGCACATATATGCACACACACACACATGCACACATACAGAAAAATGGTAGCACACTTTTTTATATAGCATGATTCTTCCAAGTTGGGACCTTACAGAACCCTCATTATTTTTAATGGCTTCAGCCTGTGCTACTGTATAGGGGCCTCATAATTTATTTAAGCTATTCGCTATCAACAGACATTTATCTTAGTCTTTTGTTACAAATCACACTGTAATGAATATCTTTGTTCAGACATCCTTGCCCACATTACAGCATTATTTTTAATGTCTGTTTGATATGCGATGAGAATGATGTACAATAACTCATATAATGCATCCTCTATTTTAAACGTCTAGATTGTCTCCAATGTTTTCCACCATTACAAACAATGCTGTTACAATATAAATCTTCACACACACCTCTGATTGCTTTTCTTGGATGAATTTCTGGAAGGAAGTGCTGGGTGAAAACATTTTCACTTTAACTTTAAGGTTGCTTCCAGCCCTTTTATAAGGGCTGAGTCTGGGCTGTTCGCATGGTGGGGTAGGGGGGCGCCCAAGAATGGGCAGGAGAAGAGTCCTGCGAAAAGAGGGGAAAAGAGGGGAACGCCAAGCCTCCTCTCCGGGGTTGGAGAGGGGAGGGGAGGGCAGGTGCCTGGGACCCTCCTGGTTGTCCTCTCACAGCCTAGCTAGGCCCCGTTTGGGGTCATTTCCCTCACTTTTCAGGGTGATGCTGGACTCCAGGATTCCTAGAGCTTTGGCTGTTGTCAAGGAAGAAATGTCCGCAGAGGCTTCTCTAAAGAGAGTCCCCATACGCCTGGGAGGTGCAGTGACGCATCTGACCCCGCTGAGGAGGGAGAACCAACTTGTGTCACTAAAGGCCTGAGGTGAGTTGGACCCAAGACTCGCAGCTCAGGCCCTTGTGAGTCTCCTCCAGCTCAGGTGCATGGGAAGCAGCACCGCCTTCACGATTCCACCAACGGCTTTCATCTCCACCTGCCCCCGTGAAACACACCGGATATCAGCTCCCCCAGGCACAGCAGCTGAATCCCAGGGTCTATGACGTGCTGCGGAGGCGGGGAGGGGGACAGGAGGCCACCAGATCCCTGACGTCACCTGCCCATCCAGGACAGGAAAGGACATCATCGTGCAAGGAGCCTCCGTGGGGTGTGCTGGAGTTGGCCCGTGAGCTTGCAGAGCCGGTCATTAGAGCTCCGGGAATGCACGAGCCGGGCGTTCAATGCTGCCATTATCAGAATTGCATCAGATAAACTTACCATGAAGTAAATTCTATTAAAGCAACAGGAATAGTTGCAAGCCCTCAGCTCCCGGTTATTTTACTACTGTTGCAGTTAGCTGTTGAGTCTGTGGTAGCAACGCCATGTGGTAGAGACCACCAGCATCTCCCCCAGCTCCACGCTCAGTGGCGTCAGATTGCAGTGGGAGGTCAGCCCCGGGCAGTGTTTACACCACAGAAATTGGCAAATGCCACACATGCAGGCTGCTTTCTTTAGTTTACCTGAAGAGCTGGCTGTTACACGCCTGCCCATGTCCACCGAGCCTCCATCGTCCATTGGGGTGGGGGCTCTGCGAGGTCACCTCTGCCCCTCTCCCCGGGGTTCTTTCCCTCCGGAGGATCACTTGGCCTCCCTCTGCCACTCTTGGGGCACAGAATGACTCTCACTTGAGCCTGGGGGGCTCAGCCAGGCCCTCTCTGCCTGCACACTCAGCCTCCAGCTCGTTCTGGGTCTCCCTCCCTCCCTGGCCCTCCCCAGGGGTGAGTCCAGGTCCTCGCTGCTCTGACGCCCCTTGAGCCTCATGGAATATCCCCTCCCTCCTGCCTCCTGCCGGGCTCACACCAGGCAGCCAATGCAGCCCCCCCTCATGTGTCTTCCAGGGGCCTCTCACTCTGCAATACCATGCCCCCCCACGCACACCTCCACACTTGGAGAATCTCCTGGGTCCCAGCTGCCTGCGCTGTTGGTAGAAGTGTGGCTGCTGGGGGGTGGCACTCAGAGGAGCAGGAAGCAAACTGGAGGCCACCAGTCCTCTGTCGTTCTGCAGCGGGCAGGTGTGTGCAAGTCAACCCCAGAGTCCGAGGAAGCTGAGAGGCTGAAGAAAGAGGCCGACATGTTCAGTTCCTTAAAAAGAAACATCTAATAGTGACTTACAAACAGAAGCCAGCTCTGTGTCTCAGACGACAGCGAGATGAGATGGTAGATCCCTGCCCCATCACTCCCAGACCCAGGGCTCATGGACCATAGGGAGGGGTGACTCAGAAGGGACAACTGAGGGATGGTAACCTTAAGACTGTTTGATCCAGTGGCAGGATTTAGAGTAAGTGCCTGCTGTCACACAAGAAACAATCAATAAACTGGGAATGTTAGAGGCCTTCTCGGAACAGGGGTTAATCAGAAGCCAACATGGCGGACTCATGTCCAACATGGAGTTGCTTTGGCCTCCACAGTCCTCCAGTCTCACTGCCTCCCCCTATGACCCCCAAGGTAGGGTCCAAGAGGGGTTTGCAGAGACCATGTCCCAGGGTCACAGGCCACAGAAGACAGTCCCCAGCTGAGACACCACAGCCCAAAAACACACACGCCTACCTTATGGTCCTGCATCCCCGGGAGAGACCAGGGGCCCACTGACCTGCCCGCCCTGCAGCAGACACACCCCTTTGAGGCTTCTGATCCCAGGACTGGGAAGTGAGGAGAGGGCACCCGCTGAAACCCTTTGACAATGACAGTAGGTGAGGCAGAACAGGACAGAGCAGGACAGAAAGGATCCTGTAAAAAGGCCGTGCACACAAGGGGGCCCGTGCACAGAGGCTGCACACGGGCTGCAAGGAGAGGCTGTACAATGGAAGCTGCACAGAGAGGCTGCACACAAAGACTTCTCACAGAAGCTGCACACAGAGGCTGCATACAGAGGCTTTACACAGAAGCTGCACACAGCTGCCTGTGCCTGGGGAAAGCCAGTGAAGCCTCCACTGTGAGGGTGAGTGGAATAGTCCCTTCCCCATGGAAGTCATTCCTACAAAGAGTGCCTGCTCCCTGCACGCAGACTGGACCATCGGAGGGGGCTGTGGGGCTTTTCCTGGTCTAAGTGCTGAGCTCTCCGTGGTCTCCTTGCCAGAGCTGGGTGCTTTAAACACAATTCTGCTGGTTCAAATCACGTTTTAAAATATTTAAAACACAGATTGCAAAGTGGTGGCCTAGCAGGAAGGTGTGTTTTCTTTGGGCTGCTATTCCAACTTTTTTTTTTTTTTTTTGAGATGGAGTCTCACTCTGTCACCCAGGCTGGAGTGCAGTGGCGTGATCTCTGCTCACTGCAAGCTCCATCTCCCAGGTTCATGCCATTCTCCTGTCTCAGCCTCCCGAGTAGCTGGGACTACAGGCGCCCGCCACCACGCCTGGCTAATTTTTTTCTATTTTTAGTAGAGACGGGGTTCCACCCTGTTAGCCAGGATGGTCTTGATCTCCTGACCTCATGATCCACCCACCTCAGCCTCCCAAAGTGCTGGGATTACAGGCGTGAGCCACCACACCCGGACTCCAACTTTTTTCTTAATGGGGGATTTCACATAAAAATCCATACTCTGAGCTTCTCATCAGGCATCCCCAGCTCGTGCTCCTGCAGGGTGCGACCGGTGCACCCACCCTGACTCTCACCACCTCCACCTCTGCAGCATCCTCACATACAGGCCTGGCCCCTGGCGGCACCTGAGCTTAACACTTCTCGTGTAGGGAAAACACTGCGCTGGGACTCTTGAAGAATCGGGCTGTCTTCACATGTAAACACTTTGAGGTTCAGAAAAGCGGAGGTTGGATGCAGAGCAGGTCAGTGAATCGGGAACTTGGTTGCCAAGACCGCCTGTTCCTTGTGGAAGGAAATCATGACGGAGTTGGGCTTGATGTCTTAGGGAAAGAAAACCCTTTCCCACTTCGTTTCTGCCTCTGACATGGAAAAGCACCTCGGGTGTGGGAAAGGATGTCCCTGAGTAACAAGGGCAGTTAGATGCCACCTTTCCAACATGGTTCTTTCATGTTTGTTCAACCCCCCCACACAGATGTAACTTGGCAACAGCAGTAAATACTGCATGGCCTCACACCAATTCTACAAGTCACCAGGGTGTCCACACACACGTAAGTGATTACACGTGTGCCTAAGTTAAATCCCCCCCTCAACAGAGACGCCGAATGCTTTTGCAATGGTGTAGGCCACAGAGCTAGCACTAAACACGTTGGCTCACTTGTCCCGTGGTCACCACTCCCTGCCCCTGGTGTCCCTCCCTGGCCCCTTCCCTGGTCCTGGTTTCCAATCTTGACACTCACCTCTTCCTCCATCCTTTCTCATTTCACTAGCCTAAAGGTGACAACGTTGGCCACGCTGATTAGCAATAGGGTCCCTGGGTGTGGCCCCCACGTGTGAAAATGCCCAATGGCAAAACAGTCTGGTCCGAACAGGCACACCTCCATGGAAAAGCGTGGCCGTATCTCCTCAAGCAGGACGTACGCCCACCCTCCAACCCATCAGTCCCACCTGTGGTATATACCAGCACAAAAACATGTGAATCGTGCACCAAAAGACATGCACATGGCCGGGCACGGCGGCTCACGCCTGTCATCCCAGCACTTTGAGAGGCCGAGGCGGGCGAATCACCTGAGGTCAGGAGTTCAAGACCAGCCTGGCCAACATGGTGAAACTCTGTTTCTACTAAAAATACAAAAATACAAAAAATACCAAAAAAAATTATCCAGGCATAGTGGCAGGCGCCTGTAATCCCAGCTACTTGGGAGGCAGAGGCAGGAGACTCGCTTGAACCCAGGAGGTGGAGGCTGAAATGAGCCAAGATCGCGCCACTGCACTCCAGCCTGGGCAGCAAGAGCAAAACTCCATCTTAAAAAAAAAAAAAAAAGACATGCACACACATGCTCACAGCAGCGCTATTTACAACTGCCCTAAAGTAAAATTACTCAAATGCCCACAGACTACTAAATAGACGATGGTACTATCATAATGGGCCATTATTCAGCAGTGAGAATGAACAAACTAGAAATAACTGTTGACCCAAAAGGAAGAAACTGAGGCAAAATTAATACAAGTAGAGAGTTTATTTGGGCCAAACGTGAGGATTGTGGCCCAAGAGCACACATTCAAGTTTCCCGAATATACACTCTGATTAGCAACCGTTACAAGTGGATTTTTAAAGGCAAAAGGAAACAAGGAGTGGGCTGATAAAAGTTATGTCAAGAATTATCTGGCCAGGCGTGGTGGCTCATGCCTGTAATCCCAACACTTTGGGAGGCCGAGGCGGGTGGATCACCTGAGCTCCGGAGTTCGAGACAAGCCTGGGCAACATGGCGAAATCCTGCCTCTACAAAAAATTAGCTGGGCCTGGTGGCGCATGCCTATAATCCCAGCTACTTGGGAGGCTGAGGCAGGAGAATTGCTTGAACCTGGGAGGTGGAGGTTGCAGTGGGCCAAGATCACACCACTGCACTCCAGCCTGGCGACAGAGCAAGACTCCATCTCAAACAAAAGGAAAAAAGAATTCTCATTAGTCTACAGAAATAACATTGATTAGTGATTGGCTGTACCTTGTTACAAGGTAGGGTATGGGTCACAGTGTCCAGTGTGGCGTTACTAGGTTAATTTACAGCTACTTGTGGCAACAGCCCACAGTTTGAAGAGACGAGTACACAGCTCGAAGCAGGGAGGAGCATGTGGCTGCCCCTCATTCTACGGTCTCTCTGGGCCTGATCATTAAAAGGACTTGCATCCCTCAGCCTAAAGTTCTTTACTTTTCTCATAACATTCCTCAGCCTAAAGTTCTTTACTTTTCTCATAACATTCCTCAGCCTAAAGTTCTTTACTTTTTTCATAATATACCATGATTTGGGAAAATCTCACAAACATAAGTAAAAGACAACAGATTTAGAAGCATGCATACTATATAATTCCATTTACATAAAATATAAAAACAGGCAAAACCAACTTACCATGATAAAAGTCAGGGTAATAGTTACCTTTAAGAAAAAAATCAGCATATCAGGTAATCAGCATATCGTGTAATCAGCATATCAGGACATATGAAAAGTCCATAACTTTTTTGTTGTTGTTTGTTTGTTTTGGAGACGGAGTCTCACTCTGTTGCCCAGGCTGGAGTGCAGTGGTGTGATTTCAGCTCACCGCAACCTCCACCTCCCAGGTTCAAGCAATTCTCCTGCCTCAGCCTCTCGAGTAGCTGGGATTATAGGCGTGCGCCACCTGGATAATTTTTTGTATTTTTAGTAGAGACAGGGTTTTGCCATGTTGCCCAGGCTGGTCTTGAACTTCTGATCTCAGGTGATCTGCCCGCCTCAGCCTCCCAAAGTGCTGGGATTATAGGTGTGAGCCACCTCTCCCAGCCGAAAGTCCATAACTCTTAAATGGGTAAAAGATTTTAATAGACACTTCGCCACAGAATATATCTGGATGGCTAATGACCATAGGGCAAGATCCTCAACATCATCAGTCATTAGAGAAATACAAACTCAAACCACAGTGAGACACACAGTCACTGGAATGGCTGTACACAAAAGGACTGCCCACACCAAGTGGTGGTGGGGATGTAACATGTAGCAGCCACCTGGAAAACAGTTTGGCAGTGCCTCAGAAGCTTCAGCATGGAGTTGCCATACACACTAATTTCCTATTGCTGCTGTAACCGTTGAAAACGACACAGCTTTACTTCCTTCCCATTCTGAAGGTCAGAAGTCCACAGTGAGTCTTCGAGGAGTTGAAACCCAGGCGCTGGCAGGACTGGTTCCGTCTAGAAGCTCTAGGGCAGGGGTGCCCAACCCCCGGGCCACAGATGGGTACCAGGCCTGTTAGGAACCAGACTGCGAAGCAGGTGAGCGGTCAGCAGGTGAAGCTTCATCTGAATTTACAGCTGCTCCCTGTCAATCACATCACCGTCTGAGCTCTGCCTCCTGTCGGATCAGCGGCATTAGATTATCACAGGAGGCCGGGCATGGTGGCTCACACCTGTAATCCCAGCACTTTGAGAGGCCAAGGCAGGTGGATCACCTGAGGTCAGGAATTCAAGACCAGCCTGGCCAACATGGTGAAACCCCATCTCTACTAAAAAGACAAAAATTAGCCGGGTGTGGTGGCACATGCCTGTAATCCCACCTACTTGGGAGGCTGAGGCAGGAGAATTGCTGGAACCCCAGAAGGTGGAGGTTGCAATGAGCCGAGATCGCACCACTGCACTCCAGCCTGGGCAACAGAGCGAGATTCCATCTCAAAAAAATTTTAAAAAAAAGATGATCACAGGAACATGAACCCTACTGTGAAGTGCGCATGAGAGGGATCTAGGTTGTGAGCTCCTTAGGAGAATCTAATGCCTGGTGATCTGTCACTGCTCCCATCACTCCCAGATAGGACCATCTAGCTGCAGGGAAACAAGCTCAGGGCTCCCACTGCATTGTGGTGAGTTGTATAATTATTTCATTATATACGACAATATAATAATAGAAATAAAGTACACAATAAATGTAATGCACTTGAATCATCCCAAAACCATCCCCACCCCCACCCATGGAAGAACAGTCTTCCACAAAACCAGTTCCTGGTGCCAAAAAGGCTGGGACCACTGGTCTAAGGGAGAGTCCATTTCTTGCCTCTTCCAGCTCCCAGAGGCCACCCCACATCACTCCAACCTCTGCTTCTATATTCACATGACTTTCTCCCGACACAGACACTCCTGCCTCCCTCTCATAAGCACCCACGCAATTATATTGGATACACATGAAGAATCCAGAATCATCTCCCCACCTCAAGACCCTCAGCCACATCTGTGAGGTCCCTTTTGAGTGAATTCAGAGTGAATGTGTGTATTCTGGTTCACTAATGAGTCTAACAAGGAAAGATGAAATGAGAATTCAAGACAGTAGAAGACAAAAACAGTCCATGATCAATTGCTGATGGATTGCACAAATAGAACACATTCCTTCTTCTTAGTCCCACAGGGCACATCCGGCTCAAATGTTTCCCTCCCGAATGTATCATCATGACTCGACAGAGATTAAATAGTTCATGAACGGTGCTGCAGAGTCAAACAGGAATATAATGCCAATTAGTGAGAGAAATGATGACTGGGGACAATGTGGTGAGGAGTGAAATAGACACAGCTGCATTTTTAAATGGCAAACTTGTGCAGTCAGTAAGGGAAGGAGTGAGAACAGAGCCTCCGGTACAACCTGGCTGAGTTAAACATCAAGGTCAATCAATTGATCTACCCAGGGTACTGTTATGAGGAGTAAAAATTGCCAGTTATACATCTGAGCCAAGCCTTGGCCCAGGTGGGAAAGAAATGCAAAGCTGTTTTCAAAAAGGCTTCATCATAACTGTTTACAAGCTTTCACTCTGAACACCGGATTTCAAAGAAACTTAGAAGAAAGGCTAGGTGAAGAAATACATTAGCTATGAAATCGCCCAGGAAAATGGGAAAACCGGAGCTCGTGCTGCTTATTTTGTCATCATGAAGCAGTAATCCCAAAAAACTTAAATACATAGGTTTTTGGGTTTACTGTGGGGCTTGACATCCATGGAGGGATGGACCCTGCAGGCCACTTGGCCATGCAGCTGTGACATGATTCCAAACACTTCGTGTGCTACATGAGTGGCACATGCTTTGCTGTGATGAGAAAATGGAGAATAAGCCCAAGCCCAGGAAGATCTTACATCACACCTTATCAGACCACGTATGTGAGTACTGGACCCCAAAACACATATACATCCGTAATTTCAACAGACACATTGACAGCTCAGGCTGTGGCTGGGCTACTCTGTCAGCCTCTGATCTGTTCTTTGAAGCCTCGTCCACAAGCAACACCACTCGCTAGTGTTGAGGGACCTGGTGCGTCGCCCCAGATCTCTGCTGTGCTGGTCAAACTGTCTCTCCCAATAACTTCTCATAGAAAGGTGCACCTCAAACTTCAGTTAGACTCTACGTCCCCAGCAGCCTGCTTCCACCCTAGAGCAACTGGACTTTAATAACTGAACCCTAGACAAAACGTACCTCATCTGTTGAGTGTATTCCCTGAGATATTTGTTCTCATGATCCTCCCCATCTTTGAGCATTGTGAAAAAAGGAGTCTCTTTGTATGGCAATTAAACCATGTTATTTGTGAAATCACACTTTGATCATGGCCTTCTTTCAACCATACAAAACACATATACATGGGTCAGCAAGATGGCTGACTAGAAGCCCCTTGTGCTCGGCCCCTCGTGGAGACAGCCAGAACAATGAACACACAACAGCACTGGAATGAAAGTAACAGAGAGAGAGCGGTGGAGTGCATCAGAGGAGTCACAGAAATGCTGGTGAGCACAGAAACTCAGGATGGCCACATCGGGAAGGAAATGCTGGGCCTCCACCACCCCATGCCCCAACTGGGACCAGCTGGGACCCACGAGAAGTTTCTCCCTGGGGTGAGGAGGAAAGCAAGAGGACCCCAGCAGCCCCCACCACCACCATGGACGCCCACAGCCCCCACCACCACCACGGACGCCCACAGCCCCCACCACCACCACGGACGCCCACAGCCCCCACCACCACCATGGACGCCCACAGCCCCCACCACCACCATGGACGCCCACAGCCCCCACCACCACCATGGACGCCCACAGCCCCCACCACCACCATGGACGCCCACAGCCCCCACCACCACCATGGACGCCCACAGCCCCCACCACCACCATGGACGCCCACAGCCCCCACCACCACCATGGACGCCCACAGCCCCCACCACCACCATGGACGCCCACAGCCCCCACCACCACCATGGACGCCCACAGCCCCCACCACCACCATGGACGCCCACAGCCCCCACCACCACCATGGACGCCCACAGCCCCCACCACCACCATGGACGCCCACAGCCCCCACCACCACCATGGACGCCCACAGCCCCCACCACCACCATGGACGCCCACAGCCCCCACCACCACCATGGACGCCCACAGCCCCCACCACCACCATGGACGCCCACAGCCCCCACCACCACCATGGACGCCCACAGCCCCCACCACCACCATGGACGCCCACAGCCCCCACCACCACCATGGACGCCCACAGCCCCCACCACCACCATGGACGCCCACAGCCCCCACCACCACCATGGACGCCCACAGCCCCCACCACCACCATGGACGCCCACAGCCCTCACCACCACCATGGACGCCCACAGCCCTCACCACCGGGGTCCCTGTAGTCCCCCCAGGCACTAAGCTCAGCAGAGGGAGCTGCCTGGAGTCTACGTGGCTGTGCTCCCCCAGAGAAGGAAGCAACACAGTGCCCACCCCCGTGGCCCACGTGGCTACTGTGCTCTGCCATCTTGGAACTGGAAGCATGGCTGGAGTGTGTCATGGTCTGGAACAATAAGGGTGGCTCCTGTGGAACCACCCCAGCCCAATGGCCCAACATCCCCAAGCAGAACTGGTGCAGCTGTTATAGCCTTCCCGGTGGGGCCAGGTGGACGTGAAGCCACTCTGCCTACCCCTCCCTCTACCCCTTTGGGCAGGAGCTGAAGCAGTGCCCTACATCCCAGGAAACAGTGCCTGGGCTGCCCAGAGCAGTCACGCACCCCAGGCCTGAGCTGAAGCAGTGCCCTATATCCCAGGAAACCGTGCCTGGGCTGCCCAGAACAGTCACACCCCTCAGGCCTGAGGTGAAACAGCACATTGCTTCCTGAGGAATCAGTGCCCTGGCCAAGCTGAACAGCTTCACATCCCAGAGCTGAGCTGAGATGGTACCCCACATTCCAGGGAAACAGCAGTGGCTGAGCGGAGACACCTACCCTACAGGCCAAACAACTTTAGTACCTGCTTCCCTGGAGCTGGACTAGCACTCTAGAGTCTCAGGGGCTGAGACAGCCCTCTACCTGGGAAGTGGAGGCATTGCTGTGTTATTCCCTACCCCTCAAGGGCCCAAATGACAACCTTATACCACCATCTGGGGTCCTTGCCATCACTGCACCTGGCCTCCCAGAGTGTGGGGTACTGCCAAGCCTCACCATCCCAGAGTCTAGTGTCACTACCACCTGGTGCCTGCCTCATCCCCCGGGACCCAAGTTGCCACTGAGCCCTACTGGCTGAGGTTACCAAATTGCAGTCATGCCCTGATCCTGAGGCCCAAACCCCCAGGACAACCCTTCTTCCCCAGAGTTGGGCCGGTGCTGTGCCCTGTCCCCGAGGGGTAGAATCACAGCTACAACCCAGACCCCCAGGCCTGAGCTGCTAGGGAGTGTCTCAGAGTCACAGATCTATGGGCAACCAACATCCAACCCTGCCGCAAAGAATGAACCTAGACCCCAAAACCCAGGTGCCATAATAGGCTTGTGAGACCCTGAGCCTAGGACCCTGGATCCATAGCTGCTGCAAGCACCTACATCTGGAACCCAGCATCACTGGAGCTGCTTATAGGCCATGTCAGACTGATATCAAGAGAGATGCCCTGACCTAAGTCCCCTATTGTGGGGAAAACAGGAATAGGAGGATCCCAAAACCTAATGTCAAAATTTATTGTATCAAAACCAAATGTCCTTTGATACCAAGGACATTAACCATCTATGCTGGCACCACTGCTACCACAAACTTCTACAGCCTAGACAACTGAGGCACCTACAGTTACTGCTGATATTCAACACAGCTGAAGAAGCTGAGTAGGGACTATATCACTGCACTTATCTGGAAACAGAGTCACCACATCCTTTTTAACCAGCACATTAAAACCAACCCAACTACATGTGAAAGTCTTTCTCTATGCAAGGCACTCTCAAAATTTGGAGGAGGTGGTTTTTCCACCAGATGCACAGACATCAATGCAAGGGCATGAGAAACATGAAAAAGCAAGGAAATATGACACAACCAAAGGGATCTAATAACTCTCTAGTAGCAGACCCAAATGAAAAGAAAATCAACAAATTGCTAGAAAAGGAATTCAAAATAATGACCTGAAGGAAACTCAACAGTATACAAGAAAATACAGATACACAATCCACCAAAATCAGGAAAACAATTCAGAATATGAACAAGAAATTCAAGAAAGTGATAGAAATCATAGAAAAAAAAACCAACTGAACAGAAATCCAGCAACTGATGAATTCAATGAATAAAATAAAAACACAATAGAGAGCTTCAACAGCAGACCTGATCAAGCAGAAGAAAGAATTTCTGAATATGAAGACAGGTCATTTGAAATTACCTAGTCAGAGGAAAAAAAAAGAAGAATGAAAAATATTTAAAAACCTGTAAGACATGGGACACTATTAAGCGCACACACACACACACACACACACACACACACACACACACACAGAGTTTGCATTATGGGTATTCCAAAGAAAAAGAGAAGAGAAAAGACATAGAAAACCTATTTAATGAAATAATAGCTGAGAAGTTCCCAAATCTGGAAATAGATATAAACATCCAGATCCAGGAAGCTTGAAGTTTCCCAATAGATTCAACCCAGAAAGGTCCTCCCCAAGGCAAATTATAGTCAAAATGTCAAAAGTTAAAGGCAGAGAGAATTCTAAAAACATCAAGAGGGTGGGCATGGTGGCTCATGCCTGTAATCCTAACACTTTGGGAGGCCAAGGCAGGTGGATCACATGAGCCCAGAAGTCCAAGACCAGCCTGGGCAACATGGTGAATCCTCATCTCTACCAAAAAACAAAAAACAAAAAACAAACAAACAAACAAACAAAATATATATATATATAGACACACACACACACACAATTAGCCAGGCGTGGTGGCATGTGCCTGTAATCCCAGCTACTCAGGAGGCTGAGGTCAGAGGATCACCTAAGCCTGGGAGGTCGAGGCTGCAGTGAGCTGAGATCGCGTCACTAAACTCCAGCCTGGGTGACAGAGTGAAACCCTGTATCAAAAGAATAAATAAATAAATAAATATATAAAAACAAAAACATCAAGAGAAAAGCATCAAGTCACATATGAGGGAATCCCCACTAGACTAACAGCAGATTTCTCTGCAGAAATCTTACAGGCTAGACCCAGAGAACAGGATGATATATTTAAAGTGCTGAAAGAAAAAAAAAAACTTGTCAACCAACAATACTATATCCAGCAAAGCTATCCTTCAGGAATGAGAGAGAAATAAAGTCTTTTGCAGGCAAGCAAAAACTGAGGAAATTCATTACCACTAGAACAGCTTTATAAGAAATGATTGAGGGAGTCCTACATCTGGAAGAGAAAAGATAATCGTCACTATCGTGAAAACATGCAAAAGTATAAAACTCACTGGTAGACCAGGTACACAAACAAGAAAGACGAAATAATAAAAACTTGGTTGGGCAGGGTGATTCATGCCTGTAGTACCAGCACTCTGGGAGGCCGAGGAAGGCAAATTGCTTGAGCCCAGTAGTTTGAGAGCAGCCTGGACAACATGGTGAAATCCCATCTCTACAAAAACAAAATTAGCCAGGTGTGGCAGTGCATGCCTGTGGCCCCAACTACCCAGGAGGCTGAGACAGGAGATTTGCTTGAGCCTGAGAAGTTGAGGCTGCAGTGAGCCATGGGCATGCCACTGTACTCAGCCTGGGCAACACAGTGAGACCCTGTCTCAAAAAAAAAGAAAAGAAAAGAATAAAAACCTGTTACTACAGAAATACACCAAACCAAAATAACAAACAATAAGCAAAGAAGAAAGGCACAAAGGATATATAAAACAACCAGAAAACAGTCAATGAAATGACAGGAATAAGTCCTTGCATATTAATAATAACCTTGAATTAAAACAGGTTAAATTCTCCCACTAAAAAGATATAGACTGGCTGAAAGGATTTTTTTTAATGACAAAACTATATGCTACCAACGAGAAATTCACTACACCCATTAAAGACACATATAGACTGAAAGTGAAGGGATAGAAAAAGATATTCCATGCAAACAAAAACCAAAAGCAAGCAGGATTAGCTGTATTTATATCAGATAAAACAGACTCTGTAAAGCAAAAATTGTAAAAAGAGAAAAGGTCATTATGTTATAATAAAAGGATCAATTCAGCAAGAGGATATAATAAATATACATGCACCCAACACCAAAGCACTCAGATACATAAATAGCAAGTATTATTAGATCTAAAGGGAGAGATGGACTCCAATACAATAACAGCTGGGGACTTCAACACCCCACTCGTGGCACTGGAGAAGTCATTTAGACAGAAAACAACAAGGAAACATTAGGTTTAAACTGTTCTTTATATCAAATGGACCTAACAGACATTTATAGAATCTTTCATCTAATAGCTGAAGATTACATTTTCTTTTCATCAGTACATGGAACATTCTCCAGCATAAAATTCTCCATCAACAAGTGAATGGATAAAGAACATGCAGTGTATATACACATAATGGAATACTATTTAGCCACAAAAAAGGAATAAAGTTCTGGGCTGGGCACGGTGGCTCATGCCTGTAATCCCAGCACTTTGGGAGGCCGAGGCATGTGGATCACCTGAGGTCAGGAGTTCAAGACCAGCCTGACCAACATGGAGAAACCCCATGTCTACCAAAAATACAAAATTAGCCAGGCATGGTGGCTCATGCCTGTAATCTCAGCTACTAGGGAGGCTGAGGCAGGAGAATTGCTTGAACCTGGGAGGCTGAGGTTGCCAGGAGGTGGAGGTTGCCATGAGCCGACATCGCATCATTGCACTACAGCCTGGGCAACAAGAGTGAAACTCCGTCTTAAAAAAAAAAAAAAGGAATAAAGTTATGTCATACCAGCAACATGGACAACCTTGGAGGTTATTAAGAGAAATAAGTCAGGCACAGAAAGATAAATACTGTATGTTCTCACTCATATGTGGAGGCTTAAAAAGTTGATCTTATAAAAGTAGAGAGTAAAATAGTGGCTAGTAGTGGCTGAGAAGTGTCAGGAGAAGGGGGCATAGCCAAAGGTTGATTAAAAAATACAAAAGTAGTCGGCCAGGCACAGTGGCTCACGCCTGTAATCCCAGCACTTTGGGAGGCCGAGGCGGGCAGATCACGAGGTCAAGAGAATGAGACCATCCTGGCCAACGTGGTGAAACCCCATCTGTACTAAAAATACATAAATATACAAAAATTAGCTGGGCATGGTGGCGCACACCTGTAGTCCCAGCTACTTGGGAGGCTGAGACAGGAGAATCGCTTGAACCTGGGAGGTAGAGGTTGCAGTGAGCCGAGATGGTGCCACTGCACTCCAGCCTGATGACAGAGCAAGACTCTGTCTCAAATAAATAAATAAATAAATAAATAAATAAATAAATAAATAAATAAAAATAAATAAAAAACAAATACAAAAGTACAGCTAGTTAGGAGGAATGAGTCTAGTGTTCCATAGCACTGCAGGGTGACTATAATTAACAATTTATAGTATGTTTCAAATAGCTAAACGAGCAGATTTTGAATGTTCTCAGCACAAATAAATGATAAATGAGGCAATAGATAAGCTAATTATCTGATTTGATCACTACACATTGTATACATGCAATGGAAATATCACACTGTACCCATAAATATGTACAATTATTATGTGTCAGTTGAAAACAATTTTACAAAACACACATTTGCATGTTTATTCTTAGGTTTTTACAGTTCTTTAATCTTATTTATTCACCTATTTTTTTGAGACAAGGTCTTGATAGGGTCTTGCTTTGTCGCCCAGACTATACTGCAGTGGCACAATCACAGCTCACTGCAGCCTTGACCTTCCACACTCAAACAATCCTAAGTTTCACCTTTTGACCTACACAGACTAATTGTATTACATTTTAATGTGAAGTCTCCACCCTGAAGTGAACTTGGGACCATGTAACATGAATGTTTGCTTACCACACAACCTAGCAAGCCCCTTTCACAAATATTCATAGCTCCTCCTATAACCTATTAAATATGTATGTTTAGCCAACCTGTTTAGCATAAAACTCCTCTCCCACCCTTCTTCCTTCAAAGTGCCTACTTTCTGTCTCAGCCAGAGGGTCTGCTTCCCAGGCTGTGGGTTGCAACTCTTCTCAGAAATAAAGTTCTCCTTTCCAAATTTAAGATCTTGTGATCTTTATTTTGACATATGAGATTTCCCTAGCCGGTTTTTAGTCCATCCCTGAAAGACTGAATGGTTAGATCTTTGATATCTTTCTCAAGTACCTCCCATTTGACCTCAGCCATCCATTTTCAAGTATCACCAGTCCCAGTATCATATGAATAAATTGGGAAAGATCAAGGAATCATGGATCATATACTCCAGGAGAATTTTTTACCTCCAAGAAAATTTCTGGGGGCTTTCCTTTGAAACCTTTCACTGTTGCTCTGAACTCAAAAGATTTCTGAACAAGGCATAACAGTGATTAAAGAAGCAGACTTATTAATCTGAGGGCCTAACTATATAAGGCATTTGTTTAGCTTTCTTTTTGTCTTTGGGGTAGGAAGGTAACTGAGATAAGAAGTTAGGAGATTCTGAGTAGGCAGAGAAGGATAGAAAGATAGAATGTACAGTGAGTTCAATACATCAAAATACAATTTTTTTTCTCATAAATTAGCTGCTTAAGTTTTTCATTTGCTTTTTGTAAGAAGTCATTTAGAAAGGCAATTTTTGGTTCATTTAACCTTTTAGAAGCCTCTGCATGTCAATCAAAATACATCCTTTTGTTTCTGAGGTGTTTTTTGTCCTTTCTTAATATTTTATTTTATTCCTTTCAGACCTAGTCCTGCAAATATCCTTTCTTTTCTAATGTCTTGCAAGTGAACAATTTTATCTAGGTTAAAACTTCCTCACTTTGACCACTGTTAACTCTTAGATTACCTTTGGTAGGTTCACCCATTTCTCTGGAAAAGTGCAGACTCTGGGTTCATAGGTTCTTATACATGAAATTGGCTGGAGTTCCAGGTGGAGGAGTTTCAGACTCCTTGGATCCAAATGAAGGCATCATTCCCTGTATTCTCATACCCTTTCCTACCATAAGCCTCCTACTGGACTCAGTCCTGCTCCCATAGGCCTTGTACTGGATCCAGTCCCAGTTTCTGTTGTAACTTCTGGACCCAGCTCAGATCAAAAATGCTCAAATAAACTTTAAGAATTTGACACAAGTTGTAGAGTTTGTATCCAAGCAGGGCCTACAAGTGGCGGCCTCCAAATGTGCAGTGAGAAGCCCTGAGCACAAATGGCTCAGTGTGTGAAGCAGGCCCACGGGCACTGGTTACCAACCTGTTCTGAATTCTCATAAGCAACAATTTACATGTAGTGCATTTATTACCTATAGACAGGTGGTAGGAGACGAAGACTAGGACTCACTGTGAGCCAATCCCCCCAAAGCTCAGAAAGTTGCCCAGGTGGATGAAATCTCTACTGCGTATTCCTCACTTACACCACAGATAAGAGATCCCGAAGAGCAGCCCACCCAGATTACATACCACATGTCACATGAATCACTGGGCTAAAGTGTTGAAGGACCTTCTATTTCTAGGGGAGAACTGGAACAGAGCCTGGGCTACTTCAGCCAGTCCCTCCCTATCTCAGGATGTTGCATCCCAGCTCGTTATGCAGTTACTCTTGAAAACTACAAAGGAAAAGGAGGGAGAAGTGGGTAGGCCCAAGGCTATACAGAGAACTGTCCTGCACAATGAAGCACCTGCATCTGTTTAGTCACTGTTCCCAGAGGTCATCATTGAGGGAATAGGGGGGCCTTCAGATCCCATTTCTGACACCAGAACTGTTAAAAGAGAAACTTTACACAAAACAAATTCGAGTTTATTCGAGCAAGAAAACAATTCATGAATCAGGCAGCATGCAGAAGCAGAAGAGGTTCAGAGAGTTCCACTCAGCAGCATGAGCAGCAAGCTTTTATAGACCCAACACGGAAGCAGAAAAATTACTTGATTGGGTTTTGGTTTGCTTGCATAGGAGCTGGTGTTACAGAGTTGATCTCAAGCTAATGGCCTCCTTATTTGCTTTAGCACCCCACACCTGAACCCAAGGGAAAGCTTGAAGGGAGCCCAGCACCGAAACAAACTAGTAAATGCCTGGGGGCAAACAACAGTGTTTTTATCAAGTAACCATGACACATACATCTTCCTCAGCAGTGGCAGAGCAGTCTTGTAGAGTTAGATAGGAAGATGATGGCCTGGCCACGCATGCTCAGCTGCTGGCCCGGCTCATTCTACAGGTATTAACCAGTATTTGGCCCACAGTGTGCTAAGCACCATTCTAGGTGCTGAGGATGCTAAGGTGACCCCAACAATGTCCCTGATCTCTTAAAGCTAATTCTGGTGGGATGCTGAACACAGGATGTAACCTAAGGTGGTGATGAGAGGTACACAGACAAATCGGAAGGCACAAGTTAGCCACCAGTGAGGGGAAACTCCAGACAACGTAGACACATAAGGCCAGGTGGAGAAATGGATGACTGAGTTAAACTTGGGTAAGGAGCCTGGCAAATGAAGACAGAAGCATGACCCAGTCAGGGGAAACCACAACAAAAGACGTTTGGTGGGAACTGCCTGTTTCTTAATTTCCAAAAATCAGTTAAAGGTTCATATACATTATCTCATTTCAACATCACTGGTAGAAAGATTCCATTTTTATGGAGAGGGGATCTGAGGCCCAGAAAGGAGACGATCTGTCATCGTTTTCCACTCAAGGGCAAACATGGGGATATCCCATCCCATCCCAAAGCCTAAGATTTTGCACTCCAGGCCCTTTGTCTGACCTGAAATTACTGAGCTAAAAGGGACCGAAAGATCCTAATGGAACCACCGATGGGAAAACTGCGGCCCAGGAGGAAACACACCAAGCAAAATTGCACCGTATCCAGGTGGCCAGTCTCCAGACTGGGGTCTCCCTGCCCCGCCAGACCATCTCCCGGCGACAAGGGTCTCAGGTTTCCGAAATCTCGCCACCCGCGAGTGATTTGCAGCGCAGGGGCCTCTGCTGCCTCGGAAACCTTCAAAGGTGGGCGGGTCGGGGACCAAGTCCCCCTAGGGATGGAGAAGGAAACGGGGCCAAGGAAAAGGACATCGCCACCCTGGGCAGAGCACGCACGGCCCCAGCGACTCGGACATGGTGAGGGGCGCGGAGGCTCGGGGTGGACCCGAGGCCTCCACACATGTGGCAGGCTGCAGCAACCCGCCACCCACGAGGACTCGCCCAAGGCCCAGAGCGCGCCGGGCCCCTCCCTCCGACTCCGTCGCCGCCCGACTGGCCGCAGCGGAAGCCGGCGCGCGATCCCACGCTGCGCTTTCGCCACGTCCTGACGGCTGCCCGATAAAACGGACATTAAAATTGCACTTTCCACTGAATACAGCAGCGCCTATTGTGGCGGCACACCTGAATGCGAAAATTAAAGCCAAAATATTTCCTAGCGGCTAAAAGAGCTCCAAGCCTAGGCGAATCTGCCGGTCCGCTCGCCGGAAATGCGGGCTCTCCTGCCGGAAGCTGCCCCTCCACCATTTTGTGGCCCGCTATGGCGGCGGTGTTGAGGTTGGGTACGGGATGCGGGGTCTTTGACTGAAGGGGTAGGCCAAGTGGAGGTATCAGGGACGTCGCGCGGCACAGAAGAGGACCAGCCTGGACGCCGGGGACGCTGTCATGTACGGCGCGAGCGGGGGCCGCGCCAAACCCGAGAGGAAAAGCGGCGCGAAGGAGGAGGCCGGGCCAGGCGGTGCCGGCGGTGGGGGCAGCCGAGTGGAGCTCTTGGTTTTCGGCTATGCCTGCAAGCTGTTCCGGGACGACGAGCGGGCCCTGGCTCAGGAACAGGGACAGCACCTCATCCCCTGGATGGGGGACCACAAGATCCTCATCGACAGGTCGGTTCCTCTCCCCACCCGTCGATCCTTCCCTTCCCTCACCCGCTTGATCTCGTCTGATGTTGACTTGACTGCAAGGACTGCAGAGAGTTTTCTGGAGCCAGCGGGGATCTGGGGGACACCCCCTCCCCTGTCCCCACCTCCTCCTGGTGTTCTGGTGGGGAGGGGGACGGTGAAACCTGCCCTAAGGCACTGGCTGGAATTGCGTGCCGCGTCCGTCTCCGGAGGGATCGTCTCTGGTCCCGCAGCCCCTCTCGACCCCTCACCCTGTCGCTGGGCTGCAGTTGGCGATTCCGCGCGGTGAAAGCAGCCAGTGCCCAGGGTCTTTTCCTGAGTGCACCTGGGCCTGCCGCCCGGCGATGCCATGGGGTCGTGCGCTGCTTTTCTACTTGCCGCGCTCTCACTGCTCGGTGTACTGGGAGGGTACCCTGGGAGGCGTGCCTTTATTCTTCCGAACCGCCGCTCACTGAGACAGTGGCTAGAAGTGTCTCTTGGACCTGTGAGTTAGCCTTAACCTGTTATGCCCCCAGAGCCCTCAGTGGAGCGCCCGTACTTTGCCGGCATGACGTTTGATTTCCCGGTGATAATCCGACGAGTTTGACAGATTGAGGTAGTGAGCAAAGTTGCCCGTCAGTTGGTGGCCACTTGACTTCGTGCGGACCCTGGCCTTGCTCTTGGAAGAGATAGTGTTCTTAGGGCTGGTTTCACTGTCTCTTAAGACTGAAGGGTGGAGCTGGGATATAGATGTGTTGTTTCTTTTCAAATCAAACCTGCTTTAGGTCGTCACTCGAGGGTGTCTAGCGATTATGGGCAGTGGGGGCCTGGGATTAGGGATTTCTAAAGGCGTTTGATTTGAAAAGGATAACATTACATGATGTAGGTGGTTTGCTCCCCTCTTTCTTCCCATTTTTTCAATCCCCCTTCCCCTCGTCTCTGGGTTTTGGGGTTGTTGTGGGGTGGTTTTTTTTCTTTTTTGCCTGTTCGGCTACTTCTGGGGCCCGGACTGAAAAGCTAACCATGACCAACCATTAAACTGTGGAATAGTCTCTCCACGTGAAGAAAGCCCATCGTTTGAGACCATTAAAACTGGATTCTTCATAGCCCTGGAGCATGACTGTAGGGATGACCTCTGAGCTGGCCAGAATGGACACATTAATGACCAAATAGGCCTTTTTCCATCCCTGACGTTTCCTTTTGGAATTAGAGCTCGAAAACGAGAACTGGTGAAGGGAGGGCCGCGGAATCAGATCATGTCTGGATCTGATGGCTCCGTGCTGTGCTCAAGCGTGCTGTGCCTTCACACCATGGTTTATATTGAATGTGTCGCCTGAGTTGTCAGGCTTGCTTTTCCAAAGTGTCACTTGTGTTATTTATCATTAAAGTTTGGTAAGCAATGAAGTCTGAGCTCTTTGTACAGTTTTCCTATCATTCTGTACATGATTTGAGTTAGGTCTTCCAAAACTGGTGGGGAGCAAACGCCGCACATGTACATGTATAATATTTTTAATAATAATCT
The DNA here is from genome assembly GCF_000001405.40 of Homo sapiens. NCBI lineage: Eukaryota > Metazoa > Chordata > Mammalia > Primates > Hominidae > Homo > Homo sapiens. The sequence goes on from NC_000012.12 coordinate 131,712,964, forward strand.
ACATTTGTAAGTTAAGGAGGTTTACATCAAAATCCAATTAATTTTGAAATTTAATGAAATGCAGTAACTTGACTACCTTGGAATTTTGGGCCTTTTTCCTGTAAATGTCTTTTTTGGTCTACATTAATATTTTTGGTTCCCATTACAAAAGTCAGCATTAAAAAAATAAGCAGACTTTTGTTTGTTTCTCTACATTTGTTTTTGAAACCCTAAACCTGAGTGTTTTAAGTAAAGTTCACTAACTCATTCATTTATTATCTGACAGTTACACGTTGACAGCATCCTCATTGAATCCTTTATGTTAAAAGCATAGCAGAAAGTGCTCCCATTACTTATTTGGCCAAACTACTGTTTGGTCCATGCAAGAGAAACATGGAAGTGTCTTCATGTATGTTATTTCCTTGAGGGTATAAAGTTCAGAAGGAAATATTGATACCATATCTTCTAATAGTTTTGCTCTGTTCCCAGTGAACCTCCTTAAACTGCATGTATATGTCACTGTTCCAATGTATGTGTGTCTCTCTATCACGTAACCCAGCACTTATTTCCTCAGCCAAGTGGCTAGGGGGCGAGCCTAGCCAAGATTTTACCTCCAATGGACGCAAGTTTCTTTGGTGAAGATCTCTCCTGAGAGTTCGGGACTAGCAGAAAGAAGCGAGGAAATTTCGACCGTTTGGTTCTTACGGATAGGTATTTATGTATTTGGTTTGTGTGAATGTAAGCTATGATATTTAACTTTTCAGAAAAAAATAATAATTTTTTGCAAGTGGCATTGAATGGTTGACCAAACCATAATGGTAAGAACTGCCAGTGAAGTGGGTACCATTTTTGCTATTAATGGATTGTTTGCCTTTAGTTATAAATGTTATCTTACTGTGGAAAGGAATTTAGAGTTTGTTAAGATAACTTGAGTTTAAAAGTAGGTGAGATATGACTATCCAAATTAAATATAAATCTGGGAAGAGTTTTTATACTTGTTTTAATATTTTTGTTTATTTTAATCGGTAAGTATGTGTGTGTATATATATATACATATATAAAACATCACACACGCACACCAGTCTAGACGTTAATTTCCTTTTATTGACCAGCTTGTTCACATTACAGATATGATGGACGTGGTCACCTGCATGACCTTTCTGAGTACGATGCTGAGTATTCCACGTGGAACAGAGATTATCAGCTGTCTGAAGAGGAGGCGCGAATAGAGGCCCTGTGTGATGAAGAGAGGTATTTAGCCTTGCATACGGACTTGCTTGAGGAGGAGGCAAGGCAAGGTACTGCTCAAGACAAACTTACTTCAGCAACAAACTTTTTAAAATTTTTAAGTATTTAAAAATTTACTCCCATTCATTTTTTTATACTCACTCTTTCTGATATTATCTTGACAGTACCCAGTGGATTGGAAAAACAGGAGTCTTTGCGTTCTGAGAGGACCTCAGGATAGTTTATATATAGAGCCACAAAGAATTTTCCCAGCTTTTGAGGGCAGACTGGGATTTGAAAAAAACAAAAACCAAACTCTTTAACTGTTCTTCTTTAACAGTATCGTATAAATAAAATTGATGTTCTTGTCTTTGCCGTAACAGTCTTTAATACAGTTCTTAATCCCAAAATTTTCTCAGCAGGAAGAAATTTTCCACAAAAGACGTGTATTCAGCTGTCTGTGGGTAAACATGTACTGACAAAAGTACATAATGATAGATATAAAGTGTGAATTTTTAAAACTATTTTACCTCAAAAGTAGGTTGAAAAAAGTATGTTGTATGCTTTACTGATAGCTACAACTTTAGAAATATATAAAGTTTTTCTCAGTAATTTTCTATTTTTGTTGATAAAATTCTCATTTTTATTCAAGAGGAAGAATACAAGCGATTGAGTGAAGCACTAGCAGAGGATGGGAGCTACAATGCCGTGGGGTTCACTTACGGTAGCGACTATTACGACCCGTCAGAGCCGACGGAGGAGGAGGAGCCTTCCAAACAGAGAGGTGAGTGGGGAGCTGCCTGGACTGCTGGTGTAGGGCTACACGTGTACGCACAGGCTGCATGCACCGTGGTCCAGTCTGCAGAACACATCTCTGGCACTCATGATAGCACCACTATGACCACAGGAGAAAACGGGAGTGATATTCCTTCTTTTGGTAAAACGAAGTTAAAAACTAGAATGATTAATGGAGGTGGAAAGTGAATGCGTTGGATTATTTATTTCTCATTGATTCGGGTAACAGAATTACTCATTCAGGATTATTTGTTTCTAGATTGGTAACATGTTCATTAATATCCTCAGGGATTCATTCTTGAGGCAGTGAAAGAATAGGTGTTAACTGGGATAAGTTAACATCACCGCCCTCTCACTGACCTGCTTCCCCATATCCCTCCACAACTGAGACAGTGACACATGCCCAGTGGAAGGACACAGTGAGGGAGTTTCTACTCCCCAGAAAACAGCACAGCTTCCTGGTAGCCTTGATGCCACCTAGGGCATATACTTACCACAGTATTTTAAATTAAAGATTTGGAATTTATGCTTTTCTGGATTAACATGGGAAACTTTGAATATAAAAAATAGTGCTGCTGAAAAACCTGGGCTCGTGTAGTATAGACACAAATATCCTCAATCACTTCACTAAGCGTCGAGAGCTCCACTACCACAGCGCTGCATCATGGTCAGTCGTTAATTAGCAGTAATGCTAACATGAACCTGACACCTTAAAGACGGGTCAGTATATTCAGGATATTCTGTTTAAAAAGAAGAAGAACATTAACTTAGAAACATTCAAATGTTTACATTACATCAAATGGAGATTTAATTGTAGAGCTAATTTAATCTGTTATTCTGAACTTCATCGGTTTCTCCTTAAGTAACACTTTTTATCTTTTTAAATTTTTTTATTAAAATACACAATAATTTAAAAAAAGAGATGGGGTCTCACTGTGTTGCCCAAGCTAGTCTCAAACTCCTGAGCTCAAGTGATCCTACTGCCTTGGCCTCCCAAAGCACTGGGATTACAGGCATGAGCCACCACATCCAGCCAAGTGACACATCTTTTAACAAGTATGAAGCAATTATAGCACTTTAGTAGTAAAGCAAAATGATGTTTGCCCTTCCATCCTGTGACTGCACTATGGTTCTACCCATCGGCACTCTCCAAGGGCTGCGATCCTAACGGAATGATAGGACGTGGGGCAAACGCACACACCGGCTTTCCTTTTGCCCTGTCTTTAGTCCTGCTCCTTACTTTGTGGGCACAAGAATTACTGTTGCACAGCTCTATTTTATGAGCTTTTAGAGAAACTTTCAAGTGTAATTGTAATTATACTGAGTTAAAGGCCAGTTAAGGTATTTAAGACTTTTTGCATTGACTTTCAAACCTACCCATCCCTCAGAAGTTACGATGCACTAGAAATGTTCTATCAGGTCTAAAACGTAAACACCCATTTATTTATCCAGAATAAGCTCTCCTTCCTCGGGTTCTGGATAGTTCTGATTTTGTTGTCTTATCTCTAAGCCACACACATGAGTTCAGCTTTCTATCTGTGGTGTTTTTATCAGAAGGAAGGAATAGATACTATAGCCACTTCACAAATAAAGAGTTGAAATACAGTCAGCTTATTGGGTCCACATCTGTGGATTCAACCAACCACAGATCTAAAGTATTGGAAAGAAAATAACAAAGTTTTATTGGAACACAGCAATGCTCATTTGTTTACATATTGTCTGTTGCCACTTTCGCACTTCAGCAACAGAGTTGAAGAAATGAAACACCATATGGCCCACAAAACCAGAAATATTTATTAATACTGTCTGGCATTTTATAGAGTTTGTCAGCCCCTATTCTAGATGATGGACCATTGTCTCGGCGTAATTATTGGGCTAAATGATGTTCAGTTTGTTATAATTATTGAATCTTGAGAACTTCAGCATGACTTAGCTTATCATCTGAGTATTAGTTTGCTTTCCCCTTAAGATAAAGTTCTCTTTAGTATTTTACAATGTTACTTCTTTTCTTTCTGTAATCGTGTTCTCAGAACATTGCCTTATATACTGATTAATTTCGTTAATGGAAATTGGGCCCACATAAAACTTAGAGCTTGACATTTCGTGTTTAACTTGCATTAATATAAGTGAAACACCTAACACACACACACACATACGTGCATATTGTAATAGAATCCAGTACCACTAACAGCCCCATTGAGCGTCACATTCTGTTAAAATAAAATTTTTTTTCCTGAGCCATCAATATGTCTACGTATGTCTTGATTTTCAAAATTACTGTATTGTATTGTTTGTTAGTATTTTAAAGCCTTGTGATACTAGCCAAAAGCATTTTGATGGTGCCTCCATCTCTGATCTTTACTATTTTCAGTCAAGTTTTTATCCTTTAGATGTTCATAATTTTTCATCATTATTCTATATCCATTTTTTTCCCTCTTTTTTAGGGGAATAATGGGGCGGGGACAGGCCCTCACTGCTATATATCCATTTTTTAAACAAAAGGTTATTTGAATTTATTTAAATCTGAGTTTGTAGTGCAATGGTTGGTTTTTATTTTGTGCTACTAAAGCTGTTTTTTTGTAAATAAAGGTATATATAAGAATAGACCAAATCTGTTTAACCCATCAATCCCAAAAAGCTATTTCAATTAAAATGCCTTGATTTTTATGAATAACTTAACATTAAGGAGAAGCTATTTGCCTAGACAATGTTTTAATCATTTTTTTCATTTTAGGAAAATATAGTAAAAGTTGTATTTTTAAATTTACTTTGTTTTACTTTTTTGAGACAGAGTCTCGCTCTGTCACCCAGGCTGGAATGCAGTGGTGCGGTGTCAGCTCACTGCAACCTCCACCTCCCGGGTTCAAGCAATTCTTGTGCTTTAGCCTCCCAAATAGCTGGGATTACAGGCGCCCGCCACCACAACTGGCTAATTTTTCTATTTTTAATGGAGACAGGATTTCACCATGTTGGCCAGACTGGTCTCAAACTCCTGACCTCAAGTGATCCGCCTGCCTCGGCCTCCCAAAGTGCTGGGATTCCAGGCGTGAGCCACCACACCCGGTTACAGGTGTGAGCCACTGAGCCCGGCTTCATCTCTGATTTTTGAAAGAACAGGGGACTCAAACAAATGGATGGGACGGTGTTAAATAACTGTAACTTAATAGGGATTGTAATCAACTTATATCTGATCAGACTGGAATACCCAAGTTTTTGTATACCAGGAAACCTGCTTAAAATTCTTCTTTGGTTTCACGGAATGAGGTTTGACAGGAGATCTTTGCAAATTATTGATCGCTTCAAGAGCCTTTACTGTATATGATAGAAACACTTATTTTGATGAAGATTTAAGGTTTGTTTCTTTAATGTCATCTGTTTGGAAATAAGAACCTCAATAGATCATTGAAATCCTTAAAAATGTTACCTTTTTAAAGTTTGCTATGATATTTTTGTACATTTCAGTGTGTCTTTTTAAACTGGTAATCATCTGAGTTACTGAGATGTACTTAGGTACCTTAGAATACAGAAAGATAATGTGTAGTACGTTGTCTACCACATAGTAGACAAGTATTTGTTAAGTGAATGGTTAATGAATACATAGAAATGGAAAAATAATTGATTATTTGTGAAAGAGGTAGTTTGCTTGGGTGGAGGAATCTTGATAGTTATGCCCAGGTGGTTTACAATTCAAAGATGAAAATCAGTTATCTAGGAATTGACTACCTTATGTAGTGTCATGCTGTCAGGAATCCACAGAAATAGTTGGAGAGAAATCTTAGCGATACCAATTAAATACATACATACCTGAAAGAGCAGCGGAGGGGAAAAGGAACATGGATTGAGCACCTGCTAAGTGTGGAGGATTATGGTAGAGATGTTCACATGGGCTATCTCACCTAAGCCCCACTTGGCCCTGGGAGTGGATGTGATGACTTCACAACCAGTGAGGAAACAGAGAACAGCAGAATCCCGGAGCTAACAAGCGGCAGGGCAGGAGTTTAACTACAGTTAACCCTTGAACAACACAGGTTTGAATTGCGTAGGTCCGCTTGTATGAGGATTTTTTTCAGCCAAACACTGATCAGATTGAGGGATGTGAGACCCGCATATATGGAGGGTCAGCTTCTTTATATATGTGGGTTCAAATGGACCAAATGCAGAATTCGAGCACGTGTGGATATTGGTGTCTGCAAGGGTCCTAGAACCAGTCCCCTGCGTATACCAAGGGAATACCGTGCAGTCTGACCCTATACACACTCCTTCTGCTGCACCCCACCTCCCCCCACCACCCCACCTCATTTGGAATTTTGTAAAGTGAGTTTCACTTGCGTTGTGGGTAGAAGAGAAAGCTGAAGATGGCTTCTAGGAGTAACAACAGAAGGTAAAGAAGCAGGGACAGCCAGTCACATGCTTCCATCTTGCTGCCTGCTGTTAGCAGGTGCCTTCCTCCCTGCATTGTTCTGAATTTTTTAATTTTCTTTTTATGCAGAAAAAAATGAGGCCGAAAATTTAGAGGAAAATGAAGAGCCCTTCGTTGCCCCCTTAGGATTGAGCGTCCCGTCTGACGTGGAGTTGGTATGTGTCCTGCATGAGCACTAGTTGTCGTCATTATTATTTATCATAATTCACTCCTGCTTGTGGGAAAGCTCAATAATGATTATAGCTGCTTTTTAGGCATATAATGCTTTAAAATGGTTTGTGAGTTAATGGAGAAAAAGATCACACCCTATTTATTTTCCCCAAAGGAAAAGGGAAGAATTATAGCAAAAGAGCTAGACTGGAGCATCAGGGACTTGAGGAGTTGGGTGTGATTCAGCGGCCATGTAGTTGAATCCCCAGATTTTACTAGCTTAGAAAAACTAAATCAGGATCAGTGGCGAGTGGGCTGCTCCCCACACATAGATGTAAAAGCACTCAAGATCAAGACAGCGTTGATTTCAGTAACGTTGCTTTGTTCTGGCTTTTTAAAGTGTGATTTTTGGGGTCACTTCACGTTACATTTTCTTAGCAGTTTTCTGTGTTGTGATAGGTCCCTGTGGCATCTCCAGGCCCAGGCCACCCTTCCACTGATGAAGGGGAATTCCACCCTGGTTTTCCTCATCTGAGGGCTTTGCAACTGGTTACTGTCTGTTCAGCATTGACCTTTCCTGCTATTTCAGTTATATCACATTAAATTAAGTTATAACAGGTGTTAAAGCCCAAACCAGGATTTTTCCTTTTTTTCTGAATATTCATTGAGGGATTTCCCCATTCCAGTCACTGTGCTAAGCTGTTTTTTACATATTATCTTATTTAATGCTAACAACCCTATAAGCGAACTACTGTTTACTATCCCTCTTGTGCCAGTGAAGAAACTGAGACTTAGGAAAGTCAAGAATTTGGCTAATAAATAGCAACTGGGAACGTTGGTCTTAACTATGATGCCATCTTCAGTCACCGTGCTTTATGGGATTTTTATATGTTTACTGGGAAGGTTGAAAATCTTTTTGTTGTGTGTGTATACTTGGGAAGGACTCTTAAGTGTTCGTGCCTAGCAGGAAGTTTTTTCTTGGACATTTTCGTAACTGGATTGCAAGTGGCATCGATGCAGGCATTCTCAATTCTTGTTTGTGTCCCACATCCTGAATCACTCACTGCATGGTAGATGCCGGGAAAGCTCCGCACAGAGAGAGCATCTCTCACCTCCCACTGCGATCACTCGCTGCCACTCTAATTGAGTTCAGCGTGAATTTGATGGTTCTTACCCTTCATTAATCTGATGAAGGGCAATATAAAAATAGCCCTTTTAATTCCTGCCTCCAACGCTTTCCTTCTCTTCCCTTATTCATTTACATATCCTCTCCCTCTCTTTTATTCTTTCAAATATGGGTAAAATAACTTTTTGGATTTTGCCTAGTATAATTACTACTTGTATTGGTCTGTTCTCACACAGCTATAAAAAAATACCTGAGACTGGGTAATTTATAAAGAAGAGGTTTAATTGGCTCACGATTCTGCAGGCTGTACAGGAAGCCGGGCAGCATCTGCTTCTGGGGAGGCCTCAGGAAACTTATAGTCATGGCGGAAGGTGAGGAGGGAGCAGGCATGTCTAAGCATGTCCAGAGCAGGAGGAAGGCAGGGAGGTGCTACACACTTTCAAATGACCAGATCTTACGACAGCTCATTCACTGTCTATCACGGGAGCAGCACCGAGGAGATGGTGCGAAACTATTCATGAAGGATCCACCCCATGATTCATTCACCTCCCACCAGGCACTGCCTCCAACATTGGGAATGACAATTCTACAGGAGATTTGGCTGGGGACACAGATCCAAACTGATCCAAACTATATTACTACATATGTTTGTTTCTCCATTTCTAGTATTGATCATTTTGCTGTAGTTAAAGCTGAAATTACCCAAAGATTTGATATCCTGAGACTTGTATTAATATATTTTCCATGTATTATATATATTGTATTCCTATTTGTTCTGAAATATGTTTATTATGCATGAGAGACACATTAACATGAAGCTTTAAAAAATCACAGTTGCTCCATTTTTATTAAATGCTAAGTGCTCCATCTCTATTTAATGCTAAAAAGTTTATATGAAGTTGACTATATGGAATTTTACTTGTTTTTAGTGTTAAAAATTTTTTAATTTTTTATTCAAATTTAAATATAGAGGTACAATGGAATTGTGTTGCCTTAATTCCTATTAAAATATTTAATGGCTTTGTGTTCTCAGCCAAAATAAGCATCACTAAGCTCTTGATAGTCTGCCAGATCAAACATACTTGTCACTCATTGGAGAGCAAAGTAAGTCTTAGTGTGTAGCAACTTGCTGTCTTATCATTAGAGTTTCTTCTAATGATATTATAGAAAGGCCTCTTGAATGTTGTTTTGACTTTGTGGAAACTGAGTGCTTGATTGAGTCTCTCATTTGCGTCTTTCATTTATTTTATGGCAGTGTCAGTATTTCATTCTCATAATTATTATGTGTTTTTTGGCAGTAATTCATTGTGTAAATTATACACCGTGGTGTCCATGTTAGTGGAGAAAATGTAGAAGACAGAAGTGTCTGCATTATAAGTTGTTTTAGTGACTAGGCCTCAGAATTGTTGAATTGTGGTTAAGTAGACTATTGCTGCTTAAGGGGGCAGGACATGGTTTGACTCACTGACAAGAGAAGATTGGAGTGATTGGGAAAGACAGCAGGTACTTCAGGAGGTTCTTGGTTTTTAAACTAACTGTTGGTTTAGAACCTAATGATGACAGGATCCTTGAGGCTTTTGGATGAAGAGTAAGAAGTAGTTAGAAATTACAGCACCCCAGGCTGGGTACAGTGGCTCACACCTGTAATCCCAGCTCTTTGGGAGACTAAGGTTGGAGGATCACTTGAGGCCAGGAGTTCAAGACTAGCCTGGGCAACATAGTGAGATCCTGTCTCTACAAACAAGTAAAAATAATAGGCCAGTGTGGTGGCACGTGCCTGTAGTCCCAGACCTGTTAGGGCGCAGTTCCAAGGGAAATGTGCTTGCTCGAACACATTTTATGGAAAGTGGGGAAGGATTCGATAGTTGCTGTTGTGTGCAACGCTTATTCTGTTGATGAATAATAACATAGAACCAGCCTTTATGAAGCACTTACTGTGTACCAGACAGTGTACTAAGTGCTTCTCTAGGCATATCTCTCAGTTAATACTCAAAATAATTTTACAGGCCAGGTGCAGCGGCTCATGTCTGTGATCCCAGCACTTTGGGAGGCCGAGGTGGGAGAATCGCTTGAGCCCAGGAGTTCAAGACCAGCCTGGGCAACATGGTGAAACTCCGCCTCTACAAAAAATGAAAAAAATTAGCCAGGCGTGGTGGTACATGCCTGTAGTCTCAGCTACTCAGGAGGCCAAGGCGGGAGGATGGTTTGAGCCCTGGAGGTGGAGGTTGTAGTGAGCTAATACGGTACTGCTGCACTCCAGCCTAGACAACAGAGCCAGATCCTGTCTCAAAAAAATAAAAATACAAAAATAACTCTATGAAGCAAATACAGTTGTTGCCAGATGTTAAAGTTTAGAAAGTTAAGAGTAACTGCCCTAAGTTACATGTGTGAGGGTCAGGCCTGGGGTTCTAGCCAAGGGACCGACTCCAGAGCTCTGAACCACTAAAGTTAAGCTTTATCGAATTTGTGCAGATTAGAGCATTATTTCATCATAATTTAGGTACTGTATTGTCACAGAAGGTGGGTGGGGAGGGAAAAAATGTTGATTTATTCTTGAATTACTGTGGAGTGACTGGCCTTTTGTTCAGATTCGTAAGGACTCTTGACGTCTAATGAGCCTTAACTCTTGGTCCCCAATGTGTCTTGCAGGTATTTTCTCCCCGCACTTTGTTTTCTAAGTGATTGTACGACTCTCTGTGCAGAATTTAAGTATAGAGTGATATATGTCCCTCTATTCCTTATGGCTTCAGAATTTTAAAGCTTATTTTGGAAGGCTTCCCACCCACAAGAGTTTGAAAATATTTTCCTATATTTACTGCTGGTACTTCTGTATTTGTATTTTTGCCTTTGAATTTTGACTCAATCTGATACTTACTTAGGGCTCTGGGCAAAGCAGGTATTTGATTTTTTTTCTCCCCTAACCCCGTGAGGAGAGGGCTGGCCCCACTGCCCCTGGGGTTCCTTGCTAATTTCCCCTCTTCATGTCATGCCACCTCCTTCCTGGTCCCCCGATGGGTCTGAGCTCAAGCCTTTTCCAAAGCTCTTAGGAAACCGTGCATTTGTGTGGGTTTTCTGACCTGTAGATACCTTTCTCCTGTTTCCCATGCCTCCTCTGGAGCTTAAATTCACATTAATGGAATTTCCAGGGAAGGGGAGGAGGTGTTAGCCCCCTTCCGGGGCTCTGTCGGCTTCCTTAAACAAAAGGCTTCCCCACTGGATTTAAATTAGAAAAACAGTTTTCCTTTTCTTAGGCCATTGTAACATATGCATATTTATATGTTGACTGTATTTTTTAAATCTCATTGTGTAGTAGGAGTGATCATGATATTCTTAAATGGAAAATGATTTACCTAAAGTCTGCCTAATAAAGTAAAGAATGGCTTTTTCCAAACCAGATACTTTTTAATCTTATTCAGGGTTGGTAGCCAACCTTGAAATATGTCCGTAAGATGCTTTGTTTTTTTGTAAAATTACTTACACATTGCTTTTTAACCATGGTAATAGAAGTAGTATATAACAAATAGGCCTACTTTTAAGAAATTTTGGATCAACAAGTTGGTTTGGTCAATAAAGAAAGCCTAAACTGGGCCAGTATCATATTTTCCTTTAAGGGTCATTACTATGAAGTGATCATTAATTATTGATGTGTTTATGGAATATTCTGTTTTAACAATGAATAACCAGAGCCCCTGAAAATCCAAGTCGTGGACATGCATACAGTGGGCCTTTAACATGGAATTTAAATTATTTGGGGATTAATGAATAATTGTAGACATCTATCCTTTTTAAGTGTGAAGGATGTTATTAGTTCAAAAATTAAATTAGAGAATTAAGCCATTTATATTTTATGAAGGATGAAGCCCTGAATTCTTAACCATCCATTTTTAATGAGAATAATTGCCAGATTTATTTGCAAATAATTTCCTAGTGTTAATCTCTTTGTTGATATGAAAGGTATTTTAGATGTGTGGCTTTCAGCCTTTGGTCTAACAAGATCCATTTGTGGGCAGGAAATGCTAAGAGCATGAGGTTCGTTGAAGTGACTCCTTAGCAGCACATGAAGGGATGGGGGAGGGCTTTGATGCTGGGAAGAAACTCACCTGGAGTGTCCCATCTGCTCTGGCCAGACCACACCTAGGTGGTCTTCAGCTTGGGATACTGCTTTTAAGTGGGAATGGCAGTGAGCCAGGAACTGTGCAGGGGCTGGGGAGCAGGGCTCAGGTGCAGAAGAAAAGACATGGCGTACTCTTGTGGCTTTTGTTGGATGTCCAGAAGGGCTGTTTTGTAAGAGGGAGCCTCCAAGCTGTGAAACCTAGTCCCCGCTAAGAAGAAGGAAAGAGCAGTGATTCTGGTTATTGAGAACCATGGAATGTATACCCTCTCCCTAGAAAAGTGCTTGTTTGTAAAATTCACATGCACAGAGGATTCACAAACCCCCTGAATTCCATCATAGAGCTGAACTTAAATATATAGAAAAATGTTGACTTGGTGCACAAAGAAGTCACCTCCCATGGGTCTGTACCATGGTGGAGTGGCCTGCCTCAGCTGGCGAGCTTTCTCCCCTGCAAAATCCTGTCAAGATTTGGAGATGAGGAGTCCGAACAGCCTGGGCTCTTCCAGCTTAAAGTCTCGTATCTCTTAAAATTGACAGTAAAACCAGAGTCATTTCTATGTTTTAATGAAATCACGTGGCCGGTGGACAAGAGGACAAATGGGTGACGTGAATATGTGTGTTTTCCCGTAGCCACCAACCGCTAAAATGCACGCCATCATCGAGCGCACGGCCAGCTTCGTGTGCAGGCAGGGAGCACAGTTTGAGATCATGCTGAAGGCCAAGCAGGCCCGGAACTCCCAGTTTGACTTTCTGCGCTTCGACCACTACCTCAACCCCTACTATAAGTTCATCCAGAAAGCCATGAAAGAGGGACGCTACACTGTCCTGGCAGAAAACAAAAGTGACGAGAAAAAAAGTAGGTCCCACTGCGTCTGTTCCGTCCAGACTTTGGGCCTGTGTTGTGGGGGCGGCAGGCTGGGTGGTTCTGGGAAAAGTGTGAAGATACACATTCTTACAGATGCATGGTTGAAAGCCAGACTCGAATTTCTAGAATGTGTCTGAAATCCTGCAGCTAAGGCGTGATCGTTACCCCTGCTGGTGCACCTTTATTAAATCTTTGGTTAATATTTTATAGATAAATGAAATATAACTAAATATTGATGCTGTCAGAACATAATCATCTGGGTGGGAAATTTTTGCCCTCATTTTGCCCACTTAACATTTCATAGAGAAAACAGTTATATATCCTCTCTTGGATTATTCAAGTACCACAGTGTTCAGGGCTGTATAGCTCAATTATACATGGCCACAAAAGTGAAAATTTTACTTGGATTATCTATTTTAAGCTATTATTTTTATAACAGTGTCTCTATTTTGGAGTTCTTACTGCCAAAGCCAGTTAGCTGTATTTTGAATAAAGATGGTATTTTGACAAGTCTATTCATATATATGTATATATATACACACACACACACATCTTCCATTGAATTTTTTTTTTTTTAATTGGCGACAGAGTCTCGCTCTTGTCGCCCAGGCTGGAGTGCAATGGCGTGAGCGCGATCTTGGCTTACTGCAACCTCCGCCTCCCGGGTTCAAGCAATTCTCATGCCTCAGCCTCCCGAGTAGCTGGGATCGTGGGCACGTGCCACCACGCCCGGCTAATTTTTGTATTTTTAGTAGAGACAAGGTTTCACCATGTTGGCCAGGCTGGTCTCAAACTCCTGACCTCAGGTGATCCACCCGCCTCGGCCTCCCAGAGTGCTGGGATTACAGGCGTGAGCCACTGTGCCCGGCCCTTCCACTGAATTCTGTTCTCTTCAGCCAAAATAAGTTTCAAATCAGTTGTGTAAATCTTAATGCAGATCTCATCTTCAGTTTTGTTGTAGTTGTTTATTTCTGTTGCTATTATTTTGCTTTTCATAAATCAGTACAATTTTTGCCCTTTTTTAAAAAAAGGAAAAAAAAGGCAGAGAGAAAGAAAGCATACAGAGCCCCAGACCAGCTGGTGCTCGATGCTGGCAAGGAGTCACCAAATGGGCAAAGGTCGCAATCCTTTTTATCTGGCCTTCTTCTGGACAACTTGGGTGACTCTAGGGAGAAATTTCTAAAAGTGTTTTTTCGACAGATAACCAAGATAACTTGGCTGCTTCTAAGTTTTTGCATAATTAATTTGTACTTTTTTTCTCACCAAACACCAAAATCTTGAAATGTGATTTTGATTTCAGAATCAGGAGTCAGCTCTGACAATGAAGATGATGATGATGAAGAAGATGGGAATTACCTTCATCCCTCTCTCTTTGCCTCCAAGAAGTGTAACCGCCTTGAAGAGCTGATGAAGGTTTTTATCTCATTGTTGAACTATATTTTTATGCCACCACAAAACTTCTGCTAATGTAATTTTGGAAAATTTGAAGCATGTCATTCTTGTGTGTTACAGTTGTATCTTATTTTATCATCATTGAGGTGTATTTGCATTTTTGTTTTTAGCTGGGTGACAAAGCATCTGCTTCTTTGGTTTCTTACCTGTCTAGCTTATAAAATTCGTGAGCATTTGCTCAGGATAATTTTACCATTTTATTACAATTTTACTCCTTTGAGATATTTAGAGTTCCAAGTAGAGTGTTGGTTAAGACTTGAAAATTGTTTTGTTGTGCGGGTGTGGTGGCTTACACATGTAATCCTAGCACTTTGGGAGGCTGAGGCAGGTGGATCACCTGACATCAGGAGTTCAAGACCAGCTGGCCAGCATGGCGAAACCCTATCACTACTAAAAATACAAAAATTAGCCAGGCGTGGTGGGTACACCTGTAGTTCCAGCTACTCGGGAGGCTGAGGCACGAGAATTGCTTGAACCTAGTAAGTGGAGGTTGCAGTGAGCCAAGATCACACTACTGCACGCCAGCCTGGGAGACAGAGTGAGACTCAAAAAGAAAAAAAAATTGTTTAGTTGTGATATCATCATAGGATTGGATTTTATAGGTGATCAGAATATATGCATCTTCGAGTCCTATGTTACCATCATAGATTGTTTTTAAATAAATATTTTCACTTCTAATTCTCCCCTCATCTGTGTGAAGAAACCACTCAGCATTATCTTGTGGTTAATTCACACCACTCTGCCATTCGCGACATAAAAAACAGGAGTCTATTAGATTTAAGCATCTGGTTTTCAGCAGTTGTGCATTGTGGGTGACCTTTTGTGGGAATGATTGCTGATTGATTGGACTGGAAAAGCTATTGGTGATTAAAAATCAGAAACTCCTATAAGGAAAGACAGTTTCAAATTTTGCATGGGGTTAGACATTCACACTTTAATTGGTGTCAAACTAGTCTTAGTTGTTCGTCTGTCCTTTTCTTGGTAGTTATTTTGGAAATTGAAACCCTGTGTTCACTCAGTTCCTCTGAGACAGCCAGCTGGGGCATTTGGCCACAACTCGTTAGGACCTCCATGGGTGCGTGCATGTGTGTGTTTTTTCTAAGGCATGTACACTGAGTCCTAAAGGTGAGCCTTTTGCAGCAGAAGAGTTCTGCATGGTTCAGAATATTGAATGCTAAGGCTGTGTCTTCTCTGTTTCCAGCCCTTGAAGGTAGTGGACCCAGATCATCCCCTCGCAGCACTTGTTCGTAAGGCACAGGCTGACAGTTCCACTCCCACCCCACACAACGCAGACGGTGCGCCTGTGCAGCCCTCCCAGGTGGAGTACACGGCAGACTGTGAGTACTCACTGTGTATGTCCTGACCTGTGTTCAGCTGCCTGTGACAGAGCCAGCTACAGGGCTCTAAACCCCAAGTGTTCTGTCCTCCAAGTGTAACAAGTATGGAAGCAGGCGGCCCAGAGCCTGCACATGGTCCCAAGGGAGAGTGCCACGAGGCTGCCCTTTGCTTGGCCCAGTGTTGGCAAGATGGCTGCCCTACTCCAGCATTAGCTGTGCATTCCAGGAAGGAGGAGGACCGGCAAAGGTAGCTGGCTGCCTCTGCCCTTCTTTCTTTTTTTTTTTTTTTTGAGGCGAGGTTTCACTCTGTCACCCAGGCCAGAGTGCAGGGATGCAAGCATGGTTCACGGCAGCCTGACCTCCCAAACTCAAACGATCCTCCCACCTCGGTCTCTCTAGTAGGTGGGACTACAAGCACGATAACACTGGGCTAATTTTGATTTTTTGATAGGGATGGGGTCTCACTATGTTGCCCAGGCTGGTCTCGAGCTCCTGGGCTTAAGCAGTCCTCCCGCCTTGGCCTTCAAAAGTGCTAGGATTGCAGGTTTGAGCCACTGCTCCTGGCCCTGGCTCTGCCCTTCTTTAAATATCCACCCAAGCCATAGCTAGTGGCTTCCCTTACCTCTCAGTGGCTAGTGTCCTGTCACATGGTCTCCCCACTCAGCAGAGGCAATGGGGCCTCCGTTAAACACGTTGCTGCCCTAAACAAAGTCAAATGCTGGTAAGAACAGGGAGAATGGGAGACACATAGTATTGTCTAACACAGTTGCTTTCTTTAAAAAGGTTCACAGCAGGCCAGGCGTGGTGGCTAATGCCTATAATCCCAACACTTTGGGAGGCTGAGGTGGGAGGATCACTTACGCACAGGAGTTTGAGACCAGCCTGGACAACATACTAAAACCGCATCTTGACAAAAAATAAAAAAAAATTAGCTGGGCATGGTGGTGTGCCTGTGGTCTGAGCTACTTGGGAGGCTGAGGTGAGAGGATGGCTTAGCCCCAGGAGGTTAAGGCTGCAGTGAGCTGAGATTGCACTGCCACACTCTAGCCTGGGCGATAGAGCAGTACCCTGTCTCAAAAAGAAGAAAGAAAAAGAGGCTTACAGCATAAGTTAACATATGCACTGAGAAATTACATTTCTTTTTCTCGCTGATTGCAGTTCTTTTATGGTATTCATTAAAGGTAAGTCTTGAAGGTCCATGCAGGAGATCATTTGAAAGTGTTTGACGTTGGTTCCAGCGTCAGGTCTTTCTGTAATTGTTTTATTCAGAGGTTAAATATGGAATGAGGAAGCTTTAGCAGAGCCGAGGAACCACCTGCTGAGTCTGCTTCCCAGGCAGCTCTGGTACCCTGACTCCATTTGTAAAGCTTATCTCCTTCAGTTCAGCCGGAGATGAATTGTTAAAACATCAGCTCCTCTTTATTTGGGACAAGCTTTTGTAAACATCACAGCTGTGTTCTTTGCACTTCCCTTTTAGCACTGGCACATACTAAACGTTTTTAGACTTTAAAAAACTAGTTACTAGAGTGAACTTTCTGCATGTGTCCCCCCAAAAACCTTTTAAAGCTGAGAATGTCTTTAAATGATTAAATCAAGTCATATCAAATTTCACTGAATGTTCAAATCAGAGGTCAGCTCTACTGCTACAGAGGTGCGTGTTCAATAGTGTAGGCAGCCAGCTGTCTGAGGTGCTCTGTAGATCACTCCTAACGCCCAGTCCTCACTGCATGGATTTTTGGATAGACGGCCGCACACCTTTAAGTCTTGAGCCCCACTCGGCAGCCTGTGAAGCTCCCGCCCTGGAGTCATGGGGCGCTGTGCTCTGCCCAGGATGCCTGCCCACTGAGGGACCATCCCTCTGCTTCCTCCTTTCCTTTTCCAAGCCTGTCGTTGAGTTTGCTTGAACCAAATGCATTGTCCGTGCACGTCCACCAGATCCCTGAAGCTGCTGCAAAGCAGAGGACTAGAAATTCAGGGCGGGCTGACCTTGATTATTTGCTGTGCTAATCACTGGTGGAAGAACAGCCATGTGCAGACCCCGCAGGACCAGGCAGGATGGTGGAGCCGGCTGGTAGTGGCCGTTCTGTGACACACAGCATCCCCTGGTCTGGTGGGAATGTGATCTGAACTGAGGCATGCAGGGGTGGCATTGTGAGCTGTCTGGGTCAGAAGGCTTGGTACATTCCCAAGGGTTCACCGCAGGGCGGCCAGAGCCCACACACTTTGGTTTCTTCCCACCTGCTGATGGCTCCCGAGACCACTGATAAGCCGTGACAGCCTCTGCAGGAACCCTAAGCTTACTCTGTTCAGGCCCCTGACTACCACCACCCTGGGCACTGACGGCACCCCACCCTATCCTCCCAACTGCAAGGGCTCTAGTAGGGGGTGCCCTCTCCTCCCCTCAATACGGTGCCGTTGTTTTGAAACTCATCGTCTCCCCTCGACACAGCAAGAGTAGTGGATACACACATGTGAGAGTAAGGGTGCCTGGGGGCTGGTGAAAGCATGCGTGTCTGCTGTTAGGGTCTGTGGGTTTTAGACATATGCTCCTGCATCAGCCATAGGGGTCAGAGCCCTCCTATGAGCCTCCTCGCTGAGCACAGCACTCAGGGCCACCACCACAGTCCCACCCATCTTGGATCTGGAGGGTCAGAAGGTGGGGGAGGTGTCCTCATCCAGTTTCCAAGAAGAGCCAAGAGCTAGAACTTTGGCTCTAAATCACTGTAAAACCTAGCAGAAATCAGTATAAACCTGTACTCAGGCGCTCAGCCTTATGGGATGAGTGGCTGTGGCGTGGCGTTACGTCGGGTCCTCCAGCACCACGCAAGCCCGGGCAGTGCGGCCATTCCAGAATCTGCAGAGGTTCCAGGGCGCCTGACTCACACGCACCTCCCTGCCTGCCGTCTTCCTCTGCTACCCTTTGAGTACCTTGTTCTGCCTGCCTCATGCTTCTGTGTGCTGTTGAAGTTTCGTGGGTGAAAGTCCCTCATGACCTCGTCTTCACTTCCTGGGTTTTCAGTGAAGTTGTTGCAGAATTTGGGGTCCTGTGTGGCAGGTTGTTGGCAGTTGCAGGTGGAGACAGCAGTCATTGATCTACCCAGGTTGGTCATGATTAGGGAACTGCCTGTAATTCATGGACTGACTACTATGTGGTTATTGGTTTGTAATCAGTCATTGATAACAGCATTTATTTACAAATACAGTTCAAATAGAGGGAACACTGGTCATAGTTTTTGGGTTGAGTTCCGTCATGCTAAAGTTCAAGATAATATTGTTACGTTCATTATATGTAGTTTCCAAAAGTATTAATGCAGTGGGATCTCAACTATGCTTAAAATAATAAACTGGAGAGAGCTGTGCAAAAAATACTATGAGGCTCAGAGCTACCTCTCAAATTGGCATTTGGTTGATTTTTTTTCTCTGCATACTTTTTTCATTTTCATGATGTTTTTGAGTATGCATTACTATTTTACTTTTTTTTTTTTTTTTTTTTTTTTTTGAGACGGAGTCTCTCTGTGTTACCCAGGCTGGAGTGCAGTGGTGCAATCTCGGCTCACTGCAGCCTCCACCTCCTGGGTTCAAGCGAGTCTCCTGCCTCAGCCTCCCAAGTAGCTGGGATCACAGGCGCTCGTCACCACGCCTGGCTAATTTTTGTATTTTTAGTAGAGACGGGGTTTCACCATGTTGGCCAGGCTGGTCTCAAACTCCTGACCTCAGGTGATCCGCCCACCTCAGCCTCCCAAAGTGCTGGGATTACAGGCTGAGCCACCGCACCCAGCCGTGTTGCTATTATACTTAAGAAACAAAGTAAAATACAAAGTTCATAGAATAACTGTAACGTTTGCAATGCCGGACAGTGAGGGCAAGAGCAGCCCATGGCTTGGCCTGAGTTTGTGGCAAGCCCAAGCCTGTACAGATCTCCCGAAGTTCCTTCTCAGACTGTTGTGAGGACGTCGCTGAGTTGCTTCAAGAAAAGACCTAAACTCATGGGCTCTGTCTGATGAGCCTTTGTGAATGTAGTGTATGAGGTTGGTGGGCTATTTTGAAATTCCTGCTTCAGCCAGCACAGAGGAAGGTTTGAGGGGCCCCTTTCTGTCTTGGGCACACCCAGCCCTGCTCAGGAGAGCTTGAGAAGCAGGTCTGCGGATTCTGCTGCCCTTGGCTGCTCTCGGCTTGCTCCTCGTCTCCGCCTAATGTACCCAGTGTGTTCACGGAAGTGTTGTCCCATGGGGTTTCATATACAGCCTGTTATTCCTGTATCTCTAATGTGTGATTTTCCATGCTCTGGGCATGCATAGCTTTGTTTCTTAAACAGCCAGCTTTCTACAGAGAAGGCACAACCGTCAGAGGCATTGAAGTAATTTTCAGAAGAGGGCTTAAATTGTGGGCTTTGCACTTGGGAAGTACTCTAGTAGGATACTAGAGAGAAAGCTGTCTGGAAAATTACTAACATTACTGATAACATTTTGGGAGACTCTCAGTTGGGGCAAACCTGGGGCCCCGTGGGGTCTGGAAAAGGGCGGGGCTAGTGTCCTTGGAGCACGTCAGCTTCCACAGCAGCCAGTTACTTTTCCTGAGGACAGAGGAGTTGCATGTGAGGGAGGAGGCGTGATTTAAAGCATGAAGAGAATCATGCCCCACAATGAAACCAGAGCCCTGTGGCCCGCGTTTCAGACCACTGCCAACCATGGACACCAGAGACAAGACAAAGGACATTTTGGCCATGGACTTGAAACGTCAGCTGTATGAGAGCGGGCGGGGGATGGCGCGGTCTCCCTGGTACTTACTGGGCAGGTGCGTATCGTCAGGAGCTCCTCACCCTGCCCTGTGAGAACTTTCGTATGTGTGTCTCTGCCATCTCCTCCTCCTCCCATTCCTGACCTGTTGAGCCAGGGGTGGATTGGCAGGCCTATAAGGCGCCTTTCACATTGAGGGTCTTAGGATTTGCAGTCCAGCTTTGCAGGGAGCGGCAGTTTGTCATTTGTAGGAGGAAATTTCACGATCATAAAGCACGGCATGCATCCTGAGAGCCAGGCAGCGACGCTGCCTGCACTGCCCCACCGCTCAGAGGGCCACAGGAGCAGGGCTTCCTCCTTGCCTCTGAGCAGTGGAGCCAAGGCTGGAGGTGGGCGCAGCTCCATGTTCTCGGGGGATTTCTTCACTGTGTTTCTTGGGGGCTCACCGACTGCAGCCGTATTCCTGGAGAGAGAAGGAGGCCTGTCACAGCATCTGTGACAGCCCGGAAGGAAACAGCAGTCCATACAGTCCCCTCAGGACAGGCACAGAGGACTCCACCCTGGAGTCACAGGCTTGGTGAGGTGGGGGACAGGCAGGGGTGGGCCCCGAGGTGTGCAGAGTGTGTGTTCAGGCTTGTCTTCCTGCCGCAGCGCAGCAGCCCTCCCATGCCTGGGTCCTGGCACCTGCCCCTCCACTCCCCATGCAGCTTCATCCTCCAGGGCGTGGTCTCCAGATGACTTACCTCCTAGATACAGACAAGACCCCAAACACACACATGGGAGCCCTGAGCCCACCCTGGGGCAGGGTGACACATGGGAGCAGGTCAGTGCCCTGTGTGTGGCTTGCCACCATCATTTGGGAACTATTCTTCTGTCCTAGGTGAGTGCCCACCCTGTGGCACTGAGACCCAACAGCTCAGGTGACAGTGACACCTGCAGCGGAGGCTGGGGAAGCATCAGAGCCTCTGCTGTGGTGGACGCCAGGTGGCCCCTGGCACAGAGAGCGTGTTCATCGCTGGCTCCTGCCGCCCTCGAGGACTTGAAGGCTGACGTTGGGCTGGGTGTGGCTCGTACATAGGACAGGGCCCACACACTGGATTCACGTTTTTCCTCACAACTTAGAATAGCAAAGTTACAGACTTTGGATTCTTACGAAGACAAGAATGAATGTCTTGGCTAACCATGATCTTACCCAAGAGGACTTAAAATGAATGTGCAGGAGAAATGAGAAGAGGACTTAAGATCAAAAAGAGAGTGACTAGGAGGTCAGAGAGGCAGCCGCCCACCCCACGCACTCCCTGCTTGTAAGCCGGGGCCGCATTGTTGTGTTACCACACTTCTGTTTTAGAGCCTGTTACGGTTTTGAGTTACACAGACATGTGTGGGCTTGTGCATGTTTGAATGCCCTGTGGACCCGGAGCTCTGTGAGGCAAAGGCTGGGACTGTCTTACTAGCCAGCGTGCTCCTTGCACCTCGATCCAAGGGGCCACGGGGCTCCCAGGAACATTCACCGAGTAACTTCAGAAAAGTGAAGAGCAGAAGTTCCAAAAGCACCTGGTGCTTCCTGGGAGAAGTCACCTGCACAGGTACCTTGGATCCAACTGACAGGTGAGATGAACGAGCTCTCCCTGCGTGCGCACGTCTACGTACGCTCGTGTATGCTGAGGAGCAGGCATTGGAACATGACGGAGCTGCTGCTGCTGCAGCCGCAGATACCATCTCAGCCGGCATGGCGCATGGGGGTGGGGTGGGGCAGTGAGGGGGGGCCCGCTCCGAGAGACAGACAGGTCAGGCCGGAAGCGACTGTCCGTGAAGGTGACGCTCATACCGTAACCTTAGCAGCAGGCTGTTGCCACACAGTCACAAAAGTGGGAGGCAGCAGCAGAGCAATGTGGCCACAGGCACTCGGACTCCAGAGAGCTGGCGAGAGGCTTTCCTGGCTGAAAGCAGTGACAAGTATCTGGGTCTGGGGGACAAGGGAAACTTGGAAATGACAGAAAAGCCCAAAAATCAAGTCCCCACAACCTCCCCCAGCGATGAGAGCCGTCGTAGCCATGGGCTGTGCATCATCCCTACACGCCCGCGCCTGAAGATTTATGCGCGCTTTCTGACGAACAGCCTTTGCAGTTGGGCTTTGTTGTGGCTGGATGACTCTGAGCCCTTTGCTTTGCTTCTCTAGGCCTCAGTTTTCCCATTTGTACCATTAGGGTATTAATTTAAATAACAGAAGCACTCTATCGTATTCTGAATGGGACACCAGTTAATTCTGGAACATTTTGGAGGTTTCCCATTGTTTCCTGTGAACCCCAGAGAGAGTTTGAGAAACAGATGATAAAGGGAAGACAAGATCGTAAAGTGTGATACTGCCATCGAAGGTCTCGAGCCTCATAGTTGGCGCTTTAAGCAAAATAGGCGGTTAAAAACAGGTCTACACATGCTGTGTGTGGACCCAAACCATGAACACATGCTGGGCCCCAGCCCGTCTGTTGCTGTTCCCTTGGTCTTGGCGTCCTGTGGTCCTCACGTGAGCTGCACGCAGCGAGCAGAGCCCTGACTTCCAGTCTGGATTTCTGTAAAGTGATGCCGGGCTTATATTATTTCAAGGACTTCATGGTTACTTCTCCCTCCTGGAGTTGCTCTATGGCTTTTTAAAGCAGCTGACTTTTTATCCATCTTCTCAAAGTATTCAGCTTCATTTTCACAGAAATGATAATTCTCATCTCTCACTCAAATTTTATGTTTGCATAAATTTTCATCAAACACATAATTACAGTAAGTTTAACTGGAAAAAATAAGAGAGACTCTACTGTTAAAAGCAAAAAGGCCCAGGCTTCTGAAGAGACGCGCCTTCTCCCCTGGTGTTTGTCATGGCACCAGCCAACACAGCAAGATGGAGCCACCAGTCCAGCCAGGGAGCTTCTGCAGTGTTTCAAACAAGGCGGCACCAGCACAGAAATCCACAGGCCCTGCAGTGGGAAGGGATGAATGAGTCCCCAAAAACAGATCCAAATAAAAATAAGGACGGAGAAAAGGAAACACCAAGCTAACAGGAAGGGGTGTTCTAAGACACAAAGAGCTATTTGGAAAACATCACATAAGAGCCTCACTTTCACCCAGTATCAGAATCACTTCCAGATGTAAATGCCAGTTGTGGAAATTCTTAGGAAAGTAAGGATGCTTCAGCAGAATGAAGAATCATCTATTTTCAGCCAGCAGTTATATTCAATTAATTTTTTAAAAAATGAGGGGAAAAAAAAAGCCTGTATGTCTAAACAGCTTTTACAATCAAATAGGAAAAAATTCTGATAGTCTAGTAGAAAAAAGATCTGCAGTGCGAATAATTCAGAGGCAAAAATGCCCATACGGTTTTTAAAGACTCACCCTCACTGCCTGCTCACAGGCATCGTGTCCGCCGACCGTAGAACCTGAAATCCGTAGTAAACACCCCTCCAGCGCTTTGGTTCAGCTCAGCTCCAGCGAATGTTAGGATGTGAGGCTTCGTGTTACAGTAGAAAGGAGCGCACTCATAGGCATACAGAACACTGTGCAGGTCTAAGACTTAGGAGAAGACGGAGATTTCTAGGCTGTTGGAATGTTATTTTGTATATGCGAGTTTGGGTAGCTTAATAATAGAGATTAAATAAAAGAAATGCAGACAAAACCTACAATGGAGTGCCATTTTTCAGCTGTCACTCAAGCAGAGAAAAGGTGACAGACGTTTATTGTCGGTGGGGGTGTAGATTTGTGCCAGCGATGTGGTACTTGTGGAGGGCCAGCGGGCAGTCTATCAGTCTAAAACACACGTGCCTCCAACCCAGGATGTCTGCTCTCATTTACTAGTATATGGGTGAACATAGCCACATAGATACTCATCATAGTACAGTTTTAGTAGTAGCAAAAGACTGAGGCGACGCACATCCTCGGTGGAGGACTAATGGAGTCCCTCTGGTGTGCTCTCGCGGTGGGCTGCAGAGCTCTGGGGGTGGGCCAGGGCCCGAGCGCTGCAGGGCCACCCACCGGAATGGCTCTTCCTGAGGGTGGAGGCGAGGTGACTCAAGGGGAGGGCAGCACGAGGCAGTCTGTTCACGTCAGAAGGGGAGGGAAGTGTCTGTAGTGCTTCTGTATCGGCACCTAAAAGGGCAGGTAAGAAGGACCAGTGGCCAGCACAGAGAGGGGAACTGGAAGGACGAGGTCGCAGACAGGAGTGGCTGACTCACCTGCCCGTTTGCGCTGCTTGCATTTTTTCAGCGTGACTCGTCACCCTCTCAAAACATGCAGATTGACGTGGTACTTATTTTGAGACTAAACTGGTATCCTGAGTTAATTCCTTACAACTCTGTATTTTAATAATACGTGCTTTTATCATTTTGTTTCATCAGCTCAGTGTGTTTTTGTTTAGGCGGAAGTGGCCCCCGTAACATCTTTCCCCCGTAGAGACTTGCATACCCAGTACTGCTGTGTCTCGTGGGAGGCTGCTGGGTCACTAAGCTTTTCTGGCTTTCATACGCTGGGTATTTAATAATCACCTTAGGATATACTCAGTCGTTCTTTCTTATTTACTTCCTACTGATGGAGATTTTCCTACATTTTGGCAGCCTGGGAAGAAAAGCATCTATTTTTTTCCTTAAAGTCCAGCAGAATTTTATATATATATAAAATATGTGTATAAAATAATTTTTCTAGAAGCTCATTAAATATAGATGTGTAAAACTAACAATTTATTTCATTTATTAATTTTCCTGACAATGAACTACTTTTCATGCTCTTTATTTTTCATTACTTGTCTTCTGCTATTTAGCTATAAATCCTTATAGAAGAGTATAAATAAATAAAAGTAATTATGCAGGAGGCAGTCATAGTGAAATGCTGCCCACTGTGATAGCCTGTGGGTTTTTTTTAATAAAATGCCAACTCAGTTTTTCTTAATATTCTATAAATATCTGAAGTGAAATTAAACCATTGCGCATGGCTACTATAGATATTTTCTTGCTTCTATCCCTGTTTTTTAAATGTGCCTTTGCTGTTTATGGTATATTTTTCCTGCACATCATGACTTTGAAGTTCTTTACTTACTTTCCAAACCCATTTTTAAAAATGGTTTTATTGTATGTCAAGAGAAGAAGGAAGAAAGCAAAAATGTTACCCAGGATTCCACCATCCAGAAATAGCCATTAGTGAACATCATTAGCAAAGTGGAAAACACTGAGGTCATCGTGCTAAATAAAAAGGAAAGAAAGAAGCTTGTTATCTGTGGAACACAAAGATCATCTTTATGCACGAATATCAATTAAAATGTTGGATGTGTCTCTAGAAATACTTACGTTAAAGTGGAAATAAACTTAATTTTACTTAAACAGAAGAGCCTGCAATCTAAAAATGAAGTAACTGTCGAACTTCGGATGAAAGTTTCTTTTATGCCTAAAGAATTCAGTTCTGAAAAAAGGTTAGGAGAACATTGAGAGGTTGTCATTGTAGATATTTTTTAAAGCTGTGTATTTTTCCTGATTTTTGTTAGAATTATTCAACTTTTTCTTTGCATTTAATATATCTCGAACATCTTTGTATTAACAGTGCATGTGTATCTCTCTCTTCTAGCTGTAGCAACTACCTAGTATCCTGTTGTATAGATTTATTGTGAAACAGCCCTCCATTAATTGATAATTTGATTATTTGTGACTTCCAATTATTTCTACTTTTCCAGTGCTGTAATGAACATTATTCTTTTTTTTTTTTTTTTTTTTTTTTGAGACAGGGTCTCTCGCTCTGTCACCTAGGCTGGAGTCCAGTAGCGTGATCTTGGCTCACTGCAACCTCAAGCTATCCTCCCACCTCAGCCTCCTGACCAGCTGGGACCACAGGCATGTGCCACCACACCTGGCTGACTTTTTAGATAAATTTTTAGAGGGTCTTGCTATGTTGCCCAGGCTGATGTTAAACTCCTGGGCTCAAGTGATCCACCCACCTTGGCCTCCCAAAGTGCTGGGATTACAGGCATGAGCCACTGTGCCCTGCCAATTATTTATTACTTTTAAGCACTAATGTGGTATAATTCTATATGCAAGATAAAAA
Organism: Homo sapiens; assembly: GCF_000001405.40. Lineage (NCBI taxonomy): Eukaryota > Metazoa > Chordata > Mammalia > Primates > Hominidae > Homo > Homo sapiens. Next base: position 131,739,234 of record NC_000012.12, read on the forward strand.
TCTTAGAAAATAAACAGCTAGGTCAAAGAGTATGTGCATTTGTTTAAAGTATTACCAGTGACTGAGCAGTTGCCTTCTGAAACATTGTGTCAATATGCATTGCCACCGCTAGGATATGAGTGCTTCTTAGTTTTGTAACCATTTAAAATGATTTGAATATGCTGATATAGAAATATATTTAAGAGTGAGTAGGACAGTCAATATACTATATTTATGACTTTGGTTCCTTTAAAGTATAGAAATATTATTTTTATATTATGAGAGTTTATAAATAGTATTTGCATTCTATTATTCCCCAGTTGCTTTTTTTTTTTTTTTTTTTTTTTTTTTTGGATGGAGTCTTGCTCTGTCTCCCAGGCTGGAGTGCAGTGGCGCAATCTCGGCTCACTGCAAGCTCTGCCTCCTGGGTTCACGCCATTCTTCTGCCTCAGCCTCCCGAGCAGCTGGGAGTACAGGCGCCCGCCACCATGCCCGATTAATTTTTTGTATTTTTAGTAGACAGGGTTTCACTGTACTAGCCAGGATGGTCTCAATCTCCTGACCTCGTGATTCACCTGCCTTGGCCTCCCAAAGTGCTGGGATTACAGGCATGAGCCACTGCGCCCAGCCCCCAGTTGCTTACTTTTAGTTTTATGGTTGACTGGATTCGTTTTTTCCCTACAGCTTCTCCTTTTGAGTTATTTATTCGATTCATCTTTTCTTGATCATTTGAATTTCATAAACAAGTACGTTTTTACAAGGGCTGTAGTTCATGAATTCTGCCTGTCGAAAAATGCCTGCCTTTGACCTTTATGTGAACAGGACGGCTTGTCTGGGTATAAAACTCTTGGGTAATGCTGTGGGCCTCTCAGATCTCTGGGAACTAGAATCTGACACTGTCCTTTCCACTGCAGGGTGGCCCGGGGTAGCTGGATGGGTCATGACTACCTATTTGGGTTTGTTCATTGGTTGGTTTGCTTTCATTGCTCCTATGCTGCTCTCTGAGTTTTTTCACGCTTGAAAATCTTTCTCAGCTGCCTTTTAACATAAATAGCAATTTGCAGGGAACGATGCACCGAGTCGCTTGCCTAGGATTCAGAAGTGGAATTGAACGTTGCTGTGGAAAGGGCGAGGCCAGCCCTGTCTTCCCTACCTGCCCTGGGAGGTGGATGCTCTTTCTGACCCAACACATCTGAGGAAGTCTTGCTTTACCCTTAACTTTTATTAACTTAATTGCCCATTTTTCATGGACTATATTGTATACCTTTCAGTCAGAGATTCAGTTCTCATTTCTGGGAAGTTCTTTTCTGTTGTGCCTCGAGCACCTTTCCTGTCCCACGCATTGGTGCCTCTGCTTGAAGGACACAGTCTCTTGGTTCGGGTCACCTTTCTTCGAGCCTGTGCTCCCTGTGTTTCTCTTTGGCACTCAGCAGGACTGTGTCCATCTTCCCTGTCAGCGACTTTTTTCAGCCATGTCTATTTATTCCTTGTAGTTTAAATTCCATTGGTTTTGCAGTGGTATTGTTTGGATCCTTGGCTGGTTTTCTAAGCTTTACAGCAGGGCCCCACAGCCTTTCTATATAAAGGTGCATGTCTTCAGCCCTGCAGCTGCCCAGCCTCTATGCAGCCCCTGCTCTGTCCCTGGGGTGTGGAGGCAGCTGCAGATGGTTGTAGACCCATGAGTGTGGCAGGGCTTCACTAAAGCTTAATTGATGGATACGAGGCTTTTCATTTCTTTTTTTTTCTTTTTTTTCTTTTTTTTTTTTTTTTTTTTTTTTGAGATAGAGTCTCACTCTGTTGCCTAAGCTGGAGTGCAGTGGCACGATCTCAGCTTACTGCAACCTCCACCTCCTGGGTTCAAGCAATTCTCTGCCTCAGCCTCTCGAGTAGCTGGGATTACAGGCGTCCGACACCACGCTTGGCTAATTTTTGTATTTTTAGTAGAGACAGGGTTTCACCATCTTGGCCAGGCTGGGAACTCCTGACCTCGTGATCCACCTGCCTCGGCCCCTCAAAGTGCTGGGATTACAGGCGCAAGCCACCGTGCCCAGCCTAGGGTTTTAATTTCATACAATTTTGATGTCATAAAATATTATTTTGTTTGTTTGTATTTTTTCAACCATTTAAAAATGTAAAAACCAGGCCAGCCATGGTGGCTCACACCTGTAGTCCCAGCACTTTGGGAGGCCAAGGTGGGTGGATCTCTTGAGCTCAGGAGGTCAAGACCAGGCTGGGCAACATAGTGAGACTGTCTCTACAAAAAAAATTAAGAAAATTAAGTGACCATAATGGCGCACACCTGTGGTCCCAGCTGCTGGGGAGAGTGAGGTGTGGGGGTTGGCAGAGGGGAGGGCATCGAGGAGTTCCATGCTGCAGGGAGCAATGGTTGTGCCACTGTACTCCAGCCTGGGCAACACAGCGAGACTCTGTCCAAAAAAAAAAAAAAAACAGTAAACACCATTCTGCTGATGGCTGTACAAGAACAGGGAGAGCGCCTGCTGGACCCTGCCTCACAGCCTCCCCCTCTGTTGCATTTGGTTATGTTACCTTATTTTTGTGCTTTGTTGAATTCCTGTCTTCCCAGATTCATCTGTGGCTCAGAGAGCTCAAAGGTTCCTCGGGTCACATGCTCCTGTAGCCTGAGATGCCATTCACATGCCATGCTACTTCCCTCCGCTGCTTTTCCTGGGGGCGTGTGCAGGGTCTCATGCCGTCTGGTGCTCCTTCTTCCCTGGTGTGCAAGCCTGTGTGTTCTTGGTGTGGGTGGATTCTCCTTGATGCTCTCTCACCTTCTCTTAGCACCTTTTTCTTCCCTTCCAACAGCCTTCTTGGGAAGACCTATCCTCTGCTGTCTTTTGTGAGATTCTAAAAATGTCCTAGATTGGATTTCCTTCCCCCAGTGAGGGAACTACAGGGAGAGACGTTCTTGAGTATCACAGCATATGTGTCAGGCAGGGCCCCAGGTCCACAAGCCCCGTTCTCCTCACTGTCAGGATCCCCACGGCAGGTCATTGGCATTTCCACCTGCTTCTTTCCATGGTGGGGCCCAGGTCTCACTTCAGCCACTTGCTCTCTTTACCCACAACTCTCTGGAACCTATTTTTATGTAAGAAGTCTTCAAAACCTCAGTACAGCATTAAAAATTGAAAGCTTTTTACTTTGAGGGTCACTGATGAAAATGGTAAGTTATGTTTAGAGACAGGCTTTTTTTTTTCTAGAGGAAAGTTTTATTTGCCAGAAAGAGGTGACTTTTAAGCACAGTGGGCTAAAATTCCAAATAGCTGGTTAAATGCCCAAAACGGATTCATTTTGGTAGTTTCCCAGTTTGACAAATGAGTAATCTTGCATCACTACAGAAATCATTCAGGTTTCCCTAATCCAATTTGGTGATGTCAAAACAAGTCTTCTCTTGTTGGGGGACTTTTTTTTTTTTTTAAGATACTAGGTCGTCGGGAGGTTACAACAAAATACAGTGTGGTTGTGATGGACTGCATGTTAAGTGATTTTATTGTAAGTCTTGGCATATAAGAACCCATTAACAGATCATTGGAAACCATTCTGTGTTGTGATATGGATAGCCTCATGGTTTATATTAGTCTGTTTTCACACTGCTGATAAAGACATACCCGAGACTGAGGAGGAGAAGAAGAGGTTTAATGGACTTACAGTTCCACATGGCTGGGGAGGCCTCACAATCATGACAGAAGGCAAGGAGGAGCAAGTCATGTCTTACATGGATGGCAGCTGGCAAAGAGTTTGTGCAGAGAGACTCCTGTTTTTGAGACTATCAGATCTCATAAGACTCATTCACTATTATAAGAATAATGCGGGAAAGACCCGCCCCCATAATTCAGTCACCTCCCACCAGGTTCCTCCCACAACATGTGGGAATAGTGGTAGTTATAATTCAAGATGAGATTTGGGTGGGGACATGGCCAAACCATATCATCCCCTCTCACCCCTCCCAAGTCTCACATCCTCACATTTCAAAACCAGTCATGCTTTCCCAGCAGTCCCCCAAAGTCTTAACTCATTTCAGCATTAACTCAAAGTCCACAGTCCAACATCTCATCTGAGACAAGGCAAGTTCCTTCTGCCTACCAGCCTATAAAATCAAAAGCAAGTTAGTTGTTTTCTAAATATAATGGGGGTACAGGCATTGGGTAAATACAACCGTCCATATGAGAGAAATTGGCCAAAACAGAGGGGCTGCACAGGCCCTGTACAAGTCCAAAATCTAGCAAGGCAGTCAAATCATAAAGCTCCAAAATGACCTTTGACTCCATGTCTCGCATCCAGGTCACGCTGATGCAAGAGGTGTGTTCCCATGGTCTTGGGCAGCTCCGCGCCTGTGGCTCTGCAGGGTACAACCTCCCTCCCGGCTGCTTTCACAGGCTGGTGTTGAGTGTGGCTTTTCCAGGAGCACGGTGCAAGCTGTTGGTGGATCTACCATTCTGGGGTCTGGAGGATGGTGGCCCTCTTCTCACAGCTGCACTAGGCAGTACCCCAGTAGGGACTCTCTGTGGGGGCTCCGACCTCACATTTCCCCTCCACACTGCCCTAGCAAAGGTTCTCGATGAGGGCCCTGCCCCTGCCACAAACTTCTGCCTGGGCATCCAGGCATTTCCATACATCCTGTGAAATCTAGATGGAGGTTCCCAAACCTCAGTTCTTGACTTCTGGGCACTTGCAGGCTCAACACCACATGGAAGCTGCCAAGGCTTAGGGCTTCCACCCTCTGAAGCCACAGCCTAAGCTGTACCTTGGCCCCTTTTAGTCATGGCTGGAGCAGCTGGGACACAGGGTACCAAGTCCCTAGGCTGCACACGGCACAGGGACCCTGGGCCCAGACCACGAAACCGTTTTTTCTTCCTAGGCCTCCAGGCCTGTGATGGGAGGGGCTGCCATGAAGACCTCTGACATGTTCTAGAGACATTTTCTGCATTGTCTTGGGGATTCACATTCGGCTCCTGGTTACTTATGCAAATTTCTGCAGCCAGCCTGAATTTCTCCTCAGAAAATGAGATATTCTTTTCTATTGTCAGACTGCAAATTTTCCAGACCTTTATGCTGTGTTTCCTTATAAAACTGAATGCCTTTAACAGCACCCAAGTCACCTCTCAAATGCATTGCTGCTTAGAAATTTCTTTCACCAGATACCCTAAATCATCTCTCTCAAGTTTAAAGTTCCACAGATCTCTAGGGCAGGGGCAGAATGCCACCAGTGTTTTTGCCAAAACATAAGAAGTCACCTTTGCCTCAGTTCCCAACAAGTTCCTCATCTCCATCTAAGACCACCTCAGCCTGGACCTTATTGTTCCTGTCACTATCAGCATTTTGGGCAAAGCCATTCAGCAAATCTCTGGGAAGTTCCAAACTTTCCCTAATTTTCCTGTCTTCTTTTGAGCCCTCCAAACTGTTCTAACCTCTGCCTGTTACCCAGTTCCAAAGTCACTTCCACATTCTGGGGTTATCTTTTCAGCAGTACCCCAATTCTGGTACCAAATTACTGGATTAGTCCATTTTCACACTGCTGATAAAGACATACCTGAGACTGGAGAGAAAAAGAGGTTTAATGGACTTAACAGTTCCACATGGCTGGGGAGGCCTCACAATCATGGCAGAAGGCAAGGAGGAGCAAAGTCATGTCTTACATGGATGGCAGCAGGCAAAGAGAGGCTGTACAGAGAAGCTCCTGTTTTTGAAACTATCAGATCTTGTGGGACTCATTCATTAACATGAGAACAGCGCAGGAAAGACCCACCCCCATAATTCTGTCACCTCCTACCAGGCTCCTCCCACAACACATGGGAATTGTGCTAGTTACTAATCAAGATGAGATGTGGGTGGGGACACAGCCAAACCATACCAGTTTTATCTCAGTTGGAAAATACTTGGACACAATGTGTGATGAGCCAAATAATAAATGCTTTTAAGTATTTGGGAGGATGGGAAGGAAGATCATATTTTCTTAAAAACTTTGGGCTTACATCTTAAGGAGTTTTTGGTTTGTTTTACCATTTTTATTCTTGCAATATGAGATTTATGTTATAGAGAGCTAGTAGATAACCACCCTGCCTAAAACGAACAATTGCCAGAAGGGATCTTTTAGGAATTCTTGAAAATTATCTGAGTTCAGGAGATGAAGTCAGAAGTCATGAGAATGGAGATAATTGAGTGGAAAAGAGAAACTTGCAGAAGGAGAAAGAGTTTCTCCGCCCTGATTTCTCTCATTCACTTCTAGAGGACCTTGAAGGTTTCTAACATCCCCTGGGTGTATTAGGCACTTTCCTCATTCTTGAGAATGCAGAATTCAGTAATAAAAACAATTATTCTTGAATCGTGTTGTCAGTGCCTGACATTTACATGCATAGAATGTGGACCTCTCCTGGGGTGCAGGTCTTCACTGTGAATAAGGCAGCACTCTAACTATAGGCAGAGTAAGATTCTCAAATCAGGCAGGCTGGCACAGTCTGAAGGACCTAAAAATACCTGTTTCAGGGATCTGCATCTTCAGATGGTAATGAAACTTTTAGTAAGGCTTTTTTTTTTTTTGGCAAAAAAAAAAAGGTAGTATTGTAGAATTTTACATTAAATAGTGGAATTGCCATGAAAACAATTTATTCTGACATTGATCCAGCAGCCGAATAAGCCTGCAGGGAATGGCGACTCTTGGCAGCGGGTCAGGCTGTGGGCTTCAGAGTGGGCCGCTTCCTGGCTTACCAGCCCTGCTAGGGTAAATCTGCTCTCAGCGGCTTCCTCCTAGAATCCAGCTTGAAAATTAAATGGAAATAAACAAACATCGGTTATGGTCTGGGAAATTTGCTACATATTGCATGTTCTGTATGACACACTAATACATGTACATGCGTAGTATTACAGATGACTGCATATATTGGTGAACCATTAGCCTGAATTGGAGAGGAGATCTCAGGTGAGTATTGGGAACATGCACATCATCTTTGCAGTGCAGCCCACCTTGTATCTCTGAGAAGTCAGTGTGCATGTGGAGAAAGAATGGAAGGGAATGCAGGCAAGTTAAGATCACCCTTGAGAGGTGGTTCTCAGATGGAGCTGTGCCGCCTTCCTAGCTGAGGACCTACAGCGTTGTTGCAGTGTAGACTCATGTAATGGTGCCATCTTTTAAGCAAGTCTTGACTTTTGATGCCTCATTTGCTGCTGCTAGACCCAGGCGGAGCAAGCTTCTCTGGCATGTGGGTCGTTTGTTTGCAGTGTGCATTTGGTGAAATTGACAGCTGGGTTTCCCTGTCCCCCGTCCCCGCCTGGAACATCACTGTTCTGAGCCTGTAGCCAGTGCTTTTCTGTGACTTCTCTTTCTTTCCTGTGTTCATTCCTGTTCTTGTTGCTTGTATGTTTACTTCTGTATTTTGCTGGAGCACATCCTCCAGTAGTTTCCCAAGAAAGGGTACATAGGAACACAAAGTTTTTTAAATTCTTGGATATCTGAAAATGCCTTAATTTTGCCTTCCCATTTGACAGGTAGTTTGGAAGCACCTAGAATTGCGGGGTGGGTATGACTTTCCCTAAGAATGTGGGTGCTGGATGCCGCCATCTGCAGGAGCCTTTGCTGCCATGGAGAAGCTCATGCTGGCCGGGCATGCTGGCTCACGCCTATAATCCCAGCACTTTGGGAGGCCAAGGCGGGCAGATCATGAGGTCAGGAGATCGAGACCATCCTGGCTAACACGGTGAAACCCGGTCTCTACTAAAAATACAAAAAATTAGCCGGGTGTGGTGGCGGGTGCCTGTAGTCCCAGCTACTCGGGAGGCTGAAGCAGGAGAATGGCATCAACCCGGGAGGCAGAGCTTGCAGTGAGCCGAGATCGCACCACTGCACTCCAGCCTGGGCAACAGAGCGAGACTCTGTCTCAAAAAAAAAAAAAAAAGCTCATGCCATGCTCGTTACCATTCTCTCCTGTGTAACTTGTACAGGTGTTGAGCGATTTGCATCATGCTCTGCCATGCCAGGAACACAGTGGACAAACCTCCTTCTGCCATGGAGCTTATGTTCTGGAGGGCAGAGCCAGACAGTGACAGTGGACATGTGACTAAGAGCGATGGAGAAAGTGGCCATGACAAGGGGACCAGGGTTCTGGGGAGGCCAGCAGTGCTGGCATCATGGGGACAGGGAGGCCTCCTGTGACCAGAGACCAGAGGAAGTGCAGGTGAGCCCAGCAATTACCATGTGCAGGATGGGGGATGGGACAGCAATGGGACATGAGGTAGGAGAAGCAGGCAGGTGGGTTTGCAGGAGGGCTTCCCAGACAAGGGACTTAGCTTGACCCTGGTTGAGAGAGGTCGCCATGGGAGGGATTCAGGCAGAAACTGTGGAGGCAAGGGTGGAAAACCCGGGGCAGGCAGCAGCCAAGAGGCTGTACACATGGAGGGCAGGAGGTGCTGCAGCTGGAGGGCAGGACTCAGAGCTGAATCATCGGGCGTCAGCCTTGGGGTCTGCCAGATGAACTGGATGGATGAGGGGTGTGGCCACCTCCTGCATTGGGGGACTACAGAGGAGAGGCATGGGGAGAAATCAGGGGCTCTGTTCTGGACACATTCGGCTTGAAATATGTACGAGACATCCCAGTGGGAATGTTGAGTAGGTGGTTAATGCACAAGTTCAAGTTCAGCTCAGGGCTGGAGAAGTGAATTTTGCAGCCATCAAGTATAAATAGAATTCAAAGCCACTGAACTTAGAAGAGTTCCTGTCAACAGGATTTAGATCCAGGAAAAGAGACCGAGAGGCATGGCCGCTGCCGAGGAAGAGCCTGGGGCTGTGGGAGCAGCGAGGCCACCATCTGACTCTGGATGCCTGGAGAGCCGGGAGACAGGAAGGCTGGCTTGTTCCTGCCTCTCAGATGTGCTCAGCTAGTTACATTTGCCTGGCTAAAACACAGGGGCCATCTCTTTAACATTTCTTATTAAAATAGGTGTGTGTTTTCAGAATATCTATACTTATCTCCATAGAACTCTTAACTATTTTAATTCTTTTTTTTTTTTTTTGAGACAGTCTGGCTCTGATCTCAGCTCGCTGCAGCCTCCACCTCCCGGGTTCAAGTGATTCTCCTGCCACAGCCTCCCAAGTAGCTAATATTTTTTTGTATTTTTTAGTAGAGACGGAGTTTCACCATGTTGGCCAGGCTGGTCTGGAACTCCTGGCCTCAAGTGATCCCCCGACCTTGGCCTCCCAAAGTGCTGGGATGACAGGTGTAAGCCACCCTGGCCAGCCTATTTTCATTCTTAATATACACATTGTTCATCCTCCCTGACTTAGCTCTTCCAGAAAGGTGGTTGCTCACCAATCTCCTCTCTAAGAACCTTCTCAGCACAGGAGTTCTGTTCTGTGTGTTAAATTCACACGAGATTAAGATCATGCAGAGATACGAGAGAACTGGCTCTGATTTTTGCAAGAAGCCAGTTGAATAGAGGGCCTTGGGAGATAATTAGGCAGATTTCTCTGACCTATGTTAAGTAGCTCTGCACGTTTCAGAGGAGGCAGTATTGGAGAAGGACTTACAAATGTGCTTCCTGCTTTTAAGCAGCTTGGTTCTCGTCATACAACTATACTTGCCTTTAGGGACTGTGTAGGTACCTATTGGAATTTCTTTCTTGGATTTATTTGGAGTAGGCTTTCGTAGTACTCATAGCGTTTATTAGAGTAACATTACGTCAGCATTTAACTTAGTTTAAAACGTAGTCCCCTTTGGGAAATTCAATATAAAATCCTAAGAACAGCAACAAACCTAACAAGATATATGTGGTCCCAGCTTACTGAGGGTTCAACTCGATGATGGTGCACATGCAATTTGCATTCAGTAGAACATCAGTAAAATGCTTGAGATACTAAAAACTTTATTATAAAATAGGCTTCGTGTTAGATGATGTCATCCAGCCGTCAGCTACTGTAGGTGCCCTGAGCACATTTAAGGCAGGTGAGGCTGTGCCATGGTGTTCGGTGGGTTATAGGTGGATTCTGTGCATTTTCCACTTCACGGTGTTGTCAGTGTATGGTGGGGTTGTCGGGAAGTAGCCTCGCTATAAGCCCAGGAGAATCCCGGCATGTCGTGGCAGCCTGAGGACAGCAGGAGCCCCTTGGCACACTGTGCCCTCCCCCGTTCATGACTAGTAATGGCACAGTTATTGTAAAGCTGATGTGGCTTTTGCCAGCCCAGACTTCAGTTTGTAGACTACAGCCCAGCTTGTAGATTTTATTTCTGTTGTCACCCTGTACTAGTCCAGAAATTCTTAAAATTTAGTGTTCACGAGAATTGCTGTGTACAACATACAAGGGGCTGTATACAAAATCCCTGTGTCCTATAGTTGGTAGTCAGTTTAAAGGGCTTCAGTCCAGTTAAAGGGTTCTGTGAGCTGTATGGTGCCACCATTGTGTGCGGCACGTGTCAAGCAGCTTCATGGTCACTGCAGGATATTTTAGCACTGAGGCATTTTAGAAGCAGTCCAGGCCGTGCCACCAGCTGGCATGAACTCACTCATTAAACACTTACTGAGGGCCTGCTCATGCCAGGAGCTGTGTGAGCGGCTAAGGTTTTGTGGTCACTATTTGGAGATATGGAGTCCTTGGGAACATAGCTGCACACCAGTCCTAGTGGCGCAGGAGTTGCCATAGGGCGTTGTTTACAGGGTCCCCACGCGAGCCCAGAGCAAAGGCCTCCTGAGTCTGCCAAGGAGGCAGAGGCTTCCCGAAAGAGGTGGCACTGGAGATAAGCTGAATAGGGGCCTCATGGCAGGCAGAGACCCTGTGAGGCCGTGCAAAGGACAGAGACCTGGGGAACAGAAGCCAGGGCAAGGGGTGGGCTGGGCAAGCGGCAGAAGCCCTTCGGGAGGCTGGCCCTGGGCTGCTCCAGATGACTTGTGCCCGTCCTGCCTCCCACCAGGGCCACAGTGTCTGGGGAAGGATGGATCTGACGTCCTCCCTTAGATCTTCACATCCCTGACACCCTATGAAGTGAGAATCTGGGAGAAGCAACCCAGGAACGGTGTAGCGGAATTCATGAACCACTGTGGTGTTGGTTCCCGGGCTGCCTCCGAGCATGGCAGTGCCATAGGACACGTCCCACATTCTCTGTCGGCAGACAGAGAAGTGTTTTCATCTCATCAAGCAACACATACTTTATTTCTCTTGGAGTCCTTTTGAGAGACAGGATGATTTTCAAATTTGATTAAAACCTTGGAGAGAATCACAGGTGTGTGTGGGGAAGAGGTGACAGCAGCAGTGGCTAGCAGCAGACCGCCTCACAGAGGCTGCGCGTGTCTCGGCTTCACAGCTCTCCTCTGTGAGAATCTCCTGGGTCTGGGTCAAGGGTGTGCCCAGAGCATTGTCAGCCTGAGTGGTTTTTAGCGTGGAGCCTCTGAAGCAAGTTGTGGACCTAGGCTAGGATGTCCCTGGAGTGTTTTCAGATTTGGGCATTTGTTTCATTTTTACACCTACAGGCAGCCTTTTTTTCTTTTTGTGAGCTCAGCTCAGGGGCTCACTCCATCACCCAAGCTGGAGCACAATGGTGCCATCAACACCTCACTGCAGCCCCAAACTCCTGGGCTCAAGCCATCCTCCTGCCACAGCCTCCCAAGTAGCTGGGACTGTAGATGTGTACCATGCCCAGCTAGTTTATTTTATTTTATTTTTTGGAGATGGGGTCTGATGGTATTGCCCAGGCCTGAAGCATCCTCCCACCTCAGCCTACCAAAGTGCTGGGATTATAGGTGTGACCCATGGCACCCAGCCTAAATTTTTCAAATTAGCTGACATTTTTGACATTTGTAGTGGATGAGTCTCTGAGCAGTCTGCCATTTTGCCGGCACTGCTATTTTTTTTAACACTTCGTTTTTATTTAACAAGATGGAAGGCTCAGGAAGGTCATATAGACTAACAGTCTGCGTGTTCTTTAAAGGAATGGCGCTCAGCTTTGAAAACAGTTTCTTCATCTCTGTTGTGTTCCAGTGTGATTGCACTTTACACAGTTACATAAAGAATGCAGGTATCAGGTTGGAGCTGCATAATATGTACTACTAGTTGAAATAATTATAAACCGTTTTGTTTTGTTTGTTTTTGTGAATTCAGATCCCGTCCTTTGTGGCCCCAGTTTAAAACATGTTTGGACACTTTTTAGGGGTGAGACTGACTGTCCAGAGCAGGACATGGGGTTTCCGTCCTTCCTGCTGAGGTGGGAGGCTGGAGACCTGACAGTAGCCAGTCGGTAGTGGGGTCAGTTCCGCCTGGCCCTCCCCAGAGCTAAGCACACACTGGGCTGCACTCTCTCCCCTGGAGTGCTGGCTTCGCCCTGGCTGAGAGGAAGCATCCATACATAGTAGCCTGATGGCTCCAGCAGGGAGTGGGTGGAAGCAGCAGCTCCCCCCTTCCAGGGATGACGTTGTCTCTTACAGAAGCACATGCTTATATTCGGATTCCTGATTTTGATAGGAAGCCTATGTTGGACCATCAGGTCAGTTCGTTGGTCCAGCACATACTCTGCTCAATGCAGAGGCTGCAGAGACAGTGAAGACAGGACCTGCCGCTGCAGGAGCCTCAGAGACGGTGCCTGCCCTGCTGTCAGCCTCCCATTGACATCCAAGGGTCTCATCCCCTGCTCCCGGCCTTTTCTCAGAAATGTTGCTCAGATATATCTGTGTTGACGATAATGTGGAGCACATCGAACCCACTTATCTTATTTTGAAAATTTGGAGTATTACTGTTTCTGTGTCATGGTGGTTGGTGTGTAACATGGAGCTAGAGAACAACGGTTTAGGAGTTCATCATGTATAATTAATTTAAATAAGTCATTAGCAGCTGGGGAATATGCCTACAGCACATAGGAATTATGCTGCCTCGCCAATCTAAGATGGAAAGGTCAAGATAGTCTAAGTTGTACTTCTGAAATTTTTCTCTGCATAGCATACATTACTGGAAACCATAGTTAAGCTTTTACTGTTTTTCAATGTTATTGTTTTAAGGTGAATTGATTGAAAGTGAAGATAAAAGTTCTTAATTCGAAAAATATTTTTGCCATCTCCTAATAAAGAGGAAATTAAATCTCTGTGTAGTCAGAACTACTTGCTTATCTACAACAGGACTGGAAATTAAATTTCGTAATTAATCATTGAATCTTCTGTGATTCGTGGTTCTGAACATTTAACCCCAAAAAGGATAAATGTACAGGATTTTTAATTGTTAAGACAGCGTGCCTCTACCCTACAGATACCTGCTTGTGTGCACAGCATAGGTGGCAAGACGGCATACATCACTGTCTGTGATGGAAAGGTCCAGACACAGCCTCAGTGCCCCTGGGAACTTTTATTTACTGAATAAATTCCTGCACAGCCTGTGTTGCTGGGGCCGGGGGCTGACGCCAGGGTTGCCAGGAGCAGCTGCCTTACTGAGGGGATGGTTTCCGGATTAACGTGTGAATGGAGGGAGCAGCGTGCCTGGGGAATGAAAGCAGGTGTCAGCGCGGGGAGCTAGCCAAAGGCATTTCCTCACATGTGCATTTAGGAGCATAGGTGGCCTTCGTGGGCCGTGTGAGCAAAGGGATGACTGGTTGCCGCTAGAGAGGAGACTGTTCCCAACCTGCACATTTTGAAGTTAAGGAGGACATTAATTTGTCTAGAGAGTATTCATATCTGGTGCCTTTGAATGTCCTCATGCCATTCGCTTTCCATCTGTCTTTGGATGCGTGTTGTGGCTTTGCCTGGTTCTTTTAAATTGCATATTGTGCAGACAACTTTTTGTATCAGAAAAATCTAGAAAACAGCATGGTTGGAAGTGAGCAGAGGCAAGGCTGCATCTTGCCGGGGGAAGGGCTCTTGTGGCTGCATTGTGGACTCATGGACCAGCCTGTGGCCGGCCATGCTCACTCCGGGGCAATGTGTCTCCACAGCGACCGTGGCAGCCATGTATTACAGCTACTACATGCTACCGGACGGCACTTACTGCCTGGCGCCGCCCCCTCCCGGAATCGACGTGACTACTTACTACAGCACCCTTCCTGCTGGCGTGACCGTGTCTAACTCCCCTGGAGTGACGACCACCGCCCCACCACCTCCTGGGACCACACCACTACCGCCCCCAACCACAGCAGAGACTAGCAGCGGGGCCACCTCCACAACCACCACCACAAGGTAGGTGCAGCGTCCACCGCTGCCTGCTGTGTGAGTCACTCAGCACTGCAGTCACTGGGGCCGTCTGTGTCTCCATGGGGGGCTTGTAATCTAGATCATATACAGGGGTCCCCATTGTCTGAGTAGTTATTATTCCAAATCCCCAAGTTACAAAGTTGACAGGAAAACAGAAATGGTTGTAGCACAAACTTTTTAGCATTGAAGTTAAACCACTTATAAAGTTGAATTCATTTCACGTCGCACGCTGGCCCCAGATCTCCAGCATCTGTTCTTGCGCTTTGTGTCAGAGTCTCAGTTGAGCTGTGCTAGGCAAAATCAGTATGCAGTGAAGCTGCAGTTGTTTGCAAAACATGCAGGTTCATAAAGTTGACGCAGGTGATGTTGGGGTGCTTCATGAGTCTCTCCCAAGCTGTTGGCCACCAGGGGACCCTGGCAGCTACTTTAGTTAACCTGTGAAGCCATCGGCAGAGCCCTAGCTTCTCCAGCAGCGAGGGCCCCCAGTGTTCAGGGGACGAGTATGAGACAGGCGCTTTACCAGTGGGCCTGGAATGCCCTGCCTTGAAAGGAGACTCCTGGGAAATGGAATGAAACACGCGAGTTTCTGTGAAAACGACTCTTTCTGGTCATGCTGAGCAAGTCAGACAGGAAATGAAGGAGGTTGAACCATGCTTGCCGACTTGTTTTCAATATAACAACAACAACAACAAACTGCTTATTCTTTGTTATTTCTAAGAATTAGCTTGTGATTGGGGGGAAATGTTAATTAGTAGGAAAAATGCACCTTTTATCACTAAAATCCCCATTTTTCACTCTTGACAACAATCCTGTCTAGTTGACTTTAGTTTCTGTCGTGTGCATCACCTTCAACAAGAGCCTCCCCTAACACACTGTTTATAACTCACATGTCTCTCCGGGCATCTGAGGCGGTGAGGACCCCCGAGCAGCCAGGACTGAGCTTGGCGAGCCCCTGAAGCCCAGGGGTCTCACAGACTCTTCTCCTGCAGTGCACTTGCCCCCGTGGCCGCCATCATCCCCCCGCCCCCCGACGTCCAGCCCGTGATTGACAAGCTGGCCGAGTATGTCGCCAGGAACGGCCTGAAGTTCGAGACCAGTGTTCGTGCCAAGAATGATCAAAGGTCAGAAGAAGAATTTTATATGTTAGGTATATGGCATTTGGGGGTTTCGTTTAGCCTTTTTTTAAAAAAATGTAGGTACAGAATTAATTTTTTTATATATTTTTAAGCCTTTTCTTGGCTCAAATGTCTTTTTTTTTTTTTTTTTTTTTTTTGAGATGGAGTCTTGCTCTGTCACCCAGGCTGGAGTGCAGTGGCGCGATCTTGATTGACTGTAACCTCTACCTCCTGGGCTCAAGCAATTCTCCTGTCTCAGCCTCCTGAGTAGCTGGGACTACAGGCGCGCACCACCACGCCTGGTTAATTTTTGTATTTTGGTAGAGACAGGGTTTCACTGTGTTGGCCAGGCTGGTCTCAAACTCCTGACCTCAAGTGATCCACTTGCCTCAGCCTCCCAAAGTGCTAGGATTACAGATGTGAGCCACCACGCCCAACCAATGTCTTTAGATAAATACATTTTTTAATTGGCTTGTTAAATTGCTTAGACTTGGGTGGTGTTTTTAAATTATGTTACCTGTTTTTTGTTTCATTTTTTAAGTAGGAATTTTGAAGCTACCTAAAATAAAAGCCTATAATTCATGGTTTTCAAGAATCTGCCTTAAAAATCTAGACACAAACCCTTCTTTTTAAAAACCAAGCAATGTCCCACGCCTCAGTACTAATAAAACGTAAAGATATGTTGTCACATTTGCAGCGTGACCTGTGTAACCCCGGGCAAGCGATTTCGACCCCCTGTGTGCAGTCTCCCTCGTCTATAAGATGAGTAGCTAAAACAGTAACCACCTTGTGGGATTGTTGAGATCAGTAAAGAGCTAGGAGAACAGGGCCTGTTGTTACTTCAGTGAGCTTGTCTTGGTAAATGACCCATTTTCTTTCTTTTTCTGCTCAGATTTGAGTTCCTGCAGCCGTGGCACCAGTATAATGCTTATTATGAGTTTAAGAAGCAGTTCTTCCTCCAGAAAGAAGGGGGCGATAGCATGCAGGTACGTGTCTGAATGCAGGGAGGCTGTGAAGCTCTTAGAGGTGGCTCCGCCTTCCAGATCAGAAGTCGCTTTCTGTTTCTTCTCCTACAGGTGAAAGGGCTGGGTGATTCTTCACCTTTTTTTAATGTGTGTCTGGCATACTCCATCTTTCACGTCCCCCTTAGCTCTGGAACCTGATCTGTTGAAAGCATCTGCCCACGTTCACAGCATTGATGATTGTTTGTCCAGCACGTTCTAAACAAACAAAAAAAATCCTGTTCCTTCAACTGTTCGATGTTTTGGCCGTCTACAGTTACTAGCTACCTTTCATGACAGCCGGGTACCTTGCTTCTGTTGTGTTAACATGTATGAAATATATAAAATATAAGTGGGCGCCTCATGCCTGGCCAGCTGGTGCTGGGGGTGTCCTGCAGCACGGCCTCTGCCTGTGCCTGCACGCCCTTCCCCCTCACCAGATCCCCAGCGTGGTGCTGGCGCACTTGGAAGTGCTTTTTGTCCTACAGCCCCCTCTTCTGCCTTTGCTCTGCTCTTCTCAGTTATATAGACACCCTGACATTTTTGTAAAGCCAGTTTTGGTGAGGAGATGACATGGGCCTTACTTCTCAGGAGATTTCTTCAGACCCTTATCTCCAATAGCCCACACTGAAAGAAACTGACTCCTCTGTAGGTGATGGGGATAATTTGGTATTTTTAAAGAATTCTGAGTAATCAGTGTCCAAAGAAAAGATACTGAAAATTGGTTCCCAAGGCAGTATTAGGGCTTCAAAGAGTATAGTGTTTTTTCAGACAGGAGAAAATCTTCCATTCCTCTTTGATACATTCCATTGTAAGAAAAAACAGCAGATCTGGATTTGGAAGTCTGTTCCCAGTGCTGCTTGGGCAGTAATGTACAATTGCCGTTGTCCAGTGAAACATATACCGTATACATCTCTCTTTTTTTAAAATTTCTGTATAATTTCCTGCTGACAGTTTATAGTGACATTTAATCTCTAGGCTGTGTCTGCACCAGAAGAGGCTCCCACAGACTCTGCTCCCGAGAAGCCAAGTGATGCTGGGGAGGATGGCGCGCCTGAAGACGCAGCCGAGGTGGGAGCACGGGCAGGCTCAGGCGGGAAGAAGGAGGCATCGTCCAGTAAGACCGTCCCGGACGGGAAGCTGGTGAAAGGTATGCTGCCACTTGCATGTTGGCCTTGCACATTCCACCATAAGTTGGCAAGCGTAGGATCCTCGGTGACCTCAGACTCAGCGCCCTCACCTGCAGGCTGGGGTGGGGTTGGCGGCCCCCTGGAGGTTGCTGTGGTGAAACCTCTGCCTTCCATGCTGTGTCATGCTTGCCTCGCGTGGCATTGGAGGTAACGTGAGTGTGAGCAGCCCTTAGGTATGTGTCTGTTTAACAGTCTGTTCAGTGTACTGGACATTTGTACAGAAAGTTTCAAATAATCCTTTGTACTCCCTGGGACTTCTGAAACTATTTATATGCAAACTGTTGTACCAGTGAAATTCATTTATTAATTTGTCAAAGCAGATTCCTTGAGAATCTCTACCAGGCAATACTTCACTCACTCGATTTCAGTTACTTTGTTATGTTCTTGGAGCAAGACTTTGATGTCACAGGACAGACAGGCATGTAAAAATACAAAGTCAGTGTAATTAAAAAGCAGACAGAAGCAAAGGCCAGAGCAGGCCCTTAGCCAGGAACCTCGTGGAGCAGCAGTGGGCTCCCCCCGCGGGAGGGAGGTTCTGTGGAGTAGAGGCGTTCAGCTGGTGTTGCGAGAGGAACGGGAAGCTCTGAGGCAGGGGTGCAGCCCTAGGCAGGAGCCCCGTGGTGCGAGCTGCCCGGCCCCGTGTTGAGATGCGGTAGGTGGTCAGCAGTGACTTCGGGGGTGGCTGGTGAAGGAGCCTTGGCCAGCTTGCCCCGGTGCACCCTGTCGGGGAGGGGCCAGCACATCTGACAGGCTTTAGGTCAGCGGAATAACTTTATCCAGTCTGGTGACTTTGTGATGCGGTTAAGCCACTGGAGCGACTTCAGAGATTTCTGGTGGCATTGGTGGCCTGGAATGGAGTGTGACAGGTGTGGCAGTGGGGTGAGGTGTGGCAGTGGGGCGAGGCGACAGCTCTTGGGTCAGAAGGAAAGGCAGAGTGGAGACAAGAGATTGAGGAAGTGGGCTGGGGTGATAAGAGGACCGTCCTTTGCATAAAGATGCCTTGTTGTATGAGAATGGTGATCATTCAGCGAAACCAAATCCATGTGGATGAACCGCTAACTAGGCAATTCACTATATGTGTCTTTGGGCCTCTCATTCGAGTAGGTTACCTGAGCACAAGTGATCCAGCTCTCACCCTTCCCGGCCACCCGCATACTCTCACTGGGATAATCAAAGGAATGTAATAAGTAGAGGAGGAAAATGGTTACTGCTCTAGAAACCCGGGGAGAGGTACTGTCTATAGGTCAGGGTAAGGCAGCATACCTGGAGCTTGCAGAGAAGTACCCTTGAGACTCAGGGCAGTGACTCCAGGGGAGTCGACTGTCAGCCACAGAGGGGCAGGCAGGAGGCTGGAACAAGCTGGGAGCTTCCCAGAGGCAGCAGTACCTCATCCCTTCTCACACCCCAGAACACAACCACAGCCCGAGCCTGCCTGCTGCCCCAGGGTTTGTGAGCCCAGGGAAGGCGCCTGACCCAGCCAGCTATGGGGTGTGCAGAGGGGTTGTGAGCCCAGGGAAGGCACCTGACCCCTGCCAGCTGTGGGGCCCGCAGAGGAGCAGCCCTGCCCACAAGGCTGCTGCCAACCAGCGTGACCTTCTCCACACTTCCCTGATTGTCCTAGAACCTGGCAGATGAAACAACACACCGAGAAGTTTACCGTCTACATCCACCCAAGCCTGAGACACTTGAACAGAGATCTACTCAATATCTGACAAAACCCATGCTAACTCTCAGTTCTCAAAAGCACAGGCCAGCCTCTCTTTGAAAAGATGCGGAGACAGAAATGTCATTGCGCCCACAGAGATTCCAAAGTTCGGGAGACACAGCTGAGCCTCCAGGCATATGGGCATCTCTGAAACAGACTCTTGCGTAACAGGAGAAAAATCTTTTAAGTCTCTAATTTGTATTCTACAAAATGGAAAATATTATAAAACTAGTGCTACTGGTAATCAGACATGGAAAAGATTGCTTAGAAATTGCTGTGGAGTGTGGTGGCTCACGCCCATAATGCCAGCACATAGGGAGGCCAGGGCAGGCAGATCACTTGAGTCCAGGAATTCGAGACCAGCCTGGGCAAATGACAAAACCCCGTCTCTGCTAAAAATACAAAAATGTAGCCGGGCATGGTGGCACATGCCTGTAGCACCAGCTCCTCACAGAGGCTGTGAAGTGGGAGGATCACTTAAGCCGGGGAGATAGAAACCAGCCTGGACAACATCGTGAGACCATGTCTCTACAAAAAATTAAATTAAATTAGCCAGGCATGGTGGCACCCATCTGTGCTCCCAGCTACTTGGGAGGCTAAGGTGGGAGGATCTTTTGAGCCCAGGAGACGGAGGTTGCAGTGAGCCAAGACCACGCCACTGTGTTCCAGCCTGCGTGACAGAGGAAGAAAATTATAGGTATCTTTTTAAGTACACAAGCTACAACTAGAAGTTAACACTAGAAAATAAAGTATATGAGAACATATATTATTTTAAATTTGAATGAATTTGAAAATCAGTGAAAAATATCGCTTTCTAAGAAAACATAAGTGCTGAAATTATTTCATGAAGAAATCAGGAACCAACATAGACCTATAGACCTGAAAGAATTTTGAAAATAATTGGTTAGTGAAATACCTCTCAACCCAGGCAGTCAGCCAAGACAAATTAAAGGTCAAGTTAATTCACCCTCAAGAAATAGAATGCCTACATCATTAAAGCCACTCCAGAGCATTAAGAAGGATGGAAAAGTATGAAGCTCTCAAAGCTTGGCAATCTGTAGACCACGATCACTTACAAGTATAGATGTTAAAATATTAAACTGAATTCAGCTATGTATGAAAATAGTAGGCCGGGCGCGGTGGCTCACGCTTGTAATCCCAGCACTTTGGGAGGCCGAGGCGGGTGGATCACGAGGTCAGGAGATCGAGACCATCCTGGCTAACACGGTGAAACCCCGTCTCTACTAAAAATAAAAAAAAAATTAGCCGGGCGTGGTGGCGGGCGCCTGTAGTCCCAGCTACTCGGAGAGGCTGAGGCAGGAGAATGGCGTGAACCCGGGAGGCGGAGCTTGCAGTGAACCGAGACTGCGCCACTGTACTCCAGCCTGGGTGACAGAGCGAGACTCCGTCTCAAAAAAAAAAAAAAGAAAAAAGAAAATAGTAATAGATGATGAGCAAGTAGGATTGTTCCAGGAATCCCAGCATGTCACAAAATGAGAAGACCTTCTAGTATAGTTTACATATTAACAGATGAGTGGCTTTCTCAGATGCCGAGAAAGCAGCAACATTCTCTCAGATGTTGATGATGAAACTTCTTTAGTATAACACTAATTAATGTTGGAAAAACAGGCTCTCCATTTTGAAAAATAATAAGATATCACATATTTGACAACCATAATTCCATATAAATCCAGTATTTAAATGTAAAACATAAAACTAGAAAAGTAGAAAAATATAAAGGTAATTTTCCTTTTAAAATAATCTTGGAGCTGGAAAGAAGTGTCTTAAGAACTGAAGCTGTAAATCATAGGGAAAGATTGGTAGGTCTAATGGGGGCATGGCCTGAATAAAGTTAAAAGACAAATACAGAAATGGCAGTAACTGCTAATACATAAAAATAAAGGTTAACATCCTCACTATAGAAAGAGCTTTTATAAATCAATACAAAAAGACAGTCACTGACCTAGAGAAATAGACAAAGGACATGAAAATATGGTTCCAAAAAGAAAAATCGATGGCTAGTAAATATATTTTTTCAATGTAGCCTCATTAACAAGTTTTTATTTTTTGCCTCTCAAATTGATAAAGTTTAAAAAAAGTAACAATGAGACAGAGGCTGTGGGCAGTAGGAATACTGTTTTTGAGTGTAAGTCGATAGAACCCAGTAATATGGACTGAGTTTTAAATGAAAATGACCTTCTACTCCTAGAAACGTGTTTTACCAAGATGTCTATACATGGATGTTCGTTGTAGGGCATGTTTGTTTTTTAAAATTAAAAAAAAACTTGGAAACAGTTATGGGAAATTGTGAATTGACATGTCCATACTACTTATTGCTGTCTGTTTAAGTGGTCTGTGTTGACACAGAAACCTGTCTACACAGTAAAGAAAGGAGTTGCTGGGGCCAGACATGGTGGCTCACGCTTGTAATCCCAGCACTTTGGGAGGCCGAGGGGGGCAGATCACGAAGTCGGGATTTCGAGACCAGCCTGGTCAACATGGTGAAACCCTGTCTCTACTAAAAATCCAAAAATCAGCTAGGTGTGATGGCGGGCACCTGTAATCCCAGCTAATCAGGAGGCTGAGGCAGGAGAATCGCTTGAAACTGGAAGGTGGAAGTTGCAGTGAGCCTAGATCGCGCCACTGCACTCCAGCCTGGGCGAAAGAGCGAAACTCCGTCTCAAAGTGAAAATAGCAGGTTATGAAACGAGCTGTGCCCCCATTTTACACACGTGTGCCATTGTACACTTCTGCCTGGGAATCCACTGATTATGTTCAGATGATTTTTTTTCCATATTGGAATTGCAATTGATCTATTTGCTCATATGTTTTCAAAATCTCCCACAGAAAATGTATATTACTTTTGAAGTTAGAAGTTAGCAATAAGAGTTGTTAGCTAAAAAACAGAAACCTATTTGCTATGGAAGATGGCGGGTTCACTCAGGGGTGCCCGATGCCATGTTAGCCATGCATCTGTCCCCGCATGGTCCCGTCCTCCACCGCCTAGGAGATAGTGGACCATCAGTGCCTGAATGCAAATCATAGTGAGTGGTGTGCAGGAAAGAGGTTGGGCAGGGCCTGTCTGAGGAGGCATCGTGGGGGCCGATCCTTGAAGAATGTGAAAGGGACAGGAGAAGAGCAGGCAGCTCTCAGGCAGAGGTGAGGGGCAGTGCAAACGTGGAGCAGTGGCCCCGATCACTCAGGGACGTGGCAGCCTTGGGAAGGAACTGGGTTTATTCTGAATGCAGCGTGAGACCTACTCACTGAAGCTGTAGGACATGCTTTCCATGTGCTGTGACGTGATCTGCAAGGAAGATTCTAGGCAGAAGCAACAATTTTGTGATTGAAAAATTCCACATAAAGAAGCAATTCCTGATTCCCTGTACTGACCTGAGGTACCTGGAGAAACTTAGTTAATCTTTTCAGCCTCGGTTTTCCCATCTGTAAAATGGGAAGCCTCTCAGTGTCCATCCTGTGGAGCTGTAAAGGCTGAGTAAGGGAGGCCTGTGGGCTGTGTGCCATAGGCCACTCTTAGAGTGAGTAGCTGTGGTTTTGGCTTTGTGTTTGGTTTGCATAGATACTAGCTTTAAAATGTCTACTTGACAGGCCGGACAAGGTGGATCACCTGAGGTCAGGAGTTCGAGACCAGCCTGGCCAACATGGTGAAACCCATCTCTACTAAAAATACAAAAAATTAGCTGGGCATGGTGGCGAGCACCTGTAATCCCAGCTACTCAAGAGGCTGAGGCAGGAGAATCGCTTGAACCTGGGAGGCAGAAGTTGCAGTGAGCTGAGATCGCGCCTTTGCACTTCAGCCTGGGCGACAGAGCGAGACTCCGTCTCCAAAAAAAAAACAAAAAAAAAGTCTACTTGAGGCTGGGCACGGTGGCTCATGCTTGTCATCCCAGCACTTCAGGAGGCTCAGGCAGGAGGATTGCTTGAGGCCAGGAAGTCAAGGCTGCAATAAGCTATGATTGCACCACTGCACTGCAGCCTGGGCAACACAGTGAAACCCTTTCTCAAAAAAAATAAAATAAAATGTAAAATGAAATAAGCATTGCTAGAAGGTGTTCTGGAAGCTTTCATCTTAATACTCTTATTTGTTGATTGCGTATTTTTCTAATTTGGGGAGATGGTTTGGAAATAATTGTTATTAAATCATTTTGTGATATATTTTAGTCCAGCCCCTTGTTTGTTTTGTTTTGTTTTTTGTTTTTTTTGAGATAGAATCTCACTCTGTCACCCAGGCTGGAGTAGTGCAGTGGCGTGATCTCAGCCCACTGTAACCTCTGCCTCTGCCTCCCGGGTTCAAGTGATTCCCCTGTCTCAGCCTCCCAAGTAGCTGCGATTACAGGCGCCCGCCACCACACCCAGCTAATTTGTGTATTTTTAGTAGAGACAGGGTTTCACCGTGTTGGCCCTGCTGGTCTTGAACTCCTGATCTTGTGATCTACCTGCCTTGGCCTCCCAAAGTGCTGGGATTACAGGCGTAAGCCACTGCACCCGGCCAATTTTTTTTTTCTTATGGAAAATCTCAAACATGTACGAAAACAGAATATCACATAATGACCACTCACGCCCCACACACGTGCTCATCATCTGGCTTCAGCTGCCGGCCCTGCTGCTTTTTATTTTGATGTTATAAAATACTGCTGTCCCGGTATCAGTATCTTTGTGTGTGCCCTGTCCCCTGAGGCAGTTGTTGATGAAAAGTGGTTATATTTCAGAGGGTCTGGGCTATCACATGCTTAACTGTCTACTTCACATCACACGCGGGTTTGGAGCCATAAAATGCTAAAGCGGAAGGACCTCCGCCAGGGGCCAGCCAGGTAGCCCACCCTGTGCTACAGAGGTGGCATCACAAACATAAGTTGCAGCCCTTCCAGAAGCGGCCTTGTTTACCCAGAACCCACTTCCCTCTCAGTCACCTGGTTTGCGGTGCACTTAGCATCCCCTTCATTGTGGGTGCCTTGAATATTCTTCATAAATAACAACTGATGGTTTTTTAAAATACTGTATCTTATTGCAACCAGTTAGCTCTTGTCAAGAGCCATTTATCACAGCATCTGAAAGAGAAAGGGACTCTGTGTTCATTGAGTGGTGGGGCGGGAAAGATGATTTTTTCTTTAGGGCCTCCATATTTCCCTTAAATTTAAGCCTTCTGGATATTCTAAGAGGAGGGATTGCTTCTAAACTTCTGTCACGCTGGGTTTGACATTTTCTTACAGGTGTGGAAAATGGTCTAACATAATGCCTGTCACAAAGTAGGTAAAAATGTTTGCTGAATAAAGGCATGGATTCTGTAATTTTTGCTTTGTAAGAAAAGGCTATTTTTTATCATGGGGAATTTTTTAAAGAGACCTGTTTATAGTGGAGTCACATCATATGCCTCCTGAAGCAAATTTAGATATATGCTGAGCCATGAATTTTTTTTTTTTTTTTTAAAGAAAAATGAGGCCGGGCACAGTGGCTCACGTCTATAATCCCAGCACTTTGGGAGGCCGAGGCAGGCGGATCACGAGGTCAGGAGATCAAGACCATCCTGGCTAACATGGTGAAACCCCATCTCTACTAAAAATAGAAAAATTTAGCCAGGCATGGCAGCGGGCGCCTGTACTCCCAGCTACTCAGGAGGCTGAGGCAGGAGAATCGCTTGAACCTAGGAGGCAGAGGTTGCAGTGAGCCGAGATCGTGCCACTGCACTCCAGCCTGGGCGACAGAGCGAGACTCCATCTCAAAAAGAAAAGAAAAGAAAAATGACAAGAATTGGCCATTTAAAATTGCAGGTGACTGCCCTGGCATCAGCGAGTGTGCCCTTGCCATGAAGTCCCCAGTCAGTGCGGTTCTCACAGCATGGTTCAGGGGCTCACCCCAGCCCCACGCCATGCAGTGCACATCTGCACAGGTCTGCTCTGACGGCACGGCGTCCCCCACCGTAGACCCTGCATATGATGTGGCTCCATGCTAGTCATCCCCTTCCCAGCAGCCGATGCTCAGGTGGGTAGCAGGGCCTGCAAAGATTTCCACTCTGTAACATGTATCATAATTCTCACCTTTCCTCAATAGCTTCCTTTGCTCCAATAAGCTTTGCAATCAAGGCCAAAGAAAATGATCTGCTTCCCCTGGAAAAAAATCGTGTTAAGCTAGATGATGACAGTGATGATGATGAAGAAAGCAAAGAAGGCCAAGAAAGTTCTAGTAGTGCTGCAAACACTAACCCAGCAGTTGCCCCACCCTGTGTAGTTGTTGAGGAGAAGAAGCCTCAACTTACCCAGGAGGAGCTAGAAGCAAAGCAAGGTTTGTTGATAGCTTTTAAACTTCTTGAAAGAAAGGAAATACACAAATATAAGATTTATCTGCTAAGCCAAAAAATCTCGAGGCTGCCAACTAGAATCTGAAGCCTTTGGAAATCGACCTATTTGGGAGTTGTGTAACATGTCTGAGGTTTTGAAACGTTCTCTTTTAGAGGAATGAGCTCTGCTCTTCACTGAGCCTCAAATGCAGTGCCGCTGGCAGTTTGTTTTCGAAGAAACTGAGTTGGCCGTCTTAGCTCTAATGCGCCACAGTGGAATGCATTAATGGCAGCTCACTTTGCACTTGGCTGGCAGCCCCAGGGTAAAAGGCTCAGCCTGTCTTCCCAGCTCAGGAACCAAACTAGGAGATGCCCTCTTGTGAGGCTGCCTACCCACAGAACCATTGGGCCCTTGAAGGTGGTGTGTCCCCAGCTGGTTTTCCGGCTGCGGCTCATCTTCATGGGCCGCAGTGTGGCCACCACACCCACCCCAACACTGCTGGCAGCATGGGGACAGCATGTAGTCTTCCCATCCCGACTCCAGAATAAATTCTGCTCTGCATTAAAGCAGTCAAATAATGGTTGCTGCATTGTGGTTGTTATCTATTCTAACTGATTTTCTTAAATTGCTTTTCCTGTATACACACATTCAGATCAAGCAACATTTGAAAGAGGCCAATTTTCAGGCCAGGCGCGGTAGCTCATGCCTGTAATCCCAGCACTTTGGGAGGCTAAGGTGGGTGGATCACCTGAGGTCAGAAGTTAGAAACCAGCCTGGCCAACATGGTGAGACCCCATCTCTACTGAAAAAACAAAATTAGCCGGGCGTGGTGGCACACGCCTGTAATCCCAGCTACTTGGGAGGCTGAGGCAGGAGAATCGCTTGAACCCGGGAGGCAGAGGTTGCAGTGAGCTGAGATCACGCCATTGCACTACAGCCTGGGCAACAAGAGCAAAAACTCCGTCTCAAAGAAAAAAAAAAAAAGCCATTTTTCAACCACAATCCACCATCAAGAACTTCCATTGTGCTGTGGTGTTCTCCCTAAGCAAACTTGTACTCATGCCTGTACATCTGAATCTGTCCTTCCTGTGTGTAAACTAACCAACTGTCGGATCATTTGGAATAAAACACTTATAGAGTATTCATTGCCTGGTGTGAATATTTTGGATATATGCTGAGAGCCACTCTGAGGTTTTCATTATTCCAGCTTTCGTTAGTGTAGAGTCTCACCAACCTTCTAACTCTGAAAGTAAAATGTCCAAAAAAGGGCACGTTATAAACTAATTCTCTCAAAATTTGATTTGTCCAATGTATGTACCTATTCAGAAACTTTAACTAACTGCATTGTATGACACTTTTGCAACCTGTGAAAATTAAGATCAGATAAAATACTGTTTGCTCTAAACTTCTCTTTTTTCTTTGTTTATTCCTTAAGCAAAGCAAAAGCTGGAAGATCGCCTCGCAGCTGCTGCCCGGGAAAAGCTGGCCCAGGCGTCTAAGGAGTCAAAAGAGAAACAGCTTCAAGCAGAACGTAAAAGGAAAGCGGCGTTATTTTTACAGACCCTCAAAAATCCTCTGCCGGAAGCAGAAGCTGGGAAAATTGAGGAGAGTCCTTTCAGTGTCGAGGTATAGTAAAATCCCACATTGGTATCTGCGGGGCTGTGTGATACATAGAGGCAGGGAGGATGTGTCTCCCTCCAGCTGCCCTAGTCTCTGGCCTGAGTGAGGGATATGAGCTCCCAGCTCTTCCTCCCGACATGGTTGAGTGGCTTTTACTCTATAGCAGTGAATCTAAGAGTTTGCCAGCAGTCTCCCCCGTCAGTGCACAGTCACGCCAGCAGCAAACACTGCCCGCGATTTCAGGGGAGCCTCTGCTTCACGGCTGCCCTTATGGGGCTGGCAGGAGGGCTTGGGGAGTGCCTCCCATGGGTCCTGCTGGGGAAATGTGGTGGACACACTTCACTGAAGCCCCGCCTCCGCAGCAGCACCAGTATTGCGCTCACACGTGGGGCAGAAATCCTTTTGCCACGGTCTGTATCAATGTCAGCACTTTAATTAAAGAGAAAAAGGAAGAGGGAGTTAAGAGAACAGACTCCAGGAGTACATGGCTCCTTCCTCAGTGGTGTGAGCAGGAATAGGGCCTTACATGGGGGTCATCACGTGGCTGCCTTACAAGTCTCCCTGCCAAGGAGGGGGTGCTCAGAACAGTGCCTCAGACCAGAGGCCTTCAGTAGACACTGGCTCCTGAGTGCCAAGGGGATTGCTCCCTTGTGTGTCCGAGACCAGAGGCCTTCAGTAGACACTGGCTCCTGTGCCAAGGGGATTGCTCCCATGCGTGTCCGAGACCAGAGGCCTTCAGTAGACACTGGCTCCTGTGCCAAGGGGATTGCTCCCATGCGTGTCCGAGACCAGAGGCCTTCAGTAGACACTGGCTCCTGTGCCAAGGGGATTGCTCCCATGCGTGTCCGAGACCAGAGGCCTTCAGTAGACACTGGCTCCTGTGCCAAGGGGATTGCTCCCATGCGTGTCCGAGACCAGAGGCCTTCAGGAAACACATGCCTTCCGCAGCAGCAGCACAGCAATTAATCATAATCAGCAAAAACTCTACTTTTTTTTTTGTCACATCAATTTAGAATCTTTTAAGTTTAATTTTAGATTCTTTATAGTAGTTATGTCTCTGAATTTTATTTTGTATTTAAACTACAAGAATATGCAGAAATTCTTTGGGGAGTTTAGGAGCATTTTGGAGACATAACTCTTAAAGTAAGAAAAATAATAGAGTAGGACACATCCTTTGAGGATTAAAGGAGGGTTGTCTTTGTATCAATAAACTGTGACAAAACTGGGCATTTTAGTAGCTAGTCCTGTAATTGTAGGTGAATTAAAAGCTGACAACATTTGAACTATAATATTAGAATGGGTTTACATCTACAATTAGACAATAGCTAAAAAGTTGTGGTTTTATGTTATTTCAAGAACACTTAAAAATCATTTTATAAAATCTTTCTCAACCTAATCTCTCTCTTTAAAAAAATGAATGAACACAGGAACAGAAAATCAGACACCACATGTTCTCGCTTATAAGTGGGAGCTAAACATTGAGCACACATGGACACAGAGAAGAGAACAGCAGACTCGAGGGCTTCATTGAGGGTGGAGGGAGGGAGGGAGGAGGGTGAAGATCAAAAACCTCCCTGTTAGCTACTATGCTCACTGCCTGGGTGATGAAAGAAATAAAAGTTGGAAAGAATAAAAAAGGTAGTAACTCCGGGAATTTTACTTTTTGAAAAGTTTCAAACCTTCAAAAAATTGGAAAGAATGGGAAGATGCCCCCAGCACCCCAGGCGATTGCATGCGCGTGCTCGCTCATCTATATGTGCGCACGTTGACCCACGCGTGCTCGCCCTCTCTGAGAGTCGTTGCATATGTGGTGACTGCTCTGCCCTGAATACTGCAGCTGCATTTCCCATGAAGGGCCTTCTCCTGGGAAACACAGCACTGCATGCAGATTGTCCACCGATGGTGTCCATCACTTCCTCTGCAGGCCGCAGCCACGTTGCTCCAAGTGGCCCCACGTGTCTTTTGTAGATCTTTTTTTCCCAAAGTACAGAATGAGCCTTTCACTTTAATTATATTGACGTTTCTAAGAGTCCAGGGCCATTATTGAAAACTGATTTTCTGCTTGAAGTCACTTCGCTTATTTTTCTGTGGAAAACAACATTCTAAGCTCAGACTTTTCAAATGATGCTGAAGGCTGAATCAGCTTTCTTGTTTTGGGAGTCAGTCTGAAATCCTCTCACATCTGGCAGGAGGCCTCAGAAATAATAACTGACGGGCAAGGAGGGGAGAATTAGAAGAGCAGAGAAGATGAGTTTGTGTGAGACCCTGTCGAGTCCCCGAGTGCCGCAGGGTGGGCTCCTGCCCTGAGTCCCGAGTGCTCTGGCCACCCGCTGTAGCCTCAGCTCCTCTGAGCCATTTGACATGCCAGCCCCAGAAACGAACATTTTCAGGCAAGGTGGGAACCCCCAGCAGCCCCCCGGGACGCCGTCTCACAGCCTTTCCACAGCTCTTCAGAGTCGGGGCTGCCTCCTGGCTCCTCACTTCAGCCAGTTATGGCCGAAGGATCTGTGGTCATTCCTTAGCTTTAATAGGATTTCTTGGCTGGACGTGGTGGCTCATACCTGTAATCCGAACACTTTGGGAGGCCAAGGCGGGTGGATCGCTTGAGGCCAGGAGTTCGAGATCAGTCTGGGGTCAACATGGTGAAACCTCGTCTCTACTAAAAATACAAAAAATTAGCCGAGCGTGGTGGAGCATGCCTGTAATCCCAGCTACTCGGGAGGCTGAGGCAGGAGAATCTCTTGAACCTGGCAGGCAGAGGTTGCAGTGAGCCAAGACTGCACCACTGTACTCCAGCCTGGGCGACAGAGCGAGACTCCTTCTCAAAAAAAAAAAGGATGTTCTGCAGCAATAAGGGGATGAAATACACAACAACAAAAATGATCATGAGGACGCTTGTAGCCACACAGAAAATGCTTCTGATGTAATAAGCAGGAGAAGCACAGTATAAAATATATCCACTTCTGTGGTTACAGCCATGAAAATATGCATGTAGCAAGGAGGGAAGGGAATTTAAGAAAGTAAGGGACCTGTTACAGTGGCGTACGGGTTCTCATGTTTTGATATCGTTTGTGCAGCGGGTAAAGGGGTTAATTGAAAGACATTCACAGGAATGCTTTAACCAGTTACATTACATGACTATACGTGTATGTCGTCATAAAATTTCCAGTGAAACTCAGTCACAAGTATAATTTATCACTAGCCCAGTTTTTCCCAATCTGCTGTAGTTCCGCATCACAGCAACCAGAATTATTTCCTTATAAACATAAGATATGTTACAGCTTAGGTCTGTGTCCTATTTATTTATTTTATTTTATTTATTTATTTATTTGTTTGTTTTTTGAGACAGAGTCTTGCTCTCTCGCCCAGGCTGGAGTGCAGTGGCGCAGTCTTGGCTCACTGCAACCTCCGCCTCCCGGGTTCACACCATTCTCCTGCCTCAGCCTCCCGAGTAGCTGGGACTACAGGCACCCGCCACCACGCCCGGCTAATTTTTTTGTATTTTTAGTAGAGACGGGGTTTCACCATGTTAGCCAAGATGGTCTCAATCTGTCCTATTTATTTTTACACGTACCCTCTCACCTCTCCTGTTTGCAGGCATTGGTTTTTGAATCTGTAGAACATAGAAATGAGCGTTTAAATCACTAGGATGCTCTCCCTGGATATATGTGTGTGTCTGTGTATGCAGATTACAGCTACCAAGCCATTTCAACAAAAATGTAATGGTTGTAGCAGATGATGATAAATGTCTTTAATTGCTTCTGAAACAAAAATACTTGTAATTAAATTGGCAATTGCCATAAAGAAAATTCAAACTCGAAAATATTTTTAGCCTAAAACAACTTCTGGGACAGGTTACCCTTGACTTTACTAAGTATTCTAGCATCTGCTTTACTCGCTGATGTTGAGACATTTGACCCAGCTATGTAGTTGTGAAATTCTCGGAGTCCAGGAGGACTTGAGACAAGACCACATTCGGCCACCGCACGCCCTGGGTGAGGAAGCCTGCGTGGCTGAGGGCACGTCGGCACCAGGAGGCTCATGGCACCCCCAGGTCTGTCGGGGCCGTGGCTAGCTCGGGCTGGCTCTGCAGGGTGGCATGAGGACACTCCCTTACACAAGGCCTGGCATAACATGGCAGGAATTTTGCTGTCACCTTAAAGTTAACTGAAAACAGCCACAGTGCAGCTTATGTGCCTGAAGGACAGTCACTTCTCTGTCTTTACTTTCTATAAAACTGATGTATACATATGATTTTTAAAGTTCCAATGCTAGAGAAAGGTATAAAACAAAGAGGAGAGGTCCTTTCTTTCTTGTGTATTTTTTTAATTCCTGTGGAAATGGCACTTTTTAAAATTCCTCCAATTCTCTCCCTTCTGTAGAGTTTGAGTTTTTAACATAAAGGTTACCATTTTACCGTTTTTAACTGTGCAGTTTATGCTGGCATTAAGTATATTCACACTGTGCAACTATTACCACCCAACCGTTCCCAGGATGTCCATCTTCTAAAACCAAAACTCTGTAGCCATTAAATAGTAACTCTCTGCCCTCCCCTCCCCCAGCCCTGGCACCCACCTGCTTGCAGCCTCTGTGAACGGGACTCCTGGGGACCGCATGTGTGTGGGATTCTGCAGTGTCTGTGCTTCTGTGCCTGGCTGACTTCACCTAGCGTGGTATCCTCTGGGTCCAGCCATGCAGCAGCCGCATTGGACCCCCTTCCTTTTTACAGTTGAATGGTGCTCGGTCGTGTGCATCTACCCCGTTTGTTTCCGAACACTTTGGGAGGCCAAGTGAATCCTTGAGGGGAAAAACTCAATTCGATTCATGTATGTGGAGGTGTAAAACCTCATAGGGGATCATACCCTACATATTTTTCTGACAACTTTTTTCACTTACAGTAGAGATCCTTCTGTTATCAATGCTTACAGTAGTGTTTGGTGTGTTACAGGCACTCGGTAGGTATTTAGTGACCGAATGACTTTAAGTAGTTTACCTGTAAATCACCCCCTCTGTGTGTGCCCCTCCCCTGCTGTGGGAAATGTGAGCTGTGGGTCTGTCTTTGTGAACGATGCCGCTTTCACCCAATCTGTGTCCTGTGTCTTGTGTACTCCAGTGAGTGCACCCACGGGGGAAATCCTCACCATGGAATTCCTTTTTTAATTTGAGATACTGCTCAGTTGACCTCTGAAGGGACCGTAGCAGTTTTATTTGCCCCCGTAGGGTGTGCGAACTATTTCTTCATGTCCCTGTCGGCATTGGTTACCATCAGCCTTTCGGTGGGAAAGCAGCATCTGCTTTAACTTACATATTTAATGGTAAGTAACACTGAGTCATTTTGCTAATGTCTCTTTTTTTTTTTTTTTTTTTTTTGAGACGGAGTCTCGCTCTGTCTCCAGGCTGGAGTGCAGTAGCGCGATCTCGGCTCAATTGGCTCACTGCAACCTCTGCCTCCCGGGTTCAAGTGATTCTCCTGCCTCAGCCTCCCAAGTAGCTGGGACTATAGGCGGGCGCCACCACGCCCAGGTAATTTTTGTATTTTTAGTAGAGACAGGGTTTCACCATGTTGGCCAGGATGGTCTCAATCTCTTGACCTCGTGATCAGCCCGCCTCAGCCTCTCAAAGTGCTGGGATTACAAGCCTGAGCCACCGCTCCCGGCCACTTTGCTAATGTTTCTTGGCATTGTCTGCTGCCTTTTGAACTGGCTTTCCCTTAGCCTGGGCCCATGTTTCTTCGACCTAGGAAGGGCCCTTTCTTTGTCTTATGCTGCGTCATGTTAGCTGTTTGTCATCAGTGTCACAAACATTTTTTCCCCGGTACATTTCTGACCTGCCATACTTGGAATTTATTTGAGTTTGAGGAGCACGTCACTATCGATGCAACGCATTCACTAAGTCATACATCTTTTCCCCAGTGACTCACAGAGCCTTCTTTACAACGTGCTGAATTCCCATTTGTACTCGATCTTTCTGCATCCATGTTCCTGTTCAGTCCCGTTGATCGTTAGGAAAGGTGATTTTACATATTCAGGTACAGTTGTAAATGATGTCCTAAAGTGTGCCTATTGGCATGGAAAGATATTGGCAGCACTCTAAATTTTTCAAGTGGCATATAAAATATATAAAAGCATATGCAAAAATCATGCATATAAACCTGCATAGGAGACTGGAGAGTTCCCTTGACCCTTCTCAGGACTGGCACAGGGGGTGGCTCGTTTTCTCGGCTGCCACTCAATCCCTTACGGGAGGGACCACACGAACGGACAGGTGCGGGAACCAGAGCAAAGGAACTCTCCTCTCTGGCGGGAGCAGGCTCTGCGCTGGCCTCACGGCAGCCTCCAAGCATATTACAATGCTCTTTTAGCTCTGCCATCTGGGAGTGGGTGTCTGTGACCCCTGGAGCCTCAGAAAGCCTGTGTTACAATCAGTGTTGAGTGTTAATCAGCTCAGTGGAGGGTCAGGGTGACAGCCTTTACACCCTGCCCTCTTGGTACCTGAGTTCTTGTCCGGCGTCCAGCAAGAATCAGGTCACACGAACGAATTAAAGGGTGGTGAATATGGAGGACTTTATTGAGCTGTGGAAGTGGCTCTCAGCAGAAAGGGAAGCTGACAAGGGGGTACAGCAGGAAGATAATTTTCCCCTGGAGTCTGGCCATCCCTCAGCCAAACTCCTCTCCAACATCCAGCTGCTTCCTCTCCTCTCTTTGCTCAGATGCTTTCTCTTCTGTGTGTGTCCCCTTTGTCTGGAGTCTGGGGTTCTTATGGGCACAGGATAGGGGGCAGAGCAGGCCAAAAGGCAACATTCAGGTGGGAAAACAGGGATAGTTGTCACTTTGGGCCACGGGTCCAGGCTTGAGTGTGAAGCCCTCACCAGTATTTCCCTGCCTCCTGCCTGTATCACATACATTCTCTCTTCATTCCTAGTGTGTGTTCGTAATCCAGGATGAAGAGAAGGGAGAAGTCTTCATTGAACCCCTTTTTTCATGCGGTCATTTACATAGTAGCAACAGACTGCAGGATGATTTCTTAGATTCCACAAATTTTTTTTCTTTTTCTTTTTGAGAGAGTCTCACTCTGTCGCCCGAGCTAGAATGCAGTGGTACCATCACAGCTCACTGCAGCCTTGACCTCCCGGCCTGAAGCACTCCTCCTACCTCAGCCTCCAAAGTAGCTAGGACTTACATGCACTTGCCACCATGCCCAGCTAAATTTTTTTGTATTTTTGGTAGAGATGGGATTTTGCTATATTGCCCAGACTGGTCTTGAACTCCTGGCCTCAAGCAGTTCTCCCGCCTTGGCCTCTCAAGATGCTAGGATGACAGGCATGAGCCACTGCACCCAGCCCACAAATGTTTTCAAGTTACTGATCTGCCAAGTTTACAATTCCAGTAAGAGTTTGAAAAGGAAATAGGAACTGAAACCTGCCTGTGTTTGCTGAATCTCTGCTGTGTGCTAGGTGCTGAGGTGCTTTGGGATATGCATTAGAAGCTTGCTTGTTAACCAGTGACCATGACTGCATTTGAGCTGTTGCTGTTCACACATGGGCATTTCCATCAGGACAGCACAGCCAGGAGGAGAGTGGCGGCTCCGGGACCTGGGGCTCAGGCGAGGCCTTGAGGAGCTTACCAGAATAGTGAGGGCCCACGAGGGCCAAAGACCCACAAGTGGTAAAGGACAGGTGGCCCCACTCAGGAAGACACTTTCTCAGGCAGAACCGGAATGACAATGGGAGGCCAGTTGTGGAGAGCCTGGGACGCCAGAATAAGTGAGCACGAGAGACCGACAGGATGAGAGCCGCATTTCCGCTGAGACAGTGTGGCTGCGGGGCACGGGGCGCTGGAGCAGAGTGGAGGCAGGGGTGGGAGGATGCACCTGGGCAGGACGTGGTAGGGCAGTGGGGCTGGGTGAAGGGATGGAGAGCAACGCCGCAGTGTTGGTTATCCCTTTCATAGTTAATGTAGTGTCCTTCACAAATAAGATTTCTTTTATTTTCAAATACAATCAGATACAAAGTCAGTCTGCTTTTGAGCGGTTTGTTTTGCCACAGTAGGAAATAATCGTTGCTGGTTCATGTGCTAATTTTGTTGCCAAATACTTCATCGTGACACAGGGGGACTAATCAATGTTAATTTCCAGTGTTACAGAAGTGGCCGGCGGTAAGCTGTTAATGCTCTCATAAATGACCATTTTTCAGAAGTTATTTGCTTTGTCCCGGACTCTACCTAAACCAATGTACGTCTGCCCCCCTACATTCAAACATGACTTCCGTTTTGATCATTTTTGCTGGAATATTAAAAATGCATCTCAAAGGCAGCTGTGGTTTCTGGGAAGCTGTGTTTGGCATCAGTCCTTGTTCACTTTTAGCACTTGAAGCTGAAAAAAGCAGTAATGTCAACATAATGAACCATCTTAATTCAGCCTGGCAGAGGTCACAACAGCTCTAGTTTTCACCTTCATGGTGAAGGATGATCGTGTTGTTGGAATAAATAGACCTGGACTTGATTACAAGTGACATTTGAAAGTGTTGATTCAGATTGTCCCGTCGCTTCAAAATGGAGCCCTAGTCTTTAAGCACAGTGGTGAGATAAGTATTATTAATGACAGGCATTAGTTAGGATAAAGGCAAAAAAAAAAGTTTGGAGGCTCAAATCATTAAGTTGGCAGTAGAAATATGAATAGAAACTCAGCTGGAGAGTTGACTCCTCGCACTCCTGTTTGTCTTGACTGTGCCTCAGATGGCGTCTCGCGCCCGTTTGGTTTTGTCTTTCACAGACGTTTGCCAGGGACCATGTTTTTCCATCTCCCCTCTGTTTTAACACAGCGCCTTACCAATCACACACCAAATTAGTGCAGTGATTTTGTGAGCGTGGAGAGAGTAAATGAGGAGAGTTCTTCACCAGAAAAAGACAGCAAAGACGTGTTTCTCTTCCTTCTCGTCACAGAACAAACTCCTTACTCGAGGGTGGAGTATGTGTCTCAGCTCTCCTTCTCTTCAGCTCTCTCTTTGTTTTCCTGGGGAAATCCCGGGCCTTGTTGAAAGGACCTGCAGCAGCTCTGACTTCCCGAACACTCACAGGTGCCCGTGTTGAGGTTCCCAATGGCGTCTTTCAGCCCCTGGGCCGGCTTGCTTTCTGCGCAGCGTGTGCTCCTGATGTAGAGGCCGTGGATACTGGCATTTTTTTAGTGCATCAGCTGATTTCTCTGGTGTCCACCCAGGGCTCGCCTCAGAGGATGTGCTCAGCTCGCAAACCTGTGTTCTTTGCTCTTTGCAGAATGGAAGCCCTCTCCCTTTCGGTGTGTATGGGAGAGGCCATAGCTAGGATGTTGAGCCTCTGAAGTTGTAAAGCTTACTACCTTTTTATTTATTGTATGTTTAATTTAAAGGATCATTTAGCATTGCTTGTGGGCAAATCCTGACTAATGCCAGAGTGGGGGTGTTCTTGGATATAGAGCTTGCTTTGTCATTGGACGTTTGTGTGTTAGAATTATGTAAGCAATAAAATATTTTAGCTGGGCACGGTGGTTCACGCCCGTAATCTCAGCACTTTGGGATGCTGAGGTGTGCAGTTCACTTGAGGCCAGGAGTTTGAGACCAGCCTGGCCAAAATAGCAAAACCCTTTCTCTACTAAAAATACAAAAAAAAAAAAAAAAATTAGCTGAGCATGATGGCACATGCCTGTAATCCCAGCTACTCAGGAGGCTGAGGCACAAGAATCACTTGAGGCCGGAAGGCGGAGGTTGCGGTGAGCTGAGATCACGCCACTGCACTCCACCCCGGCAACAGAGCAAGACTCTGCCTCAAAACAAACAAAAATAATAAAATATTTAAAAGTTTGACCTGAAAAATATTGTTACACTTAACAGAATTTTAAATGAGAAAGACCTTTTTGATAAGAACTGTCCCACAGTAAAGTGGATTTTTTTGCCAAAATGTCCCTGGAGATAATTTAGGCAGAGACTTAAAGATGAACCTCATAGCGGCCATCAGATCCCAAGGAGGAATTCATCCCTGCCCTCTTGCCCGCCGCACACCCACAACCAGGGAGGGGCATTAGAGAGCACAGTGTAAACGGAAACAGCAAGGAGGCTGAACAGAGGGCTGAGAAATCACCGTGCCATCATAAAGCAGCCAGCTCAAGTGGAAACTCATCTTAAATTGGGGCCTGCCCCACCAGGGCTCTGCTGAATTGCTTTTGATCTCAAAGCCAAAGCAAGAAGCATAACTGTAGAAGAATCGTTTCTACAGTGTTTTCCCGCAGCCAGTTGGCCTTGCCACAGCGGACCTAAGGAGAGGAAAGAAGGGAGGGAAGCCCCCTTACCACTTTGCCTTTCACAGATGCCGTCCTGCGCACACTGCCGCGGGCTGGGCTGGAGCTCTCCCCGGGGAGCAGCTGGGGGCAGCCTGGGAGACTGGGTCCCACCCCAGCACCTAACCTGAATTTCTTCGAGGCACAAAGGATAAATTGCAGATTTTTCACTGTGTCTAAAGGTGTGAAATGTTTAACAGCTATAATTTAAAATTCACTTGAAGTGAGGAGAGAGTGAGCTTTCTGGGTAAAGAGGGGCAGGCTGCAGGCCTATGCTGTTGAAGGGTGCTGTCTCCTGATCTGGTTCCGATGCGCTGTGGTGGAAATGTGTCAGCATGCATTGAAGATTCATATGCTCTTCTGTATGTATGTAACACTC
This sequence comes from Homo sapiens, assembly GCF_000001405.40. NCBI lineage: Eukaryota > Metazoa > Chordata > Mammalia > Primates > Hominidae > Homo > Homo sapiens. The sequence goes on from NC_000012.12 coordinate 131,776,987, forward strand.
AGATGGAGAGGTTTTAAAACATCAAAGGGGAGCCTAGACCTTCTTTAAAAATTATTGTCAGAGTAGTGCCGATACTCATTTAAAAACCTAACATCGGAGGTTTGAGGAATCTCTCCTCTGGTAGTTAAAACTGTTTTTTTTGTTTTTCCTTAAGAACTATTTTTTTTTATTATACTTTAAGTTTTAGGGTACATGTGCACAACGTGCAGGTTAGTTACATATGTATACATGTGCCATGTTGGTGTGCTGCACCCATTAACTCATCATTTAACGTTAGGTATATCTCCTAATGCTATCCCTCCCCGCTCACCCCACCCCACAACAGGCCCCGGTGTGTGATGTTCCCCTTCCTGTGACCATGTGTTCTCGTTGTTCAGTTCCCACCTATGAGTGAGAACATGCGGTGTTTGGTTTTTTGTCCTTGGTGATAGTTTGCTGAGAATGATGGTTTCCAGCTTCATCCATGTCCCTACAAAGGACATGAACTCATCATTTTTTATGGCTGCATAGTATTCCATGGTGTATATGTGCCGCATTTTCTTAATCCAGTCTATCATTGTTGGACGTTTGCGTTGGTTCGAAATCTTTGCTATTGTGAAGAGTGCCACAATAAACATACGTGTGCATGTGTCTTTATAGCAGCATGATTTACAATCCTTTGGGTATATACCCAGTAATGGGATGGCTGGGTCAAATGGTATTTCTGGTTCTAGATCCCTGAGGAATGGCCACACTGACTTCCACAATGGGTGAACTAAAAAGGAACGTATTTTTTCCCAGCGTAGCATCTCTAATACTCTAATACTGTGCTCCTCTTGTTGGCTCCGGCTGTCCACAGCCTGGGGGCTGGGAAGAGAGTGCTGCCTGTGGAAATGCTCGGGAACCAGAGGGTTCACTTTCTCCTTTTGCATCCTGGGAGGTGACAAGGAGGTCACTCTGGATAGCCACAGGAGGAGACTTTCTAAGAGATGGTTGCTGTGTTTGTTGGTGTGAGGGGCCCAAAGTTGAAATTTTATAGATATACATCTTCAATGTTCTGTTTTCCCTGTTAACACCCAGATTTTCCTTTTATTCTTAGGAATCCAGCACTACGCCCTGCCCTCTACTGACTGGAGGCAGGCCTCTGCCTACTTTAGAAGTTAAACCACCCGATAGGCCTTCGAGCAAAAGCAAAGATCCACCGAGAGAAGAAGAGAAAGAAAAGAAAAAGAAAAAGCACAAAAAAAGATCTCGAACAAGATCACGTTCTCCCAAGTACCATTCGTCATCCAAGTCCAGGTCTAGATCACACTCAAAAGCAAAGCATTCTCTTCCCAGTGCCTATCGGACAGTGCGGCGGTCGAGGTGGGTGTGAAGGGGGCAGCACCTCTGGTACCCTCATGACCCCCATGTCCTTCACAGGACACCCAGTAGAGCTAGGTAGAACGTTTAAAATCAGTGCCGCTTTCATTAAGCAGACGCGTGTATGCATGTGCATGTGTGCCCTGCAAGTCCAAGTAAGATCTTTTTCAGATTTTTGTTTGTTTTATACTTAACTTTTTCTTTTTTGAGACAGAGTTTTGTTCTTGTTGCCCAGGCTAGAGTGCAGTGGTGCGATCTTGGCTCACTGCAACCTCCGCTTCCCAGGTTCAAGTGATTCTCCTGCCTCAGCCTCCTGAGTAGCTGGGATTACAGGTGCCCACCACCACGCCTGGCTAATTTTTGTATTTTTAGTAGAGACGGGGTTTCACCGTGTCGGCCAGGCTGGTCTTAAACTCCTGACCTCAGGTAATCCACCCACCTTGGCCTCCCAGAGTGCTGGGATTACAGGCCTAAGCCACCGCGCAGGCCTATACTTAACTTTTCAAAGTTCATAAACTACTGCCAGGTTTTTAAAAATTGGTTTGTTTAAATTCTAATGGTTCCTGGAAGCAAGCCTACCACATTTGCCGATTGTGTGAAAGATTCACAGGGTGGTGTGCTGGGGGTCTTTTGTTTTATTTGTATAAGTGAAGTTTCCCATGCTAATTTGTCTCAAATGTGTAAAGTTGCAAGACAGGAGAACTCTTTAGCACTGGTTCTGGGTTTGGATTCTCTGCTCTGCACACGCACTCACCGGCACCGCACTCTGCACATACACTCACCGGTGCCACACTCTGCACACACTTCGTGTGGCACCGGTGAGCGTGTGTGCAGAGATGCAGCGACGGTGAGTGTGTGTGAAGAGGGCAGCGCGGATGAGTGTGTGTGAAGAGGGCGGCGCGGGTGAGCGTGTGTGAAGAGGGCGGCGCGGGTGAGTGTGTGTGAAGAGGGCGGCGCGGGTGGGTGTGTGTGAAGAGGGCGGCGCTGGTGCAGAATGTTTCCTCTCCACCCTCCCTCCAGGAGTCACTATTAAACCAAAGGCCTTCTTGATGAGGAGCCAGTTTTTCAGAAAGCAGGTTAACATTTCTGGCAGCAGAAATTAAAAATGTAAAAACATTTAAGAGTCACAGAATTTACATCTTGGTGAAAACCACTTTTTAAAAACAAAACAGTGGCTGACCTACAGGAGGTTGGCACAGCTTGCCCTGTTTTCAGAACCCCGTTACACCTTGGGTTCGCTGCTGAACACTGGCTGACTCTCCTCGGTTTCTCTAACGCCGCACTGACTGTGCTCATCTAGTTTTTCTTCTGGAATTGGTGTTAGCTCTTATGTTTCTGTGGGAAAAATACACATGCCTTGGGAGCTTTACGGGCTTTTTAAGTGTAATTTTACACATTTGCCTCTCTGAATATATCCTAAAAACAATATGCTTGCTTTCTTTACTTATTTATTTATTTATTCATTTATTTATTTAGAGACGGAGTTTTTGCTCTTGTTTCCCAGGTGGGAGTGCAATGGCACGATCTTGGCTCACTGCAACCTCTGCCTCCCAGGTTCAAGTGATTCTTCTGCCTCAGCCTCCCAAGTAGCTGGGATTACAGGCATGTGCCACCACGCCCAGCTAATTTTGTTTTTTTAGTAGAGATTGGGTTTCACCATGTTGGCCAGGCTGGTCTCGAACTCCTGACCTCAGGTGACCCACCCACCTCAGCCTCCCACAGTGCTGGGGTTACAGGCGTGAGCCACTGTGCCCAGCCTGCTTTCCTTATTTTTACCCTGGCCAACACTTAAAGTTTGACAAGCATTTACACTCCTCTGCAGTGAAATTGGATTTGACTCCATGATAAATCAATTTGATCTTTCACTCTACATTTTTGCGAGTGTTTTAAACGTTTCATCACTTCATACCCTTATACACGCAAAAAAGAAACCTTGCTATTTTCTAATCAAATGAACAGTTTTGCTAATATATCTTCAATTTTTGAAGGCTCCCAGGAACTTGTATTGTATATCGAAGCTTTTTAAAAATTTCTCATTTGAGGCCAGGCACAATGGCTCACACCTGAAATTCCAGTGCTTTGGGAAGCCAAGATGAGAGGATCACTTTGAGGCCTGGAGTTCAAGACTAGCTTTGGCAACATAGTGAAAACCTATCTCTACAAAATATTTTTTTTTAATTAGCCAGGCATGGCAGTGGATGCTTTGAACTCCTGAGCTCAAGCGTAGAGTCTGAGGTGGAAGGATTGCTTGAGCTGAGCTCAGGAGTTTGAGGCTGCAGTGAGCTATGATCACGCCACTGCACTCCAGCCTGGGTGACAGAGCGAGACCTTGCCTCTAAATGCAATTAAATGATTAAAATAAAAAATTTCCCACTTGAATATGTTTCTTACGACATTACATAGCTGAAGATAGGCATAAACAAGCCCTCCTAGTAACCACATTCAGTAAAATTCTTCCCAATTTTCCTTTTCTACAGGCTCAAAAGGAAGCATAATTCCTTCCTAAATCCCAAACCTTGGGGGACCGATCATTGTAAGAGCTGTTCATGGTGTTTCTTTAGCGTAAGAAATTAGCTCAGCTTTCATGTGGGGAGTTTTTGCAAACACAGCGGATGTGATGTCTGATATTTCCGGGTATCCTACCATTCACCTCTAAAGACAGGTGATGCCGTGGCCCCCAGCTTTTCCCACATTGGCATATTCAGAGCTGAAAGGCTTCACCTAACACTTGGAATTTCAGGTTTCTAAGTTGTACATCCTTTTTGTTGACTGGTCTATAGTAGAAAAGGTCATTTTACATATTATTTGAATGATTTATTTTAGAATCGATTTAGAGTTACATATTTTTGAATAATTTAGAATAGCTTTAGTTACATATTACTTCACATATGCAAATATATCTTATTATTTTTTTTTTTTTTTTTTTTTTTGAGACAGAGTCTCGCTGTCGCCTAGGCTGGAGTGCAGTGGCGCGATCTCTGCTCACTGCAAGCTCTGCCTCCCGGGTTCACACCATTCTCCTGTCTCAGCCTCCCGAGTAGCTGGGACTACAGGCGCCCGCCACCTCGCCCGGCTAATTTTTTGTATTTTTAGTAGAGACGGGGTTTCACCGTGTTAGCCAGGATGGTCTCGATCTCCTGACCTCATGATCCACCCGCCTCGGCCTCCCAAAGTGCTGGGATTACAGGCGTGAGCCACCGCGCCCGGCCTATATTATTTTTATATATTCACTGCTGACAAGTCCAAGAAGCAAAATCCTACTCATTTGTTTGTAACTTTCAGTTAAAAGAAAAAATTAAGGTAAAAGTTACCTGAGTGTGGTTTCCACCGTGATGGTAGGCTACCAATTTTAATCCGACCTACGTTTAAAACACTTTACAGCGTCAGCAGAGCAAAGTGTTTCCAGAACACTCCAATTTTTAATTAGTCTCCATGGCCAAGGAGGTAGTATCTACATACTTCTAGTTAATTTTAGTTAAATAAGGGATTTAAAAGCATTTGATTTTGCAACTGAGACAAAATATGAAGGCAAAGTGCAAGCTTATTATAAAATGAAAATAATATTATAAAACAAAACCTTCCAGGTGTTGGATTGTCTAGCAAGTTCTACCGTGGGTGCTGGCCCCTGGCATTGGTTCCCCTCCACAGGGCCAAGGGCATAGCTGGGTGCAGAGACCGGCAGTGCCGTGGTCTCTGGAGTCTGAGGACATAAGTTAAACAAGCTAGTCAAGCCCCAGATGCTTGGGAGGCAGAGGCAGGAGGATTCCTTGAGCCCAGGAGATCGAATCTAGCCTGATCAACATATTCTCTATGACAAAAGAACAAGAAGAAGAAGAAGCTGGTGGTTTCTCACCATAACCTTTTCTTGTGGAATTCTGCCTCAGCTCTTCTGGGAACAGTGAGTGCGTGTTTTATTTAGTAGGATTGCATTTTTCTAAACTGGCTGCAAACCTGCCTCCTCCATCCAAGCTCTGCCAGCAATAATCATTTCCAGGGATCCAAGTGGCTTTAAAATGCAAGTTAGAAATGGGAGGGGTGGTGATCTCCTCAGTAATATGAATTATTGGAGTATAAAAGATAACTAAATTTTAACCAAAATATTGAAAGTGTTAATGCTGTTGTTATCAGATAGAATAAACTGTTACAAACGCAGCCTCCACTCAGAATGGATCGGACTTGTCACTTGGGCCTGAACAGACCTAATTGATCATTTTTCATGACTGCTGCCAGCCCACAGTAGAATACCGCAGTTGTTAATATTTCTAATTGGGTAGGATGCTACATGGAATGTATTTTGTTTTATATATTAAATTACTAAAATTCTATATAAAATACAGAAAGTTAAGATTAGAAAGCCTTCTTACAGCACAACGAATATTTATTTAATGGCTATACTGTTCCTGTGGTTGAAGTCCCATGTATTTAGTATGTCTAAGTTATGGGCGACTCTGGATCTCCAAAGGCAAATTAGTCATGGAAGAATCTTTAGTTTTGGAAAATCACTATGTTGCTTCTCAAAAAGTATACTAGTTACGACAAGGTAGTATTTAGTGTCTTTTACATCAACATTGAGGCTGGCACGGTGGCTCACGCCTATAATCCCGGCTCTTAAGGAGGCTGATGCAGGTGGATCACCTGAGGTCAGGAGTTTAAGGCCAGCCTGGCCAACATGGTAAAACCCCATCTCTACTAAAAATACAAAAATCAGCCAGGCGTGTTGGTGTGCGCCTATAATCCCAGCTACTCGGGAGGCTGAGGCAGGAGAATTGCTTGAACCCGGGAGGTGGAGATTGCAGTGAGCCAAGATCGTGTCACTGCTCTCCAGCCTGGGCAATAGAGCAAGACTCCGTCTAAAAAAAAAAAAAAAAAAAGATTAAAGTAAAATACTTTTATTGTCTGTTTTCATTTGTATTTTGATATTGTATCTGGTTCTCTATGTTAATGGAATGAAGAAGTACTCATGTAGTTCATTTACAACCTGAAATTAAATTTTAATAAGTATCAGCTTGAAACTAAGTTTATTTTTAAAACTTTTGCTAAGATAGTCTCTTGTGTTCATTTAGTTATCTAAATGCATCTTCAGAGTTAGCCTGGGCTTCTGGGAGTTCTAGATAGATCTTTGAATGTTGTCATTTTAAGATATCTTCCAGTATAGAGAGCTATATGATAAAAATATATTTCTGGCCGGGCGTGGTGGCCCACGCCTATAATCCCAGCACTTTGGGAGGCTGAGGCAGACGGATCATGAGGTTGAGACCATCCTGGCTAACACGGTGAAACCCCGTCTCTACTAAAAATACAAAAAATTAGCCGGGCGTGGTGGTGCCTATAGTCCCAGCTGCTCAGGAAGCTGAGGCAGGAGAATGGCGTGAACCCGGGAGGCGGTGCTTGCAGTGAGCCAAGATCGCGCCACTGCACTCCATCCTGGGCAACAGAGTGAGACTCCGTCTCAAAAAAAAACATTTTATATATATATATATATATATATATATATAATTCTTTGTAGAAATTAGCTCCCTAAATACTTGGGGTTGGTGAAGGAGACTGGGGATTTGGAAGACTTTTCTTAGGAGTCTTGTTTAGCATTCAGAAGGGACTCAGGCCACACTGGGTTTCTATTTTAGGTTGAAAGTTGTGGCTCCTCACTGCCCTTTTTACCCACAATAAATTGCATAGCAAATCCGTAAAAGCGATGACTCATCTCCTAATCCTGCCCCTTAAAGGGGGAAACCAGATGCTTGCAGTTCCCCAAGTGGTAGTGTTGATCATGCCAAGGTGAGGACCGTCGTTCCATCCCTTGCAAAGTGAATCAAAGTGAATTGTAGCCAAACACAGATAAGACCAGAGGGTGTCTGCACTGAGCAGTCCAGGAAGGAGGGGAGCTGCAGTGGCTGTCACCGGGCTGGGACACGAGGAGGAATTGCAGGTGAAATCAGATCCAGTTTCAACTTGAGGAAAATTCAGCCCCGGGAGCTGCTGGTAGAGCCCAGACCTTGATGCTGAGTCATCTGCACAGAGAATTCCGTGACAGAAAGGCCGTGGGTAGAGACGTGAATGGAGGAAGTGGAGTAGATGAAATGGTTAAATGTTGGAGAAAAGAGGCTATTTATGAATATGACCACTGTCATTCAGATAAAATTTCTGGACTGTTATCATTGAAAAAAGTCTCATTATGTTTCTATTTGAAAGCAAACCATTATGCTTTTTTGAGGAAAAAAAAAAACTGTGAGTCACGTTATGCTTGCAAGTGTTTAATTCAGACCATTTCATCTTTAAGAAGGCCCCTGGTCACATTATACGGATGATTTGCTTATTAAATGGAACTCCTGTTTCTTGCACCATGTTGTGGGGTCAATATGAGAAGCCTAATTAACAGAATAAAAAGCATTAAAGCTTCTTTAGCTAAAGTCAAACTTAGAGAATTGTCTAATGGTATGTAGCCCCTCGTTCTAAGATGGGCGTTTTCCCCAGATAACTTGAAAATCTACTGGTAACAGCCACTTCCCTTTAAAGAATTCTATTACTAATAGCCATGACAAAATGGTATTGTATTTCAAAGTTAAGAATTTGCAGGCCTTAAAAACTAACTTATTTTTCCTGATTATTGAGTTTATTGTAGAATTCTACGTGTAAGCATTCCCCAGCCGCTATAGCTTTGAATAAGCAGAGCTTTTTTCAGAGTTCTGGTAGCGCCCAGCCCAGCACCTTTTATTCTGAATGTGAAGTGTGTGCCTCCGTGTCACAGAGTCACAGCCTCCCCAGGGACGCTGCGCGCGGAGCCCTGTCAGAGCAGCGCGTCAGTGACAGCGGCAGCCGAGCCAGGAAGTTATCAGGCAGCCTCGACCACCACCAGATTTGACTCCGCGAGCTCTTTTGAGGGAAAACCTGGTAAAACGTCAAGGTGTCTAACTGACCTCGCCTTTATCATCTGTTCTGTAAATCTTAGGAAAGGTCTGGGAAAAAATCAAAACGATTCTGTCCGTTAAAGGGCAGCCACTCCTGGCCCTCCAGGATGCCGGGGTCTGAGTGATCCCGAGCTGATCTGCAGAAGCACAGCCTGTGGCATTTGCGGTTTATTGTCATGAAAATGATTCAACGTAGAACTTTTTCAAATGGCAAAATCAAACCGCTCTTCTTTATATTGTTTTTGAATGAGTTGTCATGGAAACAAAATGGAAATAAATGGTGTTTTTTTTCCAGATTTGTGCTCATTGCAGGTCTTCCCAAAATAGTAGCTTTACTGAATGAACAAAGAACTAAAATGAAGGTCCCAAACTCATCGCTAAGGGGCCTCCACTAAAGAGCATCACCCCTGGAGGGGCGCGGGTCTCAGGGTCCTTGGCCGCGTGTGGATTATGTCACCACAGGAGAGGGACGAGTCCTTTCCAGGCACATGAGGAGGAGGAATCAGTGTTAATGGGTGGCTTTGCATCTGTGAAATCGCATAAACTTAAGTTAGCTGAAGCTGTCGTGAGACTGGCATTTCCAAATTGGATTGAAGGTTTCAGGCTTCATGCCAGCGCACCACAGCCTGTTCCTGAGTATCTGTGCTGAGAGGCTGTAAGATTAGTGTGAACAGGAGAAATTTCCAGGTAGGCCTCTAGCTTCATTACCGTTGGGTTTCTTACTGCCGGTATTCAGACAGGTAGACATGACTCGCTGGAGTTTGATTGCCTTTTCTTACCTCATGTTGGTAGAAACATCAATGAGCTGAAATGTATAGGGAGATAAAATGGGCAGAGGCAGGAGGAAGGAAGAGGAAGCGCCAGCCTGAGGTGGTCATGAACTGCATACTCAGACCGTGGCTCATGGGGAATTGGTTGCCATTGACCACGTGAAGCAGCTCCAGCCTCCACGCCAGTTGCATGTTGGTTAAAAGTTTGTCCTTGGTGCGATAAGTGTGTGGAACGGGAGAGAGACCATCTCTGCCTCTGAGATTGGATTCGGGTTTCAGTTCGTTGTCGGTAAAGTAGTGAAGTGTGGCAGGGGTTCTCTGAAGCCTCAGGGTCTACACAGGCACCACCCTGAGGAGCAGCCTCTGCAGACGGGGCCTGATCTCTGCCAGGGCAGTAGGAAGCATGACACGTCCCGCCAGCCAGGCCACAGAGCTGAACACTGCCTCCTCCCCTGTCCAGGTCCCGCTCCCGGTCCCCTCGGAGGAGAGCCCACTCCCCTGAGAGACGGAGGGAAGAGAGGAGTGTGCCCACTGCCTACCGCGTGAGCCGCAGCCCTGGGGCCAGTAGGAAGCGGACCCGCTCCAGGTAGGCCACTGGGTGTGCACGCAGGTGCTGGATGTGGGCCAGGTTTCCCTGGGTGGAAAGGGCGTCTGAAGGTCGGGTATCTGTGAGCAGAGCTGTGGATGACCAGAGGGAGGTGCTGAGTCCCCCACCACCCCCCCACCCCCAGTGGCATGGCCATCACTGTTGACACTTGATCACACTGAGCTCCTGTGTCTGGTGGGCGGGGGTCACTTACCCACCGGGGCTCTGCACGGCCTGGCTTCGTGTCCAGCTTTCCACTGTGCTGGTACCTCGGCTGGGTCCACATGCAGCTGCTGCCCCTCTACCTGCTGGTGGAGAGGACAGGAAGGCACAAACAGAAGGAAAATGCAAGCTTCCGGTCCTAAAGCCTCCTGGTCTCAAGGGCAGTCACTGTGGTTGCCTGGCTGCTGTGTGACGGTGACTACGGCCCAGGCTGGAGCTCCCAGGAGAGGCCACAGAGTCCTGTTGGGGCCTAGAGGGCAGGGAGCATCCATCGCTTACCTCTTGACCACTAAGGAGAGCCTGTCTTGGTTGGAGCAGGAGATGGAGGGAGGTTAGCATTCATGTTCATCAAGTAGAAGCCCCAGCCGTGGTGCCTGGCAGGGCCTCTGACAGCCCAGGGTGCCACGGGCTCACCCCTCACTCAGTGCCTGGCACTCAGTAGAGGTTCCACCTTTCACTTCAGGAAATAGGTCCACCATCTGTCCGCTCACCCCGGCTTCCAGTAGCTGTGGACGGCCACCTCCATTGGTGCCGCCAGTGAGCACTACCCTCTCGGCCGTGGGGGTGCCATCTCACGAGCGCCTCCTCTGGTTCTCACCCACTGATGTCACCACCCAGTGCCTTGCGTGGGGCAGCCGTGCATTTCCACTCTTTCCAAGCACAAGGAGCTTGTTTTGTGTCCCCATGTGGAGTTCGTGCAGCCTCCTGGCTGTGTGGGTGGACCGTGTCTGCGTCTGGAGCTACACAGAGAAGGATGGAGCATTGCACATCGTAGCCTTGAGCTTCATAACACGGCACTGCTAAGTGCATGGGGGTCAGGACACTCAGGGTCCCAGAGCCTTCCAGAGGACGAGCCTTACATTGCCAGGATCACCCACACACTGGGACCCTCCTGCTCCTGGGACGGATGGTCCCAGCCATCACCCACACTGCCTAGCCACAAGGCACACACTAGGCAGAGAGCCACAGCAGGTCCTCCCCACAGCACCCTGGGCAAGAAGACCGTGCTGCGGTTGGCCTAGTACCACGGTTCCCTCCGTTGACAAGATGTGATTTTTTTCTTAAAACAGAAAAATTAGCAAAGGAACTATAAAGCGGATAGATACCAGCAATGTTTCATGTACACCTGGCTCTGTTTATAAATTACATTTTGTTCCTTAGTAATCCTACACTGAGCATTCATGTCTGCTCTCATACAATCTGATGAAAATTAAAATGTTAGCATCCATCCCTTAAACAAGTAATTTCACATCAGAAATTCACCATCACCTTTGGTATATGTGAAGGGCATGGTTAGAAATTAATTCCGTCTCAACAGAAGAGGCCTTGCTTTGCCTTCACATTAACCTTTGCTTTAAGAGAGACCTCGTGTGAGCAAGTAGTGATTGTATCTGGAAGTAGCAGCGTCCTGATGGCCAGCCAGCACACTCAGACGCCAGACTCGCGTGACCTGCTGACATTCTCACCGAGCACTAACAGGTCACACAAGAGAAGCAAAGGGTTAGACTCAGTGCAGTGCTGAGCCCTGAGCTGCCGTGCCCAGACAGACGGAATTAAACCTGCAAACCAAAGTCTGCGGAGTGTTAAACTGTGATTCACTAGGAACTCAATAGAGGTGAATACGTGTGTAATTACTGGTTAATTTTGTATTCTTAATTACAAGCCCCCAGTTAGTCTATAAATCCAGAATATGGGTTTGGTTTTGTTTTCTTTTGGGGGCGTTTTTTTTTTTTGAGACAGGGTCTCACCCTGTTTCCCAGGCTGGAGTGCAGTGGCGTAATCACAGCTCACTGCAGCTTCTACCTCCTGGGCTCAAGCCATCCTCCCACCTCAGCCTCCTGAGTTGCTGGGGCCACAGGCTGTCACCACCATGCCTGGCTGGCTGCTCTCAAGCTCCTGGCCTCGAGTGATCAACCTGCCTCAACCTCCAAAAGTACTGGGATTGCAGACATGAGCTCCCATGCCTGGTACAGAATATGTTTTATTAGCAATCATTATATTAATCCTACAGCCAGCCCGTGTCCCTGTCTCAGAGCGGGCGTCCACTTCCTTGCTGTGGCTTAGTGCACATAATTCAGCTACCAAGTTGCTGTCACTTTAATGCTGTGACAGCACCAGACCAAACCCAGGGAAATGCCCACTACCGAGATTTGCTGCTTTTTTTCTTTTTCTTTTTTATTTTTATTTGAGATAGGGTCTCACTCCCATTGCGCTGGCTGGAGTGCAGTGGCACAATCTCAGCTCACTGCGGCCTCAACCTCCTGGGTTCAACTCGTCCTCCCACCTCAGCCTCCTGTGTAGCTGAGACTACAGGCACATGGAACCATGCCCAGCTAATTTTTTGTATTTTTAGTAGAGACAGGGTTTTGCCATGTTGCCCAGGATGGTCTCAAAATCCTGAGCTCAAGCAGTCTGCCTATCTCAGCCTCCCAAAGTGCTGGCATAAACCACCATGCCCGGCCCTGAAGGGTCATTTCTGTAAACTGATTATTGCCTGATTCTTTCACTGACTTCTCACTTGGAAACTTTTTTAACTTATAGGCAAGTTTTTAAAATAGTACAATGGGGCCAGATTCAGTAGCTCACACCTATAATCCCAGCACTTGGAGGCCAAGATAGCAGGATCACTTGAGCTCAGGAGTTGGAGGCTGTAGTGTGGGCTGTGATCGTGCCTGTGAATAGCCACTGCACCCCCCACCTGGGTAACAGAGTGAAACCCTCTCTTTCAAAAAAAAGTGTACAATAAACACCCATATGCATAAAATCTGTAGCTCAGTTCCACAAGAGCTGACATTTTGCCACATTGCTCTCTCTCACCCCTTCCCATCCCGCCCATCCCATCCACTCCCCTCCCTCCCTCCTCCGTTCGTGTGTGTATTTCATGACCTTGGCATTCCTGAGAATTCCAGGCCAGCTCCACTATAGATGGTCCCACAGTTGGGCTTCGTCTTGCTGTGTCCCCGTGGCTGGGTTCAGGGCAAATGTTTTGGCTGCGTAGGCGACATTGCGTAGCTTCCCATTGCATCACAGATCAGGACACACAGAAGTGTCCATTTGTCCCATCATTCATGATGCTAAGTTTGACCACTTGATTAAGTCTGCATCTGCCCCTTCGTCTCCCCACCAGCGAGGAATCCAGGAGGTGACACTGAAGCAGCGCGGCTCTCCTGCTCCCAGCAGCTGTCTTCTCATTTGTCTCAGCATCCCTGGGTGACCCCTGCCTGAATCAGTTCTTACACTGCTGACTGCAAAATAGTGACTTTCCCCCTCTCTTCTTCCTTCTGTGTTTATGCTGAAGACCCTGCCCCTTTGTTTAAATCTCACCGTGGACTCAGGAGCATTTTTGGTTTTGATTTTTTATTTGTTGTGTGATAATCCATTGCTATTATTATTCTATTAGATGGTGACATTGTCTCCAGTTTGGCCAGTGGCAACCCTTCCAAGTCAGTTCTGTTCTTTTGACACCTCCCATAGTTCTTTGCATTCTTGCGTTTGGTACAAGATGTTCCAGGTTTACTGGGCATTTTCCCTGCTCCAGCCCTGGAATCTACCATTTCTTCAAGGACCTCTGGTTCCTTTTAGTGAATATTTGAAAATCCAGATGTGGACGTATGAGGAATTTTTAGGAGTAAAATTTGGTACAGTGTGGAAATATATAAAACAACATTCATGAAAGTTATTTTGAGTATGTCATAAAAGTGTTTTTCAGCCAGGCACAATGGCGGGCACCTACAGCCGCAGCTACTTGGAGGGCTGAGTGGATCTCTTGAGCCTAGGAGTTCACATCCAGGGCTTTTCACAAGAATATTGACCAAATCTTCTGGTAGCACACTTCAACAAGATGTCCCGGTTATCTTATTGTAGCAAATACAATGAATGATTAGTTACAAGTTTTTCCCATTGAGTTTCTAGTACTTAACACTGCACGAGGCACATGGACAACTGTTTGTTGAGTGAGTGAATGGGAGTTCACTGCTGCAGTAAAGATCTGCCTTTATACATGAAATGTTAATTCCAGGTAGACTTTGCTAAGCGAAGGATGCATAACCTAATTCCCTAGAGCAACCACTAAAAACAAAAATGTAGCTAAAAAGCCAATAGCAGATATAAAGTAGGATTCTAGATGCTTTCTTAAATTCATGAAACAGCAGAAAAGGGCAGGTGGGGGAAAGAACAAATGGGACAAATAAAAACAAGATTGTAGACTTAAAACCATCTGTAAAATAATTACATTAAATGTAAGAAGACTAAAGACTAGTTAAAAGGCAGTGATTGTGGAGTGGATTAAAGAGCAAGACCTGGCCTGGCGCGGTGGCTCATACCTGTAATCTCAGCACTTCAGGAGGCCAAGGCAGGTGGATCACCTGGGGTCAGGAGTTCAAGACCAGCCTGGCCAACATGGTGAAACCCCGTCACTACTAAAAATATAAAAATTAGGTGTGGTGGCAAGTGCCTGTAATCCCAGCTACTCGGGAGGCTGAGGCAGGAGAATTGCTTGAACCTGGGAGGCGGAGGCTGCAGTGAGCCAAGATCGTGCCACTGCACTCCAGCCTGGGTGACAAAGTGAGACTCTATCTCAAAGAAAAATAAACGAAACTTTTCCACCAAACTCCAGTCCCAGATGGCTTCACCAGTGAATTCTAACATTCAAGAAAGGAGGGGCCAGGCACGATGGTTCACATCTGTAATCCCAGCACTTCAGGAGGCTGAGGCAGGTGGATCACGAGGTCAGGAGTTTGAGACCAGTCTGGCCAACATAGTGAAACTCTGTCTCTACTATAAGTACAAAAAATTAACCGGGTGTGGTAGTGTGCGTCTGTAATCCCAGCTACCTGGGAGGCTGAGGCAGGAGAATAACTTGAACTCGGGAGGCGGAGGTTGCAGTGAGCCAAGATTGCGTTCCAGCCCGCGACAGTGCAAGACTCCGTCTCAAAAAACAAAAAGAAAGAAAGAAGGGATACTCTTTTTTAAAAAATAGATGAAGGAACACTTCCCATCTCATCTCTTGAGTCCATCATAACTCTCATACCTAAGCCAGATAAGGATTCTGTGTTTGGGGGAGGGGGTGTGCACATGCACCCTTGTCTGTTCACAGATCAGTACTGTGTGCACCCGTGTGTGTTCACGGATCAGTACTGTGTGCACACGTGTGTGTTCACTGGTCATTACTGTGTGTGCACCCGTGTGTGTGCACAGACCAGTACAGTGTGTGCACTCGTGTGTGTTCACGGATCAGTACTGTGTGTGTGCACGTGTGTGTTCACGGATCATTACTGTGTGTGCGCCCATGTGTGTTCACGGATCAGTACTGTGTGTGTGCACGTGTGTGTTCACGGATCGTTACTGTGTGTGCACCCGTGTGTGTTCACAGATCATTACTGTGTGTGCGCCCGTGTGTGTTCACGGATCATTACTGTGTGTGCGCCCGTGTGTGTTCACAGACCAGTACTGTGTGTGCATATGTGTGTATTCACAGATCAGTACTGTGTGTGCACCCGTGTGTGTTCACAGACCAGTACTGTGTGTGCATATGTGTGTGTTCACAGATCAGTACTGTGTGTGCGCCCGTGTGTGTTCACAGATCAGTACTGGTGTGCATGTGTGTGCTCACAGACCAGTACTGTGTGTGCATATGTGTGTGTTCACAGATCAGTACTGTGTGTGCACCCGTGTGTGTTCACAGACCAGTACTGTGTGTGCATACGTGTGTGTTCACAGATCAGTACTGTGTGTGCGCCCGTGTGTGTTCACAGATCAGTACTGGTGTGCATGCGTGTTAACAGACCAGTGCTGTGTGTGCACATGTGTGTTCACAGATCAGTACTGGTGCACATGCATGTGTGTTCACAGACCAGTGCTGTGTGTGCCCATAAGTATATGTTCACAGACCAGGACTCTCAAGAACATAGATGCAAAAATACTTCACAAAATATTAGCCAACTAAGTATTACTGAGACTCCTGTTCTCCACAAGTTGACGCAGAGATGCAGTGCAGTCCCACTCAGAGCTCCCACGGCTTTTCTAGAAATTGGCACACAAACTCCAAAGCGTGTGTGGAAATGCAGATGACCTGGGAGACCCAAAACAACCTCCTTGACAAAGAGCAGGATTTCAAGACTTACCAGAAAGCTACAGTAACCAAGGCAGTGTGGTGTCAGCATGAGGATACAATAGAGCAGTGGGATGGAATAGAAAGTACAGAAAAAAAATTCCATACCCAAAGGGCAGGGGGCCGGGACCACAGCCACAGCGATTCAGTGAGGAAAAAGAGAAAGGAAAGTCTTTTTTTTTTTTGAGACAGGGTCTCACTCTGTTGCCCAAGCTGGAGTGCAGCAGTGGTGTGATCTCGACTCAGCCCGGCTGACTGCAGCCTCCTGGGCTCAAGGAATCCTCCCACCTCAGCTGGGACCACAGGCACACACCACCATGCCCAGCTAATTTTTTTTTATTGTGTGTAGAGACAGGGTCTCGCTATGTTGCCCAGGCTGATGTTGAACTCCCAGGCTCAAGCAGTCCTCCTACCTTGGCCTCCGAAAATGCTGTGACTGCAGGCATGAGCCACAGCACCCAGCCAGGAAACTCTTTCCAACAAAACTTGCATGAACAGCTGGATATCGGAATGGGGAAAAAGTGCACTGCATGCTGTATGCAAAATTTAATTCAGGGCGGATCAGAGATCTAAACAAAAACTAGAACCATTAAGCTTTTTGAAGAAAACACAGAATATGTTCATGAATTTGAGGGTGGCAAAGATTCCTTAAGATGTAGAAACTCCTCTGATAAGAGGAAAAAACCAATTAGACTTCATTGAAGTTTAAAAACTTCTCTCAAAAGGCACAGTTAAGAAGATGAATAGGCAGGCCGCAGGCTTTGCTGCATGTGTCTCTGACAAAAGCCTGTGTCAGTACCAAAAAGACAAAGGACCCAATTAGAAGGGGGCAGATGAAGCCAGCCGACTTGACAGAAGGATCTCTTAAATAGCCGGTACACACATGGAAAGATGTGGAACGGCATGAGTCACCAGTCAGGGACGTGCTGATGCAACCAACGAGACAGGACTAGACGGGGGTCACCCGTCCCTAAAAACCAGGACGGGCTCGGGGGAGAGTGGGCACGGGCCCAGCGGCTGCGCTCTCAGACACTGGATTGGGAAACGTGTGCAGTTTCTTGTGACGTTAAGTACACACCTACTCCCTGACCAGCTGTCCTGTTCCTAGCTGTGAACTCCTCTATAAAGTCAACATTTAACCAAAAACACTTTGATTCATAATTACCGAAAACTGGAAACAACCAAATCTCTATTAACAGGAGAATGAATCAACAGATAATGGTAGCGTCCTGTCCTGTAATACTATTCATCGGTAAAAGGAACAAATTGAGGATCACCCTGCGTCGTGGAGGAGTCTCAGACATGCTTTGCTGAGCAAAAGCAGCCAGACACAGGCCAGCCACAGTGGCTCACACCTGTGATCCCAGCACTTTGGGAGGCCAAGGCAGGAGGATTGCTTGAGCCCAGGATTTGCAGGCTTTTTTTTTTTTTGGTAGAGACCCCCATCTCTACTTAAAAAAAAAAAAAATTAGCCATTTGTGGTGGCGTCTGCCTGTCGTCCCAGCTACTTGGGAGGCTGAGGCAAGAGGATCACTGGAGCCTGGGAGGTCAAGGCTACAGTGAGCAGGGATTATGCCCCTGCACTCCAGTTTGGGCAACAGAGGGAAACTGAGAAACAAACAACAGAAAACCAAGAAGCCAAACCAACAAACAAACACAGACATAGCGTGGGGTTTGTCTACATAGAGCTTTAAGCTGTGTCCTAGAAACCAGAGCAGTGGGGAACGCTGAGGGTGGAGAAGGGGTATAGACGGACTTGAAGTGGCATTGAGGAGCCTTCTGGAATGAAGGGACGCCCCTGCGTGGATAAGGCCCAGGTGTCAGGGTGTGCGCACTTGCCAAGCTCAGCGGCAGCACCGAGGACAGCGTTTCACCCAATGGACAGTGGCACCTCGGTGCTTTAAAAAAAAATGAATGAGTTGCTCCATTCCTTCAGCAAGGGCTTAGATCAGATTGTAGCAGAATTGAACCAGTTTGCAGTTAAGGATTAGTAACCTGCCTTTTGTTCATTATGCAGCCACATAAACTCAGCTGGATTTGGGGAGTAAGTCATTTTGGACACATGTCACATGCTGGTATATGTTTTATTTATTTGCCGCTTCCTTTGAAATCCTGGCATGTGTTTACAGACAACAATTTCACAAAACATTTTGCAGTTTAGAAAAATGACTCTTTCGTGCAGGTCCCACATGCGTGTGTTGAACAGTAAACAACATGTTGTCCTCACTGGGCACGTCAGGCAGGCTTCCAGAAGATGCCAAGTCATCTGCCCGGGCCCAGCTCACCAGGGACAGCCCCTCCAGCAGCTGGATTTAAGCTGCCAGCGAGCACCGTCTCTGGCAGGTCCCGCCTTGTTTGAATGGAGCTGGGTGGGAGCGCCACAGGTCTGGCGCTGCTGCTTAGGTCACTTCACTGGCACCAACACAGTCTGCTCACGCCCAGAACCACACAAGGGAGCCCGGACAGAAACGCTCAGTCCCCCCCTGCATATCGGGGCTGTCCCTACCAGGGCATGCTGTGGTCCCTGGCTACCGCAGCTCTGTCTAAGTTCTGCAGGGCCAGACACTGGTGAGGTCCTAGAGATGGGTAGAGGGCACAGCCCCTCGATGGGGTCTGCACCCCAGACTCTGAGCACAGCCCCAGCCATTAAGCAAGAATGTCCCAGATATCGGGGGGTGGCACAAGAAATGCATGAAGTCCGGAGGCCCTGATGAGGGGCAGGGCTTGGGGTAACTGGGCCTGTGCACAGGCCCTGGAGGTCTCCCTGGAAGGCAGAGGAGGCCAGGCTGGGAAGGGGCTTCGTGGCACGCAGAATCATAAGGGAGGCCAGACGCTTGCAGCTGTGCAAATAGCAACCCCAGGAGAGAGTCAGACACCAGCAGAGAACCACGGTTCCCCCTTCAGGTTGGCACATTGAGCAGTTTGGGTCCACCTGGATAACGAGCGTGAGGCTGAGCCAGGGAGTCCCCCTGGCAGCTTCTGCAGCAGAGGGCCCCGCAGCCCTACTCCTGGGATCTGTCCTGCCCAGGCACCAGCAAGCAGGACGGGAGGGGAGGGATAGGGGAGGGGAGGGGAGAGGGGGAGGGGAGGGGAGGGGAGAGGGGGAGGGGAGGGGAGGGGAGCGGAGAGGGGGAGGGGAGGGGAGGGAAGGAAGGAAGGAAGGAAATCAGTGATGCAAATGACCCATGCAAAGACTCTCCAAGAAACACTGTACTCAGGGCCAGAAGCGCAGGCTGCAGCGTCTGTTACAGACGAATTCTGAAAGAAGATGCCAGGTAGGGCACCTCAGGGCCTGGAGGGCCTCACAGGAAGGGCTCAGGCCTGTCTGCCTTTACCAAGTACATGTTCACTCTCTTAGGTGTTTGTAGGGGAGTGGCCAAGACAGCCACGTGGCTCAGGTGTGGAATGAAGCTAGACCAGGTGGAAGCCGAAGGGTCGGCCTCTCCAGGCAGGAGAGAAGGATGATCTAAGGGCAGGTGCAGGCCAGAATGTCTGGAAAGCATTTCTGGTGCGGGATTGCCAGTTTGGTGACGTGGACTCTGGGAAGCAAGGGGACAGGGGACAGCAGTCAGAGCTGAGCTGCTGCCCACAGAGCAGGCTCCACTGCCCAGAGGCTAAGCGGTATCACCAAGCGGCGGACAACTGGCAGGTCAGGAAGAAGTGCCACTCCAGCCTGGACAACAGAGTGAGACCCCATCTCTTAAGAAAAAGGAAGAAGCAGCACCAGAAGCTGCGCCCCCTAGTCTTAACTGTCTGGGAGGCTGAGGCAGGAGGTTGCTTGAGGTCAGGAGGTGAAGGCTGCAGTGAGCTGTAATGGCACCACTGCACTCCAGCCTGGACAGCAGCACGAGACCTTGTCTGTTTTTTCAAAAAAAAGGAACACTAAACTTTGATGTATTGATACTTTAATAAATTTCCTGTATCTTTTTGGAAATTTTTATTGATGAAACATAAGTGGCAAAGCACTATGAACTGCCTGTGGTGGCTTATCTTAGGTATTTTACATGTAAATAAAATGCTGGTTGCATCTTAAATACCACAAATATTTTACTTGAGGTCCTAAATGGGGACGCGTCATCTGTTATCAGTTAAATGAAATAAGTAGCTTTAAGAGAAGTTAATGGGTTTGGAGTGGTTCCGTCCCTGAATTGTGCCTTGATGAACTCTTAGCCAAAAACTGGCTCAGATCCGAGCTTCTCCCTTTGTGCCCTGCCTTTAAACCAAAGCTGCATCTCTCACAGAAACTCTTGCCTTTCAGAAGTCCCCACGAGAAGAAGAAGAAGAGGCGGTCCCGGTCGCGGACCAAGTCCAAGGCCAGGTCTCAGTCGGTGTCACCCAGCAAGCAGGCAGCGCCCCGGCCCGCGGCCCCCGCGGCCCACTCGGCGCACTCAGCCAGCGTCTCCCCTGTGGAGAGTCGGGGCTCCAGCCAGGAGCGCTCCAGGTAACCCCTGTCCTCCAGCAGCTCTCTCTGGGGAAAGGCAAGGGGCGGCCAGCAGGACTCTCCCTCCTCCCTGAGTCCTTGCCTATGTCAGTACTCGCCTGTGTCCAGGGGGCGCCAGCCACAAAGCCAAACCGCACCCCCTCTAGCAAGGAAGTCGCCCTAGATGTGGCTTCTCACAATCCATGAGCGCTCAGAGGAGCAGGTCCTGTACTGGGGAGACCCTCCTGCAGAGCCCAGGAGTGGAGCAGTCCACTTGAAGCAGCCCAAGTGTCACACACGTGCCTGATGCCCACCAGGCACACTGGGCTGTGCAATGACCAGTAGACCGGGAACTGTCACCAGGTCCCCAGGCTGCCGTGGCTGGAGCAGGTCCCCAGGCTGCAACGGCCAGGGCCAAATGACGCCAACCTGTCACCGGGCATCACACCTGGGCAGCAGCACAGACGTGGGCGTCCCAGTCCCGGGCTAGGTGATAATGACTTCAAGTCAGACACCCTCCGCTGCCCAGGCACCCACACCCTGGGGGGACCAGAGAGGGCAGCATCTGGGAACAGCTGCTCCCTTTAAACTGATTGCTTCCATAAATGTCAATCATGGGAGTAACGCGCAACTGTTCCATTCTAGTGGCAGAGGCCTCAGCTAATTTGAGATGGATTAGAATCTAAGAGGTGGCACCTTTAGAGTTAAAATGTAAATCAGGCTGGGCGCCGTGGCTCATACCTGTAATCCCAGCACTTTGGGAGGCCAGGGCAGGAATTTGAGACCAGTCTGGACAACATGGCAGGACCTTGTCTCTACTAAAAATAGGTGGCACGCGTCTGTAATCCCAGCTACTCAGGAGGCTAAGGTGAGAGGATTGCTTGAGCCCAGGAGGTGGAGGCTGCTGTGAGCCATGACGGCACCACTGCACATCAGCCTGGGTGACAGAGAGAGACCCTGTTTCTGAAAATGTAATAATGATAAAATGTACATCAGTGTAGGAGGCTGAGCATCGCTGCGGGGAGGGGGTGTTGGCTCCAGCACACAGACGCCTCATGCACAGGCCGAGGGCACCTACAGCCAAGGCCGTGGTTCTGGGAAGGCTCCACCGTTCTGCTGAGTCTTTCCTTTCTTTGTTTCTTTTTTCCTTTGTGTTTAAGGTAATTTTATATGAAAATCTTTTTGAGTTAGATTGCAATTTGTAAACATTTCAGATGAGTATAACACAGCATGTTTATGATGCCAAGTTTTATTGAAGGATACTGGAGGGGTGGGCGCGGCGGCTCACGCCTATAATCCCAGCACTTTGGGAGGCCAAGGCGGGTGGATCACCTGAGGTCAGGAGTTCGAGACCACCCTGACCAATATGGTGAAACCCCGTCCCTACTGAAAATACAAAAATTAGCCGGGCATGGTGGCACACGCCTGCAATCCCAGCTACTCAGGAGGCTGAGGCAGGAGAATTGCTTGAATCTGGGAGGCAGAAGTTGCAGTGAGCTGAGAACGTGCCATTGCACTCCAGCCTGGGTGACAGAGTGAAACTCTTGTCTGGAAAAAAAAAAAAAGATACTGGAAGCAGATGCAGTGGGCACTTCTCAGTTCTAGAGTTGGGGTTCGGAGGTGGGGATGCTGTTCACTGGCCTTGGCTCAGCATCTTCACACGGTTGTAAGCTCTGCTCTCTCTCTCTCTGCATTAGGGGAGTCTCTCAGGAAAAAGAAGCCCAGATCTCTTCAGCAATCGTTTCTTCCGTGCAGAGCAAAATCACTCAGGTCAGTGGGCACGCCCCCCTCCCGCTCCCAGCCTTTCATCAAGGGGCCTCGTGGTTTCTCTGTTGCTAATTTTCATTCCCTGTCCCTCCTGTCCCTGTCATGGGACAGGGATCTCGGGCAAAATACCACAGGCTCTGGGTGAGGCCGAGGGCAAAGCCGTGTGGCCCGCACCCTGCACAGCCAGGCTCCTCCGCCGCCCCCACGGTGCTAGCACCGTCTGGTCTTGACCACCAACTCGTTGATGAATTTCTTCACCACGTGGGTTGTCTGGCCAGGTCTTCACAGGTTCTCCTCTGTGTCTCGCCCTGCACAGGATCTCATGGCCAAAGTCAGAGCGATGCTTGCAGCTTCCAAAAACCTGCAAACCAGCGCTTCCTGAGACGGGGCCAGCGGAGGCAGAGCCGGGAGGCTGCGTGGGCTTCTGGGCAGGCTCACGCAGACGCCGGCCACACCATCCACCTGGCCGCCTCCATGGACCCTTGGTGGCTTTTGTAAATTAATTTTTGATGACATTTTGAGTTTTAAGATTTCTGACCAGCAGTCTCTTACCTGTATATTTGTAAATATATCATGTTTCTGTGAAAATGTATTATGAAATAAAATGGGAGGAAACACCTTTTCTAGCTAGACCCTGGCGTGGTTTCTTCCTTCTCTCCTTGGTTGGCTTCTGGGTCTGTTTGACCGTCTGTCATCTGTTACACGT
Organism: Homo sapiens; assembly: GCF_000001405.40. Classification (NCBI taxonomy): domain Eukaryota; kingdom Metazoa; phylum Chordata; class Mammalia; order Primates; family Hominidae; genus Homo; species Homo sapiens. Next base: position 131,799,813 of record NC_000012.12, read on the forward strand.
GTAGTCATGGAGGTGTGGCAGGGACAGGTGGGCAGCACTGGGCCTCCCTGTCCTGGGCCCCCAGCCCTCCGACAGCAGCCACTGGACTCCCCTTCCCCGTCTCCACGCCTCCTGCGGTCACCGCACACCCCTTCTTCCCAGGCCGTCAGCTCCCCGTGGGCATGTGTCCCTGCCGGCACCCATGCTGCAACTGCCGGACAGGCCCTCCCTGCGGCAGTGGTGCACAGCAGGGGAGCAGCCCAGCCCCGCCTCACCATGCTGAGCACCGCATGTTGCCTTGAGCGCCGGCTGCTTGCTCCTGGCGCCTTTCCTGACGTGCAGATGCCCGGGACTCCACTGCAGGCTTCGGCCCCCCAGTGGAAACACAATTTGTGTGTAGCTGAGGGTCCGGCCACCTGGAGTTGGGGCTCGTAAGGTCCTTACACCAGAAATGAGGATTTGCTGCTTGTCTGCTGTAGGCAGGTCACAGTGACACTTTTGTCCCCACAGGAAGGACACTCCCTGGCGTTCACTTAAACGCCTGCTGTGCCGAGGTCAAGTTCCATTGTCAGTTCTGCCAATTTACCAAAACCCAGAAATTGAATTACGGTTTTTCCTCCTTATGGCGCTTGGGGTCCAGACGCTGCCTGCCCGCGAAGGCCAGTGTGGGTGAGGCAGGTGGGCAAGCTGGGGCAGGTGGGTGGGTGGGGCCAGGCACACACACAGGCACAGGCCCCACAGCTGCCCACAACCACTCAGAAATGCTACAGGCCCTGGATGAGGCAGAGGGCAAAGTCGTGTGGCCTGCACCCTGCACAGCCAGGCTCCTCTGCCACCCCCACCCCCACGGTACCATATACCTGGTTCCTCTCACAACCAGTGGCCAACTTCATGTAGCACTCTATGCATCTCCCGATGCGTTGGTTTCTGAGATGACATCACTCAGGGTCCCCCCGCCCACGGCTTGCAGTAGCCATCCATCCCACAAATGCTCATCGGCCCCTCCGCACCTGGACGTGAAGCCGTCTCCAGGAAGACACTGGCTTCCTCCCGCAGCAGCGCACTGCGGTTCAGTGCAGGGCTCCCCAGTGGCTGCTCCGGGTCGCAGGTGGCCTTTGCTGCCGGGTCAGTGCTGTGGTGACCGTCCTCGGGCAGATGCTGCCCACATCCTCCTGGTGCAGCGTCTGCAAACATTTTTATCTTTGCTAAATCAGAAAGATGGAAAGGTCTTGATTTTTATTGCATTTCTTCAGTGATGAGTCAAATGGCACAGTTTCCCTTCTGTTTCAAAATGCGTTTCCATTGCTTTGTGAACTCAACCATGTCCATTCCTGTGTGTGGCGATGGAGTTCTTTTTCAATCATAACAACTCTCTACATGTTAGGGGACTTAGCCTTCTCGTATTAGTTATTTTGTAAATGTTTGCCCCAATTTGTCATCGCTGTTTTGACTTGAAGGTTTTTTTACATGGAAAAGTTTTTGTACGTATGTAGTCTTTTTTTTTTTTTTTTTTTTTTTGCCAAAAGCCTCGAGCACCTGATACTCCCAGTTGGTCTCCCATCCAAGTACTAACCAGGCCCAACCCTGCTTAGCCTCCGCAATCAGATGCAACCGGGCCCGTTCAGGCATGGCTGTTCGTGTTTGCCGTGGCCCGTGTTTGCCGTGGCTGTTCATGTTTGCCGTGGCTCGTGTTTGCCGTGGCTCGTGTTTGCCGTGGCTCGTGTTTGCCGTGGCTCGTGTTTGCCATGGCCCGTGTTTGCCGTGGCCCGTGTTTGCTGTGGCTGTTCGTGTTTGCCGTGGCCCGTGTTTGCCGTGGCTCGTGTTTGCTGTGGCCTGTGTTTGCCGTGGCTGTTCATGTTTGCTGTGGCTCATGTTTGCCGTGGCTCGTCTTTGCCGTGGCCCGTGTTTGCCGTGGCTGTTCGTGCTTGCCATGGCTTCTGGGCACTGCTCCTGAGGTGGGCTCTGTGTGTGCAGAGGTGACCTTGCTTTGCCTCAGGTTTGCGCCTCCAAGTTTTACACACCCTCCTTGTTTGCTGGGTCGTTTTCCACTGTAAAGGGTCGGGGATCATGAGCCAGAAATCTGCATCTTGATGCAGGGAGATCGTTACGTGGGACCGGACGTCAGCAGGATCGTGGTTCTACCCGTGCACCGCCAAGTGGACGTTTATGCCGGCGGCAGCTAGGATCGTCGGAGAGGGCAACACAGACTTGGCCAGCGTCTGGAACATCGGGGAATCCTGAGGGACCTACCACGCCCTGATATAGTGATGTTTTTGTTTGGTGCGTTGGTGCTGGAAGGGCTGGGGCACTTCCCTGGTAGAAGGGAGCAGGCATCAGTGCCTGGAGCAAGGAAGACTACGAAGACTACCCACCCAGCCCTCTAACCACTCGTCTCCAGAGTTGCCATTCATGATGGCCAGTGTCCCCCGGAAATGAGTACAGTGGTGTCACACTCTGCACAGACCCCCTGGTAAAGTCAACAGCACACATGCACTCTAAATACTGGAGCCAGGTGTGGTGCACGCAGTTGAGGTCCCAGCTACTTGAGAGACGGAGGCAGGAGGATCACTTCAGCCCAGCAGGTCGAGACTGCAGTGAGCTGTGATCACGCCACTGTGCTGCCGCTTGGGTGACAAAGGGAGACCCCATCTTTGTTTTGTTTTGTTTTGTTTTGTTTTTTTTGAGATGGAGTCTCACTCTGTCACCCAGGCTGGAGTGCAGTAGCATGATCTCAGCTCACTACAACGTCTGCCTCCCGGGTTCAAGAGATTCTCCTGCCTCAGCCTCCTGAGTAGCTGAGACTACAGGTGCGCACCACCACGCCTAGCTGACCCCATCTTTAAAAATAAAATACTGGGTCAGGCACAGTGATTTAATCCCAGCACCTTGGACGGCCAAGGCAGGAGGATCACGTGAGGCCAGGAGTTCAAGACCAGCCTGGGCAACAGAGCAAGACTCCGTCTCTACAACAAATACAAAAATTAGCCAGACGTGGTGACACCTGTAGTCCTACCTACTCAGGAGGCTGAGGTGGGAGGATAGCTTCAGCCTGGGAGGTCAAGGCTGCAGTGAGCCATGAATGAGCCACTGCACTCCAGCCTGGACAACAAAGTGAGACCCTGTCTCAAAAAAAAAAAAAAACTGTAAAATTAGACTTTGCATAGTGTATACAAGACACATGACTGTGTGTATGACACTGTAGTAATTCCTCACCACCGGCCAGGCACACAGTGGCTCACGCCTATAATCCCGGCACTTTGGGAGGCCAACGCAGGAGGATCGCTTGAAGCCAGGAGTTCAAGACCAGCCTGGGCAACATGGTAAAACTCTGTCTACTAAATTGCAAAAATTAGCCGGGCATGATGGCGGGCACCTGTAGTCCCAGCTACTCGGGAGGCTGAGGCAGGAGAATTGCTTGAACCCAGGAGGCAGAAGTTGCAGTGAGCCGAGATCACGCCATTGCACTCCAGCCTGTGCGACAGAATGAAACTCCAGTCTCAAAAAAAAAAAAAAAAAAAAGTTTTATCACCGCTAGGGACTGTTATGTTAAACCCCGAATGTCTTACTTTATTGGTGATTGAAGAAATTTCCAAGGGTGACTTTGGCTGGACCCCTCACCCATGTGAGATGCAACCCCACCCTCCCTGGGCCTAACTCTCCTGCCATGGACATCTAGACAGCTTCCTGCCTTTCACTGTCGGCAAGGATGCTGCTGGGAAACTAGAGTTTTTCCCCTTTAAAAAGATTCCTTCTGGGGCCGGGCATGGTGGCTCGCGCCTGTAATCCCAGCACTTTGGAAGGCCAAGGTGGGTGGATCACTTGAGGCCAGGAGTTCGAGGCCAGGAGTTCGAGACCAGCCTGGGCAACATAGTGAAACCCCATCTCTACCAAAAAATACAAAAATTAGCTGGGCATGGTGGTGCACACCTATAATTCCAGCTATTCGGGAAGCTGAGGCGGGAGAATCACTTGAACCAGGAGGAAGAGGTTGCAGTGAGCCGAGACGGCGCCATTGCACTCCAGCCTGAGCAATAGAGTGAGACTCTGTCTCAACAACAACAACAACAAAAATATTCTTTCCTTCTTTAGGACAGATTTATAGTAGTTTTACTGTATCATTTCTAAGGTTCTTAAACTGTGCTAATAAAATTGTTCTCCAAAGATTGTCTCCTTCACCTGTGTTTAGTAAGGCTGGCTTTTGTCAGAAGCCATTTGCTTTGATGTTTCCTGGTGCGTGGCTTGGATCACTGCCCTGTGTGTCCCTGGGTGTGACCCGTGTCTGGATCGTTCAGCTATCTGAGCCCTAATGCAAGCTGAGAGGGCCAGGTCGCTCCACCAGCTTCACGGAACCAGACAGGCACTGGGGGCTGTGAGTGAGAAGGGGGCTAGGCAGGGAAAGGGCTTGGGAACGGGGCGCTGACGAGGCCAGGCAGGTCACTGGGTGGGAGGAGTCGCTAAGAATGCTGAAAACTTCCACCTCAGGGCCAACATTTGGGGTTTTACTTGGCTTGAATAAGTGATTCACTCACGTGGCTACACAGGAATTTCTTGTGAATCCTTCCAAGTTCCTTTGTATAAATACAAGCAAATATGCAAATATATTCTCCCCCTCCAGCCCCAATACACATCTTTATACACGGAAAGTGTGTTATCATTTCCATTCTGTGCCAGCTTCATCTTGCTTTTGCAGTTACTGTATGTCTTAGAGTCATTTCCTTATCTGAACATAAAGAACTTCCCTATTTTTTTAATAATAAACTTTTTTTTTTTTTGAGATGGAGTCTCACTCTGTCGCCCAGGCTGGAGTACAGTGGTGCGATCTCGGCTCACTGCAATCTCTGCCTCCTGAGTTCAAGCGATTCTCTTGCCTTAGCCTCCTGAGTAGCTGGGACTACAGGCACGCGCCACCACGCCTGGCTAATTTTTATATTTTTCTAGAGATGGGGTTTCACCGTGTTGGCCAGGCTGGTCTCAAATTCCTGACCTCAAGTGATCTGCCCACCTTCGCCTCCCAAAGAATAATAACCTTTTTTAAGAACAGTTTTAGATTTACAGAAAAATTGTGAAGACGGTACACAGTTCTCATATACCGGCACCCAGTTTCCACTATATCACTGTATTAGCACCATTTTTTTTTTTTTTAAGTCTCATTGTGTCACCCAGGCTGGAGTATGGCGGTGCCATCTTGGCTGACTGCAACCTCTGCCTCCTGGGTTCAAGCGATTCTTCTGCCTCAGCCTCCCAAGTAGCTAGGGCTACAGGCAACCACCACCATGCCCGGCTAATTTTTGTATTTTTAGTAGCGACAGGGTTCACTATGTTAGCCTGGCTGGTCTTGAACTCCTGACCTTGTGATCCATCCGCCTCGACCTCCCAAAGTGCTGGGATTATAGGCGTGAGCCACCGCGCCTGGCAACACCTTACATTAGGATGGTACACTTGTTATAATGAATTAATCAATATTGATACATTATTATTACTGAAAGTCCATACTTCAGATTCCCTTTGTTTCCCTAATGTCCTCGTTTTGTCCCAGGATCCCATCCAGGTTCCCACCTTGTATCGAGTCCTATCTCCCTGGGTGCCTCTGGGCTGGGGAAGTTCTTCATTCTTTTCATAGCTGTGTAATATTCCATTTTATAAATGATGCATCGCTGATTCACCAGTTCTCTTCTGGGGCATATTTGGGTTGTTTCTGATCCTACTCTAACACTACTCTAAAAACCTTGTACCTAAGTCATTTCTCATATCTGCACAAACGTCTTTAGCATAAGCAAACGTTCAGCAAAGGCCAGATGGTAGACATCTTAGTATTTGCAGAGCATCCAGTTTCTGTTATTCAACTCTGCGGTTGCATAAAAGCAGCCAGAGACTACATGTAAATGAGCGGGTGTGGCTGTGTTCCAATACAATTTTATGTGTGAACCCTGAGATCTGAATTTCATAGAATTTTTACATATCACAAAATATTCTTTTTTCACAATTTTTTAAAATAAATTTGTTTCAAAATTAAAAGTGTATAACCTGGCCAGGTGCAGTAGCTCACTCCTATAATCCCAGCACTTTGGGAGGCCAAGGCAGGTGGATCACCTGAGGTCTGTAGTTCGAGACCAGCCTGGCCAACATGGTGAAACCCCATCTCTACTAAAAATATAAAAATGAGCTGGGTGTGGTGGCACGTGCCTGTAATCCCAGCTACTCGGGAGGCTGATGCAGGAGAATCATTTCAACCCAGGAGGCAGCGGTTGCAGTGAGCCGAGATCACACCATTGCACTCCAACCTGGGTGACAGAGCGAGACTCCGTCTCAAAAAAAAAAAGCATTTGTACCCAGAATAGCCAAAACACTCATGAAAAAGAACAAAGTTGGAAGACTCACAATTCACAGTTGGAAAACTTACTGGACAGCGCAGGGACCCGGACCGTGCAGAACTGACCGATGGGACAGAACTGAAAGCCCAGGCAATTCAGGGGAGAAAAAAGTGCTGATTCCGACAAGCGGTGCTGGGAAGGCACGTGGCCACGTGTAAAGAACGAAGCTGCATCCTTCCCTCACACCATGTGCAAAAGTGAACTCAGACTGGCTCAGAGGCCGACATGTAAGAGTGGAAGCTACGGACCACCGTTAGAAGCTAAACCTTTGCAAACGTGGTGGCCGTGGTGTCTTCAACAGGACCACAGAAGCACGAGCAACGAGAGAAAAAATGACAGATTGGACTTGATCAAAACATACAACTTTTGTGCATCAAAGGACACATCAAAGTGAAAAGCTCACAGAATGGAAGGAAAACGGCAAATCGCGTATCTGGTAAGGGATTCGTATCTAGCATATGTAAGGAACTCTTACAATTCAGTAATAAAAAGAAAATAACGCGATTAAAAAATGGTCAAAAGATCTGAATAGACATTCCTCCACATAACATATACAGGTGCCAATCAGCACAGGAAAAGAGGCTCAACACCATTAGCCATCAGGGAAGGGCAATGCAAACCACAGTGAGGCGTCACCACACACCCGTTAGGACGGCTGTAATCAAGCAGACAGCACAGGTGTTGGCAAGAGTCAGGGGTGTTGGAGAAATTGGAACGCTCTTACACTGCAGGTGGGATGTAAAATGGTACAGCGCTTTGGAAAACAGCCTGGCTTTTCCTCAAAAGGCTGAACATGCAACCTGGCAATCCTACTTCTCAGCATCTACCTAAGATCCCGTTTATGTGAAATGTCCTGAATAGGTACATTCGTAAGCACTAGTGGTTGCCTAGGGCTGGGGGGATTGGGGAGAAATGAGGAGTGACTGCTGATGGCTGCAAGGTTCTTTTTGAAGTGCTAAAAATATTCTAAAACAGGCTGGTGATGGTTGCACAATTCTGTGAATACACTGAAAACCTTTTTTTTTTTTTTTTTTTTGAGACAGAGTTTCCCTCTTGTCACCCAGGCTGCAGTGCAATGGCGCGATCTTGGCTCACTACAACCTCCACCTCCTGGGTTGGAGCAATTCTCCTGCCTCAGCCCCCTGAGTAGCTGGGATTACAGGTGCCCGCCACCACGCCAAGCTAATTTTTGTTTTTTGCTTTTTTTTGTTTTTTTGAGATGGCGTCTCCATCTGTTGCCCAGGCTGGAGTGCAGTGGCACAATCTCGACTCACTGCAACCTCCGCCTCCTGGGTTCAAGCGATTCCCCTGCCTCAGCCTCCTGAGTAGCTGGGATTACAGGCCATGCCACCCCCGGCTAATTTTTGTATTTTTAGTAGAGACAGGGTTTCGCCATGTTGGTCAGGCTGGTCTCGAACTCCTGACTGCATGATCTGTCTGCCTCGGCCTCCCAAAGTGCTGGGATTACAGGTGTGAGCCACCTCTCCCAGCCTAATTTTTGTATTTTTAGTAGAGACGGGGTTTCACCATGTTGGCCAGGCTGGTCTGAAACTCCTGACCTCAGGTGATCTGCTCACCTTAGCCTCCCAAAGTGCTGGGATTACAGGTGTGAGCTACCACACCAGGCCCCTGAAAAACATTTAGTTGTACACTTTAAATGGTTGAATTGTATAGTATGTAGATTATATCAATAAAGCTGTTGTTAATTTTTTTTTTTCTGAGACAAGTTCTCACTACGTCACCCAGGCTGGAGTGCAGTGGTGCGATCTTGGCTCACTGCACCCTCCACCTCCCAGGTTCAAGCAATTCTCCTGCCTCAGCCTCCTGAGTAGCTGGGACTACAGACATGCACCACCACGCCCCACTAATTTTTGTATTTTTTGGTAGAGTTGGGGGTTTCACTGTGTTGGCCAGGCTGGTCTCGAACTCTTGGCCTCAAGTGATCCACTCACCTCGGTCTCTCAAAATGATGGGATTACAGGCTTGAGCCACCAAACTCGACCTAAACTTTTTTTTTTCTTTCTTTTTTTGAGACGGAGTCTCACTCTGTTGCCCAGGCTGGAGTGCAGTGGTGCGATCTTGGCTCCTGGGTTCCAGCGATTCTCCTGCCTCAGCCTCCAGACGGAGAAGCTGGGATTACAGGCACGTACCCCACGCCCAGCTAATTAGTTTGTTTTTTTTCGAACTCCTGACCTGAAGTAATCCGCCTACCTCGGCCTCCCAAAGTGCTGGGATTACAGGCGTGAGCCACCGCGCCCGGCCCTAAATAAACTTTCTAAAGAGACATTTGTGGCCGGGCGCGGTGGCTCACGCCTGCAATCCCAGCACTTTGGGAGGCCGAGGCGGATGGATCGCCTGAGGTCAGGAGTTCAAGACCAGCCTGGCCAACATGGTGAAACCCCGTCTCTACTAAAACACAAAAAGTTAGCTGGGCGTGGTGGCGGGCGCCTGTAGTCCCAGCTACTTGGGAGGCTGAGGTGGGAGAATCTCTTGAACCCGGGAGGCGGAGCTTGCAGTGAGCCGAGATCGCGCCCCTGCACTCCAGCCTGGGTGAGAGTGAGACCCTGTGTCAAAAAGAAAAAAAAGAGAGAGACATTTGCATTAGATCTTTGAACTGTTTCCGCTTGGCGTCTTAGAAACCTTACTCAACCCAGACAGAACCCTCTCGGGGTGAAGCTTGCGCCCCGCTGGGACCCGGAAGCAGAAGGAACAGAAGGAACAGAAGGAACAGAAGGCCGTGCGGGCGGGGTGTGAGGCAGGCGGGGGACGACCCGCCCTGAGCTGCGCTCCCCGCCCGGGCCTCTTCCGCCTCCGTTTCCTCAGCTGCCGGGAGCTGCCCGGAGAACCAGGCGCCTCCCAGTTGCTTTCGCCTCCCGCGTTGTTCGGCCAGAGCCTCGGCGCTGCTGCGTTTTGACTGGAGATCTGAACGCTGCGTTAGGCCCCTTTCCCGTGAGCAGCAGAAGCCAGTTCTCCTGCCTTAACCACGGGAATCACCGCCAGGCAGCGGGCGGTTCCCTGGAGGGCAGGGAGGGCTGGGGCCCCGGCCGCTCCAGAGGGTCCCAGGGCAGGAGGGACGCGTCGACGCCCATCCCAGCACAGGTGCGGCACGGGGCCCAGGCTGCCTCCGCCTTTTTTCTTTTCTTTTTTTTTAATTATTATACTTTAAGTTTCAGGGGACATGTGCACAACGTGCAGGTTAGTTACATATGTATACATGTGCCATGCTGCTGTGATGCACCCACTAACTCATCATCTAGCATTAGGTATATCTCCCAATGCTATCCCTCCCCCTCCCCCCACCCCACAACAGGCCCCGGTGTGTGATGTTCCCCTTCCTGTGTCCATGTGTTCTCATTGTTCAATTCCCATCTATGAGTGAGAACATGCGGTGGTTGTTTTTCTGTCCTTGCGATAGTTTGCTGAGAATGATGGTTTCCAATTTCATCCATGTCCCTACAAAGGACATGAACTCATCATTTTTTATGGCTGCATAGTATTCCATGGTGTATGTGTGCCACATTTCCTTAATCCAGTCTATCATTGTTGGACATTTGGGTTGGTTCCAAGTCTTTGCTATTGTAAATAATGCCACAATAAACATACGCGTGCATGTGTCTTTATAGCAGCATGATTTATAGTCCTTTGGGTATATACCCAGTAATGGGATGGCTGGGTCAAATGGTATTTCTAGTTCTAGATCCTTGAGGAATCGCCACACTGACTTCCACAATGGTTGAACTAGTTTACAGTCCCACCAACAGTGTCAAAGTGTTCCTATTTCTCCACATCCTCTCCAGCACCTGTTGTTTCCTGACTTTTTAATGATTGCCATTCTAACTGGCGTGAGATGGTATCTCACTGTGGTTTTGATTTGCATTTCTCTGATGGCCAGTGATGGTGAGCATTTTTTCATGTGTGTTTTGGCTGCATAAATGTCTTCTTTTGAGAAGTGTCTGTTCATGTCCTTCGCCCACTTTTTGATGGGGTTGTTTGTTTTTTTCTTGTAAATTTGTTTGAGTTCATCGTAGATTCTGGATATTAGCCCTTTGTCAGATGAGTAGGTTGTGAAAATTTTCTCCCATTCTGTAGGTTGCCTGTTCACTCTGATGGTAGTTTCTTTTGCTGTGCAGAAGCTCTTTAGTTTAATTAGATCCCATTTGTCAATTTTGGCTTTTGTTGCCATTGCTTTTGGTGTTTTAGACATGAAGTCCTTGCCCATGCCTATGTCCTGAATGGTATTGCCTAGGTTTTCTTCTAGGGTTTTTATGGTTTTAGGTCTAACGTTTAAGTCTTTAATCCATCTTGAATTGATTTTTGTATAAGGTGTAAGGAAGGGATCCAGTTTCAGCTTTCTACATATGGCTAGCCAGTTTTCCCAGCACCATTTATTAAATAGGGAATCCTTTCCCCATTGCTTGTTTTTCTCAGGTTTGTCAAAGATCAGATAGTTGTAGATATGCGGCGTTATTTCTGAGGGCTCTGTTCTGTTCCATTGATCTATATCTCTGTTTTGGTACCAGTACCATGCTGTTCAACTCCTTTCAGAATCCAAATTGCAGGGAATTGGGCTTTCACTGAGCACAATACGGCCGCTCTTCCCCTGGCTGAAAGCAGCCAGCACCCTGGTGTACCTCGTGGGGCCAGGTCAGCCCCCAAGAAGGTGTTCCCACAAGAAGGTGCACAGGGGCGGTGTCCTGGAGGGCCAGCCATTCTACCCACTCCATAAACACCAGCGTCAGGGATTGCACACCTGCTGCGCCAGGCTGGGTTCCAGCCCCGGACTGAGAGCCCGAGCGGGTGGTGGAATGCGGCTTTTCACCATGTGAAAAGTTGCTTTAATTACAAGTTCATTAGCTATTCAGCGGGGGCAGCTTAGGGAAACATGAAAGTGAAATGTTGAAAAAGAGTTTGAGAAAGCACTTTAGACGATTTTCCGTTGATTCAGATCTCAAACTCTGCAGAGCTGAGCCACCTCTGTCTTCCCCTTGGACGGATTCTGCCGTGGGTTGCGAGACGACCGTGGAAACAAGGCCAGCTGATGCCCCTACTAACCTGGAAATAACCCAGGTTTCTTTTCTAGTACAGCAGGTCCTGCCAGCTCTTGAAAAATTGTGCGGCCGGGCGCGGTGGCTCACACCTGTAATCCCAGCATTTTGGGAGGCCAAGGCAGGTGAATCACCTGAGGTCAGGAGTTCGAGGCCAGCCCGGCCAACATAGTGAAACCCTGTCTCTACTAAAAATACAAAAATTAGCCAGGCATAGTGTCGGGCGGCTGTAATCCCAGCTACTTGGGAGGCTGAGGCAGGAGAATCACTTGAACCCGGGAGGCGGAGGTGGCGGTGAGCCGACACTGCACCACTGCACTCCAGCCTGGGCAACAGAGTGAGACTCCATCTCAAAAAAAAAAAAAAAGTGCAAAAGCAGAAACAAGCTTGCAGTAACCAGTGTCCCTTTCGGCCACCACCACCCAGGACCCACCAGCTTCTGGAGGGTGGCAGCTCTGTTCTCTTCGGAGATTGGCCCCAGCTTCCAGGACAGCAGAGAGCCTGGCACCCCGTAGGGGCTCAGCATGCATGCGGATGAAGTGCCCTCTGGGTGCCAGCCGGGCACCACCCGGCCTCCATTCAGCTGACAGATGGGTCCCGAGCACGTCCTTTCCCCAAGCAGTATCCTGGGAAGAAAGGGACGCAAAAGAGGGCTCAGCCTCAGGCCTGCGTGTGCTTCAGAGAGCTCTCAGAATGTGCTTTGGGGAGAGTAGGGTGGGGAGGCTGGAAGCAGAGAGGCCCGAGTCAAGTCCACAGCAAGGGGGGCCTGGGCAAGAGTGCACAGAGCAGCGGGAGGCCCTAGAGGGACTCAGGAAGCTGCTTCCTGGGCTCCACAGTTGGGATGAGGGAGAGCAAGAGAGAGGGACAAAGAGACTCCCAGGGTGACGGATAAGCAAGGGGAGAGGTTAGCATGGTCCATGTGGTGATGGAGGAGGGCTGGAGACGTCAGTGTGAACTCACGTGCAGCTGAACATAGCTACAGGTGGTTGCATAGGAAAATATCTGTGTATGAGTATGTGCAGGGCTTAGTACACACACATTTCTTTCAGCTGACCAGTGAGGCCCAAGCAGCAACGAACACACCTAGTGCCGAGATCTTGATTTTGTGAAAGTTGTCAGAATCACTTCTGTTTTAAAAAAACAAATAAAACCAAACACTCTGGCAAATAGGCCTCAGGAAGGCCATGAAGAGAAAGGCTGTCGTGCATAAATGCCTGAAAACAAAAACTATCAGAAAAGACTGCAAAAATGGACTGAGATGGATTCATGAAAAAAAAGAAAAAAATGAAAAAATAAAAGCGCAAAAAACACAACCTTGCACAAAGGCCATTGAAACCTTACACAAAACTATTGTGAAAATATCTACCCAGCAATTGCCTGTCTAACCTTGGACTGGCATTGCCTTTATTATTGATCTTTGTAGCCAAAGATAATTTTTTTTTTTTTGAGACGTATTTTCTCTGTTGTTGCCCAGGCTGGAGTGCAATGCTGCAATCTTGGCTCATCAAAACCTCTGCCTCCTGGGTTCAAGCGATTCTCCTGCCTCTGCCTCCCAAGTAGCTGGGATTACAGGCACGCACCACCACACCTGGCTAATTTTGTATTTTTTAGTAGAGACGGGGTTTCTCCATGTTGGTCAGGCTGGTCTCGAACTCCCGACTTCAGGTGATCCACCCGCCTCGGCCTTCCAAAGAGCTGGGATTACAGGCATGAGCCACCGTGCCCGGCCCGCCAAAGATAATTATCTCAAAACAATTATGTCATCTTCCTCATTCGTTCTGTAAAGGCTTCATCTTCCTTCACCCCCAGCCCCCAGCCCCAATAATGCACATAGTTCACTATGGCACATGTATTCCCACTGAAATTCCCCATTCCCAAATAAATATCATTTTCATGCCGGGCGCAGTGGCTCACACCTGTAATCCCAGCACTCTGGGAGGCCAAGGTGGGTGGATCACCTGAGATCAGGAGTTCAAGACCAGCCTGGTCAACATAATGAAACCCCATTTCTACTAAAAAAAATTAGCCAGGCATGGTGACACATGCCTGTAATCCCAGTTACTCAGGAGGCTGAGGCAGGAGAATGGCTTGAACCTGGGAGGCAGAGGTTGCAGTGAGCTGAGATCGTGCCACTACGCTCCAGCCTGGGCAACAAGAGTGAAACTCCATCTCAGTTTTCTTTTAAAGAGCCTCTCCCGGATATTTCCGTTGAGATAAATGGTGTCAGAAGTGGGACCTGAAAAGCGGTCACTGTTGGAAGGAAGCCGTGGCTCTCAGAACTGGCGATTCCCACCTGAGCTCTTCACTTCTGCCTCTTGCCTTTTCTGCCCTGCTGAATCTTCTCTCAGGCCAGGCCTCCCTCTTTTTAGGTAGAAGCTCTCCACTGTATTCCAGATTTGGTTTGGTTATAAGATTGCCTTAATAAACGCCCTTACATTCCTCCTAGGATCAAAAAAGAAAGACAAGTGTCTTTTTGGTTTCTAGAGAACTCAGATTCCATCTGCGAGATGCGAGGTGCCAGGTGCGAGGTGCGAGGTCTTCTCTGGTAAATTCACTTTTGGTCACTGCTCCTAGCTGAATATTTCATTTGATCTACATGCCTGGGTCAAAATTTTTTGCAAATCCTGATTATAGTTTGGTTAAATGCATGATTTGGCCATTTTCCCTTCTTTGTTTCTAAAAATCTTCCAAGAACAAAAATAAACATTCTAAATGGTGGGCACAGGGTGGCTAATTAAAAACAACTGGGTTCCACGTTGAATTCATAACTGGAAAAAATACATACTAGAAGATACAAAGAAAAAACTTTTTTAAAGCTGCTGGGCCAGTCACCACCATCTAAAACATTGGTCAAACTCCAAACATTCTCTGACAGGATTTACAGAATTTTCTTTGCTCTAAAGATATTAATAAGAAACGGAATGGGATTCTTAAATATGAAGACATGCCAAGTTTTCTGGGACTCCCGACACCTACATATTATAGCCCATTCTCATGCATATTTTTTTAACTGGTGGACAAATTACATCAAGAAAAATTAAGAGCTCAAATTATCATTATTCAAACAGTCTCTTCAAAAAACAAGCCTTCAACTATAGGGCTAATGTGGAGAGCCTTCTAAGTTCTCTATTTTTTTTTTTTCTGCTTACTTTGAATCTGCTGACTTTTCTAATGGGGTTGAGATAAAACTCACAGCTTTGGCATTCCAGCCAATATTTTTTGTAATTGTTGTAAGAAAGACGAGTGGGTGTGGCAACTCACACTTGTAAACCCAGCACTTTGGGAGGCTGAGGCAGGAGGATTGCTTGAACCTGGGAGTTTGAGACCAGCCTGGGCAACATAGTGAGACTCCATCTCTACAAAAAATAAACAAAAAATTAGCCAGGTGCGGTGGTGCACAGCTACTTGGGAGGCTGAGGTGGTTGGATCACTTGAGCCCAAGAGGTGGAGGTTGCAGTGAGCTGAGACTGCAGCACTGCATTCTAGCCTGAGCAACAACATATTGAGACCCTGTCTGGAAAAAAATGAACAAAAATAAATAAAAGGTTACATCCACGTAACCTTTTTAAAAAAACTCTTTTTTTTTTTCTTTGAGACAAGGTCTGGCTCTATTGCCCAGGCTGGAGTGTGGTGGAGTTTAGGACAGTCACAAGGTGGCATCTGCACAACCTTGTAAATGTCCTAAATGCAGGGAAGTGTACACCCTGAAATGGTGATTTTTTTTTTTTTTTTGAGACAGAATCTTGCTCTGTTGCCCCAGCTGGAGTGGAGTGGCACAATCTCTGCTCACTGCAACCTCTGCCTCCTGGGTTCAAGCAACTCTCCTGCCTCAGCCTCCCAAGTAGCTGGGATTACAGGCGCCCCCCCACCACACCCGGCTAATTTTTGTATTTTTTGGTAAAGATGGGGTTTTGCCATGTTGCCCAGGCTGGTCTCAAACTCCTGACCTCAGGTGATCCACCCCCCTTGGCCTCCCAAAGTGCTGGGATTACAGGAGTGAGCCACCGCACTTGGCCAACAAACGATTTTTTAATATTTATAATTATATTATTTTAAAAAATATGGAAGTCTTCACGAATTTGTATGTCATCCTTGCGCAAGGGCCCTGCTGACTCCTCTGTGTCACTCCAATTTTAGTGTCTGTGCTGCCCCAGCCAGTGCTGTGTAACTATCTCTGTCTTGCTTTCAAAGTCTTTTGATTATCACTTCAGTGAAATAAACGACTGTTATTTCAGAGTGACCTATGATCACGTTTCGTTCAATTGTTTTAAACCTTTTGACATCTTTAGCAGCTTCTCCAAGAACAAAATTCTAAATTAAGTTTTTCTGACCTAGGCTTAACTTTGGAATTTTCTAGCTGGGCCCCAGGAGAACCTTAAAAACTTATCTCTCATTTTGTAGAGGCATTAAATTATTAGGCTTATTTAGTAAATTATGTGAGAGACATTATCAAATAATAAATTATATTAGGCATTCTTTCAGTTACATTTATGTTATTAATACAAATGTTTCATGGCTGGGCATGGTGGCTTACACCTGTAATTCCAGCATTTTGGGAGGCTGAAGTGGGTGGATCACCTGAGGTCAGGAGTTCAAGACCAGCCTGGCCAACATGGTGAAACCCCATCTCTACTAGAAATACAAAAATCAGCCAGGCGTGGTGGTGCACACCTGTAATCCCAGCTATTCAGGAGGCTGAGGCAGGAGAATCACTTTAACCCAGGAGGCGGAGGTTGCAGTGAGCCGAGATTGCGCCACTGCATTCCAGACTGAGCGACAGAGCGAGACTCCATCTCAAAAAAATAAATAAATAAATAATGTTTAAAAATTGTATAAAACTTAAAATCTAATATCATTAGTCATAATTTTAGCTGTTATAGTAAATCTTCTTTAAAGTTATATCTATGTAAATGTATTAATGTGAATATCCTATAGACTATGTACAGCTGATCAGTCTGATGGCCCCAGATGAACAATGAGATTCGCCATTCCACAGTCTTCATTTACAGCAGTCTGCACTGTTGAGAGGCTCCAGCCGTCACACTCACTCACAGGCAAGTCCCTTAAACCTGATTTCCTGCCAGGCGCGGTGGCCACACCTGTAATCCCAGCACTTTGGGAGGCCAAGGCAGGTGGATCACTTGAGGTCAGGAGTTTGAGACCAGCCTGACCAACATGGTGAAACCCCGTCTCTACTAAAAATACAAAAATTAGCCAGGTGTGGTGGCGGGTGCCTGTGATCCCAGCTACTTGGGAGGCTGAGGCAGGAGAATCACTCAAACCTGGGAGAGGGAGATTGCGGTGAGCCGACATCGCACCACTGGACTCCAGCCTGGGCAACAGAGCAAGACTCCATCAAAAAAAAAAAAAAAAAAAAAAAAAACCTGATTTCCTGCAACAAAAACGAAATGACTCAAGAAATTACAACTGGCAGAGAACAAAGAGGGTGGAGAAGTGGATATTTCACAGAAGTCACACAAGGCCAGGCTCACTGTAGAAACATGGAAAAATACAGTATCTGAAGCCAAACTAACCAGGAGCATGTCCTAGCAACAGCACTCACTACCTACAAAACTGTGGGCATGGCGCTTTTGTTATCATTCTGTGATAAAAACCTCAGTGAGGTCAGGCACAGTGGCTCACAACTGTAATTCCACTGCTTAGGAAGGCCCAGGTGGGAGGATGGCTCAAAGCTAAGAATTCGAGACCAGCCTGGGCCACAGAGCAAGATCCCAACTCTAAAAATCAAATTAAATTTAAAATTTAAAGAAACAAAACAAAACAAAACTTGGCCAGGCATGATGGCTCACACCAGTAATCCTAGCATTTTGTGAGGCTGAGGTAGGTGGATAGCTTGAACTCAGGAGTTTGAGACCAGCCTGGACAACATGGCAAAACTCCATCTCTATAAAATTAAAAAAAAAAAAAAAAGAGCAGGATGTGGTGGTGTGTGTCTGTAGTCCCAGCTCCTTGGGAGGCTGAGGTAGGAGGATCACCTGGGCGACAGAGCGAGACCCCACCTCAAAAAGAAAAAAAACTTAAACGAGCTGTTGGGTAAAACTTTCAGTGTAATGGAAGGAAGACACGCCAGGCCGGAAATCAGAATGCTTTCCGGGCACTCCACTCATCCTGGCGTGGGGCTCAGGCTTGGCTCTGCCGCAGTCCACACCATCTCCCCAACACAGAACTACGGCAGCCCCCGACCCGAAGCCAGCAAAGCCCCTCAACCGGAGCTCCCTTCACAGGCGCAGGTGGTGGGAGTTCACCGTCCGCTCATCATCCCAACAGTCTGAGGACGGCGCAGCAGCCTGGGCTCCCATGGGAGGTGCAGTGAGGGAAAGCACACTCGCCCAGGCTCCCCCAGTCGTGGTGACAGAAATCCAAGCATGGGGCCATTTAAAAGAGTAGTCGTGACAGCTTAGGAAGGAGCGACTGAAGCTTTCTTTGTTTTCTCTCTGGCGATATCTTTAGGGGCCTCTCCAAGTTTCTTGCTGAAGACATCCACAGGTCTTAACCAGGCTGGTCCACCGCGGTCTTGTGATTCGAGGCACAGTAAGTGGCCCCTTACTTTCCTTCTCTACTTGACTTTTCTGGATTCGAAAGAGCGTTTGTCAAACCTACAAAAAGATGACGACTGATGGTTTTTACAAGGTGTGAACCATGAAGAGTGATCCCATGCCACCCAGGATGGGGTTGAACATTGACATTGCTACAGACCTGTATTAGGTGGAAATAGCACTGAACCCCCAAAGGAATCTAACAACATGTAAGACAGGATATTTTTTGGCTGGGCGTGGTGGCTCACGCCTGTAATCCCAGCACTTTGGGAGGCCAAGGCAGGCGGATCACGTGAGGTCATAAGTTCGAAACCAGCCTGGCCAATATGGTGAAACCCTGTCTCTACTAAAAAAATACAGAAAAAAAAAATTAGCCAGGCGTGGTGCTGGGCGCCTGTAATCCAGCTACTCAGGAGGCTGAGGCAGGAGAATG
The DNA here is from genome assembly GCF_000001405.40 of Homo sapiens. Lineage (NCBI taxonomy): Eukaryota > Metazoa > Chordata > Mammalia > Primates > Hominidae > Homo > Homo sapiens. The sequence goes on from NC_000012.12 coordinate 131,818,198, forward strand.
GCGTGAATCCAGGAGGCGGAGGTTGCAGTGAGCCGAGATGGCGCCACTGCACTCCAGCCTGGGCGACAGAGAGAGACTCCGTCAAAAAAAAAAAAAAATTCCTGTCCTCCCCCACCCTTGTGATAATGTACTTTGTGATATTCCCCGTCCTTGTGAATGTACTTTGTAACATTCCTCCCCGCCCCTGTGACAATACACCCTCCCCACCCTTATGAATGTACTTTGTAACGTCCATCCCCTGCCCGAAAAAATTGCTGCTAACTCCACCGCCTATCCTATCCCAAACCTATAAGAACCAATGATAGGCCCACCACCCTCCTCTGACTCCTTTCTCAGACTCAGCCCCCTTGCACCCAAGTGAATAAACAGCCTTGTTGCTCACACTAAGCCTGTTTAGGTGGCCTCTTATACAGACGCGCATAACACCTACATTCTTCTGGATTCATCGAATCTAACTTTCTTCCATAGAATTACTAAAAATGGAAACTTCTCTGTTCCTGAAGTCCTATCAGCTAAAACTAGATGAATTCTCCAAAAGAAGCCTTGCGTCTGATGTGTGGGCCACACAAAAGTTCACTGTACCTCCCAATGCCATAGTCAGAGACATTCGAACTGCAAACCAGGTCGCGAATAGGACGTTTCATGCTGTAGACGGCTTTCCCTAGACGCCGGCGAACAGGACTCCTGTCATGATGACGCTCTTACCCATCTCAATGCCCACCTCTCCCACGGGGCAGGACGGTGGTGTCGCTGAACTTCCACGATCCGCGGCTTCTGCTGGAACTCCACAGAACCTGACCCAGGAGATCCCTTAGTCTCTTCTGGTTAAGTAAGGAAATGCCTGTGCTGTTGCTGCCACCACACGCTGCACCTGGAGAAACTCCTCTGGGAAAGCTGAGACCCACATGCACAAAATAAGAAAACAGGCCACAGGGTCGCAGCCGGTCTCACCCACCGTGAGGTTATCTGATTTATTCCCTTGGTTGCCTTTACGGCTGGGTTCGTGACAAAGCCACTGTGCAAACTGGGATTGCCACATTACTATTAATTTTACCTTGTATTTCCCCTTTTGAAGCTTTGCGTTTGTTCCTTGTTAAATTTTGAAGTACAACTCCTCGCAGGATCATGCTGGCCCAGCGCGTCGAGATGACAGCAAGAGACTCCAAAGCAGACAAAACTGAACTCAGTAACGGGCCCCAGGGGGCCTCAGCCCAGGCACCACACCCTCCAAACCTCCCCTATTGCTCAACTGTGGCTAAAAGGGTTTTGACATTGACTCCTAGTCACCACCCACCGTAACCCCACCCGGTGTGGGGAAAGACCAGCAACCAGGACATCCCTGGGACATCAAAACCTAAGTTCAGGGCCGGGTGCAGTGGCTCACGCCTGTAATCCCAGCACTTTGGGAGGCTGAGGCGGGCAGATCACCTGAGGTCGGGAGTTTGAGACCAGCCTGACCAACACGGTGAAACCCCATCTCTACTGAAAATACGAAACTTAGCCGGGTGTGATGGCGGGCGTCTGTAATCCCAGCTACTCAGAAGGCCGAGGCAGGAGAATCGCTTGAACCCAGGAGGCGGATCGGAGGTTGCAGTGAGCCGAGATTGTGCCACGGCACTCCAGCCTAGGTGACAGAGTGAGACTCCGTCTCAAAAAAACAACAAAAAACAAAAAAGCTAAGTACAGGAAGACTGATCAGTGATGCCTGAGAAAGATTTTTTTTTTTTTTAAATGGAGTCTCACTTTGTTGCCCAGGCTGGAATGCAGTGACGCGATCTCGGCTCACAGCAACCTCTGCTCCGCCTCCCGGGTTCAAGCGATTCTCCTGCCTCAGACTCCCAAGTAGGTGGGACTGCAGGCGCGCACCACCATGCTCAGCTAATTTTTGTATTTTCGGTAGAGACAGAGTTTCACCATTTTGGCCAGGCTGGTCTCGAACTCCTGACCTCAGGTGATCTGCTTGCCTCAGCCTCCCAAAGTGCTGTGATTATAGGCATGAGCCATCTTGCCTGGCTTTTTTTTTTTTTTTTTTTTTTGAGACAGAGTCTCGCTCTGTCACCCAGGCTGGAGTGCAGTGGCGCAATCTCAACTCACTGCAGCCTCTACCTCCCAGATTCAAGCGATTCTCCTGCCTCAGCCTCCCGAGTAGCTGGGACCACAGGCGCGCACCACTATGCCTGGCCAATTTTTGTAGTTTTAGTAGAGATGAGGTTTCACCATGTTGGCCAGGCTGGTCTCAAACTCCTGACCTCGAGATCCACTCGCCTTGGCCTCCCAAAGTGCTGAGATTACAGGCGTGAGCCACCACATCTGGCTGCCTGAGAAAGATCTTGATCAAAGGGGGAAATATAGCCAAGCACAGTGTCTCACACCTGTAATCCCAGTGCGTTGGAAGGCTGAGGCAAGAGGATCTTTTGAGGTCAGGAGTTCACGACCAGCCTGAGCAACATAGTGAGACCCCTGCCTCTGCCAAAAAAACCTTAAAAATTAGCTGGGTCTGGGGGTGCACACCTGTGGTCCTAGCTACTTGTGAGATGGTGGTGGGAGGATTGCTTGAGCCTGAGAGGTGGAGGCCGCAGTGAGCTATGATTACGCCACTGCACTCCAGCCTGGACAACGGAGTCCCCTGTCTCAAAAAAAAACAATTGCCTGGGTGCAGTGACTCACACCTGTAATCCCAACATTTTGGGAGGCCAAGGCAGCAGGCTCCCTTGAGCCCAGGAGTTTAAGACCAGCCTGGGAAACACAGGGAGACTCCATCTTTATTTATTTTTTAAAAATTTAAGAGGCCGGGCATGGTGGATCACGCCTGTAATCCCAGCACTTTGGGAGGCTGAGGTGAGCAGATCACAAGGTCAGGAGTTTGAGACCAGCCTGAACAATATGGTGAAACCCCATTTCTACTAAAAATACAAAAATTAGCTGGGCGTGATGGCACACACCTGTAATCCCAGCTACTCAGGAGGCTGTGGTAGGAGAATCGCTTGAACCCGGGAGGCGGAGGTTGCAGTGAGCGGAGATCATGCCACTGCACTCCAGCCTGGGCGACAGAGCGAGACACCATCTCAAAAAAAAAATTAAAAAATATTTTTAAAAAGGGGAAATAGGAAAGTTTTCAGAATCAAAATAGAGTTATTAGTGTAAAAAAAAATCACCTGACAAATACAGCCAGGGAAGATTATGAAGGGAGGGTTCGCAGCCTTGTATGCCTGATAAAAACTACCACGAAAGACTGCAAAAAACACAACTTTGCCCAGAAAATACTTCTGCAAGGAAATCTGCCCAGCAACTGCCTGTCCAACCCCGGATTGGCATCATCTTGTCATTCCTCCTCGTAGCCAAGGATAATTGGCTTAATATTCTCATTTCAAAACAATTATGGCGTCCTCATTTTCCTTTAAAACCCTTTTTCTTCCTTTACCCCCCTTAATATACACATAGTTTACTATGGCACACACATTCCCTCCCAAATAAATATACATATCCTCTAGAGAGCCTCTTTCTGTTTCATATTTAGGTTGGGAAGTTCTAATACCATTCTCCAATACAAGGAACCCAGGGCCAGGCACGGTGGCTCACGCCTGTAATCCCAGCACTTTGGGAGGCCAAGACAGGAGGATCACTTGAGCCCAAGAGTTTGAGACCAGCCTGGGCAACCTTGTCCCTACTAAAAATAAAAAATTACCCAGGCATGGTGGCATGCACCTGTGGTCCCAGCTACTCAGGAGGCTAAGGTGGGAGGACTGCTTGAACCCAGGAGGTCAAGGCTGCAGTGAGCTATGATCATGCCGCTGCACTTTAGCCTGAGCAACAAAGCGAGACCGTGCCTCAAAAACAAACAAACAAAAAAAAAGCAAACCAAACAAAAAAACACAAAACAAGGACTGGGGCAGGAAACACACAACCTTATAGTTGCAGAAAGTAAAAACGTGCTCAACACAAACAAAATCCCCAGTTTAGGGCCAGGTGCGGTGGCTCACGCCTGTAATCCCAGCACTTTGGGAGGCTGAGGCGGGTGGATCACCTGCGGTCAGGAGTTCAAGACCAGCCTGGCCAACATGGCGAAACCCCATCTCTACTAAAAATACAAAAAATTAGCTGGGCATGGTGGCGGGTGCCTGTAATCCCAGCTACTCGGAAGGCTGAGGTAGGAGAATCGCTTGAACCCAGGAGGCAGAGGTTGCATGAGCCGAGATCATGCCATTGCACTCCAGCCTGGGCAACAAGAGTGAAACTCTGTATCAAAATAATAATAACAATACATTTTATAAATAAATAAATGTCACATGAGATCCAGACGGGGCCCTGGCACAGAAAAAAGGACATTAGAGAAAAACTCAGGGAACCTGAATAACGTGTGGATTATGCTTAATGACAATGTATCATTACGGTCCATTCACTGTGACCAACGTTCCATGATAAGATAAAATGTTAATTACAGAGGAGAGTGAGTGTAAGGTGTATGGGCACTTCAGCCATTATGGAAATTAAAAATAGAACTGCCACAGGGCCTGACAGTCCTTCCCCTGGGCCTGTACCCGAAGGAATCCAGCTCACCACCCATCCAGGTGTCCACACTCACACGTCCACCACAGCACTACCCACAGCGGCCAAAGCAGGGAACTACCTGGGCATTCATCAGTGGCCGGACAGATAAGGAGACTGTGGTGTATATGATCACGTGGAGAGAGGTGATGGACTATTGTTCAGCCTTAAAAACAGAGGAGATCCTGCATTTGCCACATGGATGGACTAGGGGTCACGATGCCAGCAAGACAAGCCAGACACAGAAAGAAACATCACAGGATCTCACTAATATCCAGAATCTTTAAAATAAATAAATAAAGGCAGGCGGGGGTATTGGGTGCGGTGGCTCACACCTGTAATCTCAGCATTTTGGGAGGTCAAGGTGGGAGGATCACTTGAGCTCAGGAGTTTTGAGACCAGCCTGGGTAACATAGCAAAACCCCATCTCTACAAAAATGTTTTTAAAATTAGTTAAGTGTGGTGGTGTGCACCTGTGGTCCCAGCTACCTGGGAAGCTAAGGCGGGAGGATTGCTTGAGCCCAGGAGGTTGAGGCTGCAGTGAGCCGTGATCATACCACTGCACTCCAGCCTGGGCAAGAGAGCAAGAACCTGTCTCACAAAAATAAATAAATAAAAAGGTGGGGATCAAATATATAAAGACAGAGAATAAAACAGTGGGCGACAGGGTGAGCCCCTTCAAAAGGGCTCGTGTGCACCTGAGGGCTGCAGAGAATAATTATGCTCCAGGCGTCTGCTAATGCATGGGTCATGGTTGCGCTGGCTGTGGGAGGAAGACAGGTGCCTGGGAGATGATGCAAAACTCACCCGTTCTGCTGTGGCCACCAATTTACTACGTATACGTACCCTACACCACCACAACGTACACCGTAAATGCACACGATAACATTTATCTTTTAAAAAGATACGTGGGGCGGGGCGCAGTGGCTCACGCCTGTAATCCCAACACTTTGGGAGGCCAAGGCGGGTGGATCACCTGAGGTCAGGAGTTCGAGACCAGCCTGACCAACGTGGAGAAACTCCGTCTCTACTAAAAATACAAAATTAGCTGGGCGTGGTGGCGCATTCCTGTAATCCCAGCTACTCGGGAGGCTGAGGCAGGAGAATCGCTTGAACCAAGGAGGCGGAGACTGCAGTGAGCTGAGATTGCACCACTGCACTCCAGCCTGGGCGACAGAGTGAGACTCCATCTCAAAAATAATTAATTAATTAATTAATTAACATTTAAAAGTCAACAACGAGGGGCTGAGGACCTCCATTGGTGGTGTTCGTGGCAGCAGGGAAGCCAGGTACCAGTGCATGAGGACTTGGAACCAGGACTTCGAAGACGCTGGGCTGAGGAGAAGACCAACCAGGCTGGGGCTGGCATAGGGTCCAGGGAGGGCCCATCTCTGAAATGGGTGACATAAGCCAAACACAGTGTTTTGTGCTCAGGCCTCTCTGCACTGGGCTTCCTGTCACTTACACCCAAAGAGCCTTGAATGGAATTCACCCTGAGCGATACAACCAGGGGCACAGCACCCCCTCCTCACTGCCTGACACGAGGGTCCTGGGTCCCCACAGGAGCAACCGTGGGCAGGGCCACCTGGGAGCTGCCCGTCAGAGTGTCTGCACCCGGATGGCTACAGACCAGGGCTGGGCACCTCTGGCTTTCCTACAACCTTCATGTCACAGCTAGGAGCCCCAAGCGTGTGTCCCACAGAGCTCCGACAATAGTGCCCGCCTGTCATTTGCCCATCTTCATGGTCCACAGACAACGCTACCTGAGTCTCCAGCCAGGGGCTGGAAATGAGCTGATGGGCCCAGCCCAGGTTTAATGCTCCAGGCATGGGGCAGCATCACTAAACCCTGGGCTGACAGGGACAAAGGTGGCTTTTCTAAAGGAAATTGCAGGGTAAGGGAGATGGATAGCAGGCAAGGCTGGATCAGGGGGCTCAGAAGATGTGATGCAACGTGTGGATGTGCACGTGGCAAACATAAATACAAGATACAGTTATTGTGGGTCTTTTCTGCTTTCTGCTTTTCTTGCTTCTCATAAATTGTTTAATTTGCTCAACAGTATGTCTGAGGCCGGGCACAGTGACTCACACCTGTAATCCCAGCACTTTGGGAGGCCGAGTTGAGTGGATCACCTGAAGTCAGGTGTGGCATTTGAGACCAGCCTGGCCAACGTGGTGAAACCCTGTCTCTACTAAAAATATAAAAAGTAGCTGGGCGTGGGGGCAGGTGCCTGTAATCCCAGCTACTCGGGAGGCTGAGGCAGGAGAATGGCTTGAATCTGGGAGGCAGAGATTGTAGTGAGCCGAGATCGCACCACTGCACTCCAGCCTGGGTGACAGAGCAAAACTCCGTCTTAAAAAAGAAAAAAATCCAGCAATATGTCTGAGTGGCCCTGCGGATACTCTTGGATCGAATCCCTTCTTCCTGGCTTCTGTCTTTGGGTCATAGCCCAGTGTTGTCAGCCCAGGGCAGCCACCAGCTTACACAGCAGCTTTGTGGGTCTTGGAAAGGTGCCTGATTCCTCATGTGCTGTGGCCCCACGGTGAGGCCATGGATCCATAAACAGGGTGCAGGTGGGACTCCAGCCCCTACCCATGCCCTTGGCCACAGCCAGCAGGACACATGGCCCTGGATCAGCCAGTCGGCCATGGGTGGGCGCGTGGGCAGTTTCTGAATTCTTTCCTATTACAAATCCCGCTGCAACACCATGCTTGCATTAGCCTTCCCGTGCAAAGACCGGAGCGTTCCTCTACAGCAGACGCCAAGAATTCTGGCCGCAGAACATGTGCTTCTTGAATCGTAATAGCTGCTACCTGGTGGCCCTCCCGAGGGGCTGTACCAGGAGCCTGAGTGCCCACTCCCCACACCCTCCTCCACAGATGATAATACGTGGTTTTTCTTTTTCCTTCCTTCCTTCCTCCCTCCCCTCTTTCTCTTTCTCTTTCTCTTTTTTTTCTCTCTCTCTCTTTCTTTCTCTCTCTCTCTTTCTTTCTTTCTCTCTCTCTCTTTCTTTCTTTCTTTTTCGTGGCAGGGTCTCGCTCTGTCTCGCCGGAATTCCTGTGCTTAAGTGATCCTTCCACTTCAGCCTCCCAAGTAGCTGGGACCACAGGCACACACCACCATGCACAGCTATTTTTATATTTTTAGTAGAAACATGGGTTTCGCCATATTCGTCAGTCTGGTCTCAAACTCCTGAGCTCAAGCGATCCGCCTGCAATTCAGCCTCCCAAAGTGCTGGGATTACAGGTGTGAGCCACCGTGCCGTCATGATTTTTCAGCGTTGCAAAGCTGATGGGAGAAGAGCGATTTCTTGCGGGGCTTGGATCTCAGCGGCTTTCAGATGTCCGAATGGGGTGGCAGGCTTGAAGGGAACACAGCAGCCATGGTGCCAGGCAGCTGCTTTGAGGAAGGTCAAATTCCCGATGTCTAACCAAGCATCTCCAGTTCACCAGCCGCCACCAGGCCTTTCTGGGGAGAACAGTGGCCTGCCTGTAAGGCCCTTCTCACATTTGTACATCCCAAGCCACTGTCGCCCAAGCTCCATAAACAAGCCATCTCCCTTCAATGCCAGCAAGCCCCGCGGTGAAGCCCCTTGCCAGCACCGAGCTACAGCCCCTCAACAGCGTCCTGTTCCAAGTCTCAGATGTGTATGAGCCCCATGATGCAGTGGGGGCACTGGCCGCGTTCCCTCTTCTGAGTCCTCGACCCAGCTTTGCCTGCCATCCACCCTCCCTTCCTCTGACTTCAGCACCTCTGATTTCCTGTAGAGAATCCCTTCCAGCCCAGGGCTTCAGCTCACTTCCCTGCCCCTGGCCCCACGATCAGGTCCTGACCCAGAATCCAGAGAGAGGTGGCCTTGGGACCATTGGTTGAGAAAGAGTCTGTCTCTGGCTGGGCCTGCTGAGGGGGAAGGATGCACAGGAGCTGCCCTGGGCCGTCTTTGCCCCACACAGAGATGGACTGAGAGAAACCGCGTTCTGACGCTGTTGCTGTGAGACTTGGTCCAGCCCTGCCTGACTTTGGCACACGCTAGGACGCCACCGTTTCCTGAGCCCATACCCATACGCTTCCTTTCCTTGACTACAGCCGCTTTGGCTGGGTCTCTGCTCTGGAAACCAGGTTGTCCTGATGCACTTGGTCAAAATCCCGGATGAGGCCAGGTGCGGTGGCTCACGCCTGTAATCCCAGCACTTTGGGAGGCCAAGGCGGGCTGATCACCTGAAGTCAGGAGTTCAAGACCAGCCTGGCCAACATGGTGAAACCCCGTCTCTACTAAAAATACAAAAATTAGCTGGGCACGGTTGTGCACGCTTGAAATCCCATCTACTCAGGAGGCTGAGACAGGAGAATCATTTGAATTTAGGAAGCAGAAATTACAGTGAGCCAAGATCGTGCCACTGCACTCCAGCCTGGGCAACAGAGCAAAAAAAAAAAAAAGAAAGAAAGAAAAAACAATCCGGGATGTCCTGTGAAAGTCCCCACCTCCTACAGGTGATCCCATCAGTCCGAACCAAGGTCATCTGAAGCAGGTGTGGAATCACCCTGTTCAGACCGGGCCAGGGAGGCTCTGAGGGCAGCAGGGACAGGATGGGCCAGAGTACCCAGGGAAGCGGGGGGGGGGGGGGGGGGGTGGTTGGGGGGAGTCGGCCCTCACAGGAGGGGAGGGGCACCACTTCCCTGAGACCAGTTCTGGTAAAAGGGGCCGAGCCTCAGTTTCCCTGTCCGTAGAATGAGACCTCAGTCCTGACAGTACCAGCTGCGATTTGGGGTGGTGGAGCAGGAGGGCCTGGGAAGGAGGGGAAGCCATGCTGTCCAGCACGAGGAGAAGCTGAATAAAGGCAAGGGTTACCCTTGAACCTCACCCCCTGCCCTCTCCCAAGATCTCCCACTCGGTGGGCAGCCTGTACGCAACTTGCACGAGTTCAATCCACACAAGCGCCTGCTCGGGCTCTGACCCTGGCTCTGCCGCTTGCCCGCTCCAGGACCTCCCATAAGTTACTTCATTTCTTTGGGCCTCAGTTTCTTTGTCTGCGAAATGGAAATCATAGTTTTCATCTCATAAATGTTGTAAGTAAATGAAATTATTTATGTAACTCCTGGGCATGTGCCAGGCACACGCTGCGCTCCAACAAACATTACAAGTTAACATTCTCGCTCCCAGGCCCGCAGGGACCGCAGAGCCTCCGCCGAGGACCCCAGCCCCCCCAACACCCGCCCTCGCCCTCCAGTCCCCCGCGCCCCCCAAGCCCCACCCTCCCTCTCCCGCGGTCCGCGGGCTCCACCAAGCGCCCACCTGCTGCGCTGCGGCGGCGGCTCCGGGGCCTGAACCCGGGTCTGAACCCGGGCCTCGGCGCCGTGGGGGGTGGACCCGGGAGCGCGGCCGGAGAGGGGAGTCAGGGTCAGCTCCCCGCAGGCGCCCCGACCCCCGCCTCCGCGCCCATCCCGCGCGTCCCCGCCGCCCCAAGAGCGTCCTAAGACACCCGGGGAAACGCCTTCCCTGTGATGCCGCGGACCCAGTCCCGTCGCGGACACGGCGGGGCGGGCGGGGGTGGCAGCGTCCGAGGCGGCGCGGGCCCTTTAAGGCGGCCGGCCTCGTTAGCATACATTTGCATGGCCCCGCCCCGCCGCTTGAGGCTGCCGCGCGGGGCTCAGTCCGGCGGGGGCGCCGCGGAGAGCGGAGGGCGCCGGGCTGCGGAACGCGAAGCGGAGGGCGCGGGACCCTGCACGCCGCCCGCGGGCCCATGTGAGCGCCATGCGGCGCCGCGCAGCCCGGGGACCCGGCCCGCCGCCCCCAGGGCCCGGACTCTCGCGGCTGCCGCTGCCGCTGCTGCTGCTGCTGGCGCTGGGGACCCGCGGGGGCTGCGCCGCGCCCGCACCCGCGCCGCGCGCCGAGGACCTCAGCCTGGGAGTGGTGAGCGCGCGGGCGGGACGGGCGCGGAGCTCCTGGGCCGGAGCCGGGGGTCTCCGCGGGCCGGGTGGCGGGGACCGGGAAGACCCCAGCAGTGCACGTCGGCGTCGCGCGGGAGCCCTGGCGCCCTGGACCCATTTCCTGGGTGGGGAGACTGAGGCAGGGACGCGGGCTGAGCGACCGGGCGAGCGCACGCGAGTCCTGGGGAGGCGCCGGCTGCCGTCCCGGCTCCGTGCGCTGGGAGCGCGCCGCAGCCGCAGGAGCCCGTGGAGTTGTGAGGGGGTCGCCCACCCGGAGCCCGGGTCGCCGGCTTGCAGCAGCCCCGGAGCAGCCGGGCTGGGCGAGAGCAGGCATCGCGGCCGCCCCGAGCTCTGCGCGCTGCGTGCGTTCCGGGTGGGAGTGGCGGGGGCAGGAGCACGCACCCACAAAGCGAGGAAGGGCAGGGGCTACGGAGTGGGGGCACCCCGAAAGCCTTGAGCCCCCGAGTTTGCTCGGTTGAGGGTGTTGGGGGCACAGGGATGCTGGCCCCCAGCTCCCCACTGGACAAGGACCTGGCCCTCAGCCTCCTTCCCCTCCACCCCAGGTCGGCCAGGCTGGCCCTGCCTTGCCCTGGTACAGTGCTGAGCCGGGGGCGCGGGGAGAGCCTTCCTCACTCCACACCCAGTAGCTGTCCCCAGCTCAGCTTAGAAACCCTGCCTGGGGGCAGCGACGTGGCCTCTTCCTACAGCCCCCTCCCCTGTTCCGCAGCCGGGACTCGCGTCTCCTGTGGACCCGGAAGATTTAGAGCACACGTCGTGGGGTCAGCGCCCCCCCGCTGGGGCGGCCGGGTGAACTCCCGCTGGGTTCGTTGGTTCCTTCTGAGGCTCCTGCCCCACCGCTGCCTTCAATGGACTCCTACCCAGGGAGTCGGGCCAGGAGCCGAGGCCTCCCCGCCCCACACAAGTACTCGGCCTGGCCCTCGTCCGCGGACAGTCTCCCAGTGGGGTCCTGGCAGGGCCCCTCGCCCAGCGCAGTGGACATTCAGGAGCTCCAAAACCTTGGGGTCCAAGCAAGTCAGCGCAGGTGTATTTCAGGCAGTCGAGGCATATGGAGGGGCCACTTGGGTGGCACCCGCAGCCCCTGTGGTTGGCAGGACTTGGCCAGGGGGTCTGGATGGGAAGCCGATTTGGCCACCGTTTGCCCCAGGCCCCGAAGCCATCTGGGAGGGTGCTGGCCACTGTCCCTGCTGCCCGCGTCCAGGTGCCTGCAGGTCCCCACAGTGGCTTCCTTCCAGCCAGGCAGCCTGTGAACTTGGGGTGCCCCCCTCCACCTCCTCAAGACCCTTTTGTAGGTGCGGATCTCCCGGATCCCCCACTGAGAATCACGCCCTGGGGGCCTGGGGTCTCCAGCTGTGGAGGGAGGTGAACCCAGGCCCGCCTTCCAGGTCCGAGGGTGCCGCAGAAGGGGCCGGGGCAATGCCAGGGAAGGACTCAAGGTGGGGCCCACACACTCAGGAGGATGGACCCCCGGCCGAGCCATGTTGGCTGATCAGACCCAGTGCGGTTTGGAAGTTTCTCGCCACCCACCTGCCCCCCTGCCCGGAGAGAGTGGGTCAGGCGCCCTCCTCTCGGCTGGTACCTGCGCCTCGGTCTCTCCTGGCACCCCGGGGGTCACCCGCCCCGCGCCCTGCGACAGCACCGAGCGGAGGATGTGGCTCCCCAGCCTGGCCGGGGGCAGTGAGTGGGGCCCCGGTGTCCAGCCGGAGAGGGAGGACGCTGCGGGCAGCCCCCTGCCTGGAGCCCCGCTCCGTGTCGGGCCCGGCCTGGCGTGGAGCCTCCGTCCTGCCGCGGCTTCCTGCTCACACTGGCGGTGCGGGGCGTCCTCTGCTGGCCCTCGGGGAACCGCGGGCCGAGCTCAGGCCCAGGGGCGGGCGGCTTCCCCGCGGGGAGGGACGAGGAGGCCGGGATCTGGGCGGGAGCGGGGACTCCTCCTCCGCCCGCTCGCCGGAGGCGCTCCCGGAGTGGACTGATATTCAGGTCTGGGCGCCAGGGACGAGAAGTGCTCCTTTGTCTCAGAGCTGCAGACAGAGCTGCACCCAGCAGGGCTGGAGCCGGGGCTGGAGGGGAGGGCCCGCCCCGGAGCGCCCCCCGTATGCACGTGAACAAGGCCGGGATTCAGGCTGCTGGGCTGCGGAGCCGGGCTTTCAGGAGCCCCCGGCGGGGACAAAAGAGCGCACTGTCCCCCCGGGGGTCCTTGGCGGGGCTGCTTGTCCTTGTGGGCCTGAGTTTTTTGTCTTTCTGTGTTTTGAGTACGACATACAGCGAGCAGCCCAGGGTCTCCACAGGCGTCCGCCTCCCTCCCGCCCCTGGTTCCTGGGCACGGATGGGACGCGGCTCTCCGTGCCTTATTTTTGCACGGTGGCACCGTGGGCCGTGCGATTGCAGCTTCGCACGCTATCTGGAGTGTCTGTGCCGGAGCCGCCCGTCTATTCACCTGGTTAAGCCAGGCTCGGCCTGCAGCCTGCTTCTGGCCAGAACTTCCCGGACTCGCGGCGAGAGTGTCTCGGGATCTGGGTCCTGGGTGGCAGTTGTGTGGTGGCAGATTTTGACAAGCTGCTCTAAAGTTTCTGCTCCATTTCTCCTCTCGGCAGCACAGCCTGTGGCTGTCATCACCGCGCCCACGGCACAGTGGCAGCTCCCTTGATCTTCTGTAGGAGGTGGGGTGGGGCGGGGCAGGTGGGGGGTACTGCTGAGGTTGTGGGATGCTGGGCCAGATGGTGCCAGGTGGCAGCCGCCCTCCATGTCCTGGCTTCTGCCGGTGGCCTCTGGGTTCCTGGCCCTCAGGACCTTGTCATCGCCCTGGCTGGGGCCAGGGTGTCCCCTCTCACCCTGCAGCTGCTCCCAGAGCTTCAGGCGAGCACCCCCAGCCAAAACCAAGACAGGCAGGAGGGTTAGACCATGGCCTGATTTCGCCATGAGAGACGTCTGACTGTCCCTTGCTCCGCGGTCCCCTTCTGACAGCCGTCTTCATGGCTCCGGGGATGTTGTTTGCCTTGGACGTGGGCTTTGCCACCCAACTAAGTGCCGGGCCTCAGTCTCCCTGTCTGCGCAATGGGGCCAGTGAGGACAGGCTGCCGTGCGATCAGCGGAGGTGCTTCCGATGGTTCAGGGACAGGAAGGGGGAAGGCTGGAGAGGATCTGGGGGGGGACGGGAAGGGGGAAGGCTGGAGAGGATCGGCGTGGGGGGACCGGAAGGGGGAAGGCTGGAGAGGATCTGGGGGGAGATGGGAAGGGGGAAGGCTGGAGAGGATCTGGGGGAGGGACCGGAAGGGGGAAGGCTGGAGAGGATCTGGGGGGTGACGGGAAGGGGGAAGGCTGGAGAGGATGGGGAGGGACCGGAAGGGGGAAGGCTGGAGAGGATCTGCGGGGGGAAGGGAAGGGGGAAGGCTGGAGAGGATCTGGGGGGGACGGGAAGGGGGAAGGCTGGAGAGGATCTGGGGGGGGACGGGAAGGGGGAAGGCTGGAGAGGATCTGGGGGGGAAGGGAAGGGGGAAGGCTGGAGAGGATCTGGGGGGGACGGGAAGGGGGAAGGCTGGAGAGGATCTGGAGGGGAAGGGAAGGGGGAAGGCTGGAGAGGATCTGGGGGGGACGGGAAGGGGGAAGGCTGGAGAGGATCGGGGGGACGGGAACGGGGAAGGCTGGAGAGGATCCGGGAGGGGGATGGGAAGGGGGAAGGCTGGAGAGGATCTTGTGGGGGAACGGGAAGGGGGAAGGCTGGAGAGGATCTGGGGGCACTGCAGGGTGTTCCCTGACACAGTGTCTTCCTGGGGGTTCCAGGGGCACTTTGCGCATGCGTGAGTTTGCCTCCTTGTTGGCAGCAGATCCCGTGGGACGCTTGCCCTGGCTGTGGACGCAGGGCAGGTGTCAGACGCATGCAGGGCGGCGTTTCTGTCACGCAGTGGGTGGGAGCCTCCTGGGCACCCGCCTCTGGGATTCGGGCCCTCCTGGGCACCCGCCTCTGGGATTCGGGCCCTCCTGGGCACCGTCTGAGTGGGACAGGACGGCAGGGACAGGACGGGGTGTGGAGCCTGGCTTCCCCTGTGGACCCTGCAGTAATAAGCAAGTCCCCTCCTCATGTTGGCCCCAAGGGCTCCACGCGATCTGGCCCACCTCCTTCTCCACCCCGCCCCCTGACTCTGTCACACCCGCTCCTCTGCGCTGTGTGTTTTCCCTGCCAAAGGGCCTTTGCACTTGCTGTCCCCACCACCGTGAGCATGTGAGCACCGCCCCACGCATCACCTGGACAGCTCCTTCCGTGTCCCCCAGGATGTTCCCTGAGCACCCATTTCATCAGCCCTCCAGCCCATCCCTCACCCCCACACAGCACAGTGGTCACAGGCGGAGACCCGGAAGCCAACAGCCTGGGCTGAGCTGAGGATACATGTCCGAACTCCCTGTGCCTCCGTGTTCTCATCTGTAAACTGGGAGTAATAAGAACACCCACTTCATAAGGTTAACCCTCAGTTGCCTGTGAGCACCTGCTTTGTGCCAGGCACCCTCCAGCAGGGACCACCCCCAGCCTTGCAGTGCCTGAGGGACATGGGCACGAATGACGTGGGCATGGTTGGGTAGTGCTGGATAACTGTTGGCTGTTAGGATCGAATAGAGCAGTTATTACTGTTCAGGACATAATGACCGCCTGAGACGCGTGTATGTGTTCAGGTGTTTGCTATTTATCTTCCTCACGATCCCGTCTTCCCCTGTGGGCAGTGGGATGGGGTCCCGCGGTCTCAGTCTCTCCCCAGTTGCTCAGACAGACGGATTCAGGGGATCTGGCAGTGTCCCTGCGGAAGAGGCTGGAGCAAGGGGGTCACTCCAACCGAGGGTCAGCCCCCAGAGGAGGCCGGTGCAGGGGAACCCCGCATGGCTGAGTGGGTCAGACGTGGTTGCTGGGACCACACCACAGCTCCATCACTGACCGTGTGCTGTGTGACCGTGGACAGGTTATCCACACTCTCTGAGCCTTAGTTTTCTCATCTGTAAAATGGGGCTGATGACACCTGCTCTCCCTGCCCCCAGGCCCCATGCAGGTTGGGTCACAGATGAGTATGGGGGTCGGGCCCTCATTCATCTGCAGGGGCCAGGCCCAGGCGCCACCACCATGGCACAGCAAGGCCACACATGCACCCGCCAGCCAGGGTGCCCTGGGCGGGAGGGGCCGTTACAACCAATCAGTGCAACCCAAAGCCCGGGGACGGGGCCTGCACTCCATAAACTCCCCAAAAACCATAAATTCCCTAAAAACCGTCAAAGGGAATTCTGTGCTGTGTGCATTACGCCCTCTTAAGGCTGGAAACAGATACGCATTGTGTCAGACAACAAGCATGGCTGAACGGTGAATCCAGAGTGGGCCTGGGCAGCTGCCTGCATCTGCGTCAGAGTCAGGGGCTGTGGGTGCCCACTTCCTGCCTGTGCCCCCCAGGGCAGGGCTCTGCCTCTGGCCTCTGTGTCCCCATCTTTGGTAATGGCCCAGCCCATGGGAGGAGCAGGAGAGCGGCCGCCTCTCCTAGGCAGCTCCAGAAATCAGCATCAGCCAGGGGGTGGCTGCCGTGGGTTGGGGCTCCCTGGAGCTCCTGGCAGCCCCCTCCCGCCTCCTCCCTCCTCCCGGCAGCCCCTCCCCCTCCCCAGTGGCCTTCTGGAAGGTTCACCCTGCTGCTGCTGCAGCACCCGCCCGCCACAGCCTCTGTTGCCCTGGAGACAGCGGTCTCCGTGGCGACAGCAGAGGGAGGACCAGGCGGCGGGTGGGCGTGGAGGGGGGCAGGTAGCAGGTTCCCAGGATCAGACGCCCCCCTGCCTGCGTGGGATCCACAGGCTCTGTAGGTACTGGGGGCAGGGGGCAGGGAGGGGGACACCTGGAGCGGGGAGTCTGGGCCCCCACCCCAGCGGCCATCCTACAGCAGGCATCCCCCTACCCACTGTGGGTGGGAGTGGGTCAGGGTAGAGGCCTGGCGGGAGAGGAGGGGTGGGGAGGGGCAGCCACATTTGCCCTGAGCTGCTGGCTGCAGTGGGGGGGTTTGCCCCAGGACTGTGCTCCAGGCCTGGTTAACCCCTACTCCCCTTAGCTAACAAGCCCACCTTGCCACCACCACCACCCCATTAGCCTGGGTCAACATTTCCAAGCCCTAGCCAGGAATCAGCCGCCCCCTCCCAGATGGACCTGAGCTGCCTGGTGAGCTGCCTGCCGCCTCTTCCCTGCAGGCTCAGGCCTCCCCACAGCCGCGCCTCCACCCACACTGGGAGCACAGGACAGGTCAGGGCTGGGCGAGGGCGCCTCGTGGGCTCAGGAGGCCCCCTGGGGCAGGTGGCCACTTCTACCTGTGTCCACCCGAAGGCTGGTGGCTCCCAAACCTGCAAGGCTTGTTCTGTTGGGGTGTCCCTGGCAAACTAGGAAGTGGTTCCCACCCTCTCACTCCAGCCCCCAAGACGGCCCCTCCCAGGATGCCTAGCCTGAGATTTGGGGCACAGCCCCCTGAGCACAAACTCGTGTTAGGTAGGAGGCACCCACCAGCCCTGCCCCACAGACCCACCACCCCCCAAGATTCGATGCCATTCTATGCTCAAATTCCAGTGCCTCTGGGGCCACAGGCGACAGTGCCTGTTTATCATGGGCGGGGCTGCCTGTCCCGGGCTGGTGCTGGGGCCCTGGTTCTATGAGTTGAAGCAGGCTGGCCGCTCACACCTGCAACTAAACCACCTGCTTCCAAACATTGGGCAACATTCCACAGCCACTGGGAGTGCTGCCTGCCAGGCCCGGCTCCACTTTCCTGAAATGCATGTGGCCTCGTGGCCAGGCTGCCCAGCTCCCTGGGGACCAGAGTGGGGGGTGCCCCAAACCGCCACCGTGAACCCCACAGAGTAAATGGGCCACTCAGTGCAGCTACCAGCCATGACCTCAGCTTATAGACGGGAAGGCTGGGGGGTGAGTTGTCCTCCCAAGGGGTCTCAGCACCTGCTGGCCCAACCCAGGCAGCAGCTGGCCTGGGTGGGAAAGGCACCTGCCTGTGTGGACCCTTCCCTGGTGAGGGGGCAGGGGGTCATCATCCAATATCATAGATGATGTGAGGAAACTCCAGAGTGCTTCCTGGAGGAGGTGACAGGCTATTGTAACCATGAGGCACAGTGGCCCTGTTGAGCTGTGATCTTAACAAAGGACTAAAAAGTGCAGAATGTGCTGATGGGCATCTCCAGCACCTACAGCGGTGACTGATCATGGGACACCCTCAGTAAACCCTGCAGGTGCAAGGTAGTGTGGGACCGGATGCTCGGGGCCAAAGATCCCCACACCCTGGAGGTCAGGGCGGAAGTGGGAGGCCAGCTTGTCAAGGCCAAGGCTGTCACCCCCAAGGCCCCTCCAGAGAAGCTGCCCACCCCAGTCATGAACGTCCACTTTGACGTCCTGTCGTGCCTATAGCTTTGGAGGGGCCCCCAGTTCTGTACACACTCTTGGCTTCCCCAAGGGGCTGAGGGGCTGGGCTGGGTCAGTAGGGTTTGGAAAGGGGGTAAAGGCACAGAGGGGGGCCCCGGGAAGGACTCAGTGCTTCCTGGAAGGGGGATCTCGGGGTGTGCAGATCCCATGTAGTGTCTTGTGAGGCCCCTCCTGGCCAGCACGGCCTGTTGCTGATGCCCCTGGGACTTCCAGGATGGTGGTGCCTCATTCCTCTGAGCACTGCCTGCTGGTGGGCAGGAGGGTTGGCCAGGACCACCCCATCACCAGCTCCTGCAGACCAGAACCTGGAGGCCCAGCAGGTGGCATAAATGAGTCACAAGCATTTTCTTTTTTCTTTTTCCTTTTTTTTTTTTTTAGGATTTCTTTAAAAAGTTATGTTTTTTTCATTTATGCATTTTTTTAGGTTAAGCCACATGAAACTACTAGTATTTATTTTAAATCAGAAATGGTCAAAAATGGGCACTTTCATATGATTTGGCCAATGAATACATGAGAGGTGGTAAATAATAGCGATTCACAAGCATTTTCTAAATGTCCAGAGAAAAAAAAAAAGACAGGTTTGCAGGCAGGGCAGAGCCCCCAGCACATCACCCCTGGCTTGTACCTTTCTGGAGCCCGCCTCACCCCTGCTGTGGTTCCCTGGGCTGGCGAGTATCCACAGGGCAGAGCAGCAGCTTCATGGCAGCCTGCAAGTGGGCACAGGCGCCATTTGGCGGTTGAAGAAACTGAAGCTAGGGGTGGAGGTAGCCCCCACAGATGGCACCCAGGCCTGCCATCCCCAGGTCCCCACGATGGCACCCAGGTCCCCACAGATGGCATCCAGGCCCCCCTGTCCCCAGGGCCCCTCCAGGGTAGCAGAGATGACTGGGGCATGGGGCCAGGGCTTGATTTATGCCCAGGTTAAAGGGCTGCCCTCATTCCTGCTCCTACTCAGCTCCGGTGTGGGTAGCCTTGCACCCACCCCAGTGGGCCCTTCAGAGCAGAGCTGTCCCCTGCGCCAGGTGCTGGTGTGAACATTTTCCACGTCCTGGCTCACGTCCTCATCACCAGCCTGCCAAGGACTCTGAGGAAGGAGCCCAGAGGGGTGGACTGCCTTGCCCCAGGCACACAGCGGGGAGGTGGCTGAGTGGGATTTGAACCTAGGCAGCCTGGCTGGAACCTGGCTTTTGTTTCTGAGACAGGGTCTCGCTCTGTTGCAGACACAGTCTGCAACTCCTGTGCTCAAACGATCCTCCCGCCTCAGCCTCCCAAAGTGCTGGGATCTCAGGCATAAGCCACAGCACCGGCCAAGCCTGGGCTCTTATCTCCCCCATGAATGTACAGCATGGCCCAATTCCTTAAACTGGTGTCTGAGCCACAGCCTTTCTCAGCTGGGGTCCCAGACCTTGGATGCTAGACTTCCCTGTCACAAGTCAGCTGAGAGCCTGCATTTGACACTGGCCACATTTAAGAGCCTTTTGAAGGTTCCCTAGCATTTTGCGGTCTCAGGAGGCGTGGGGTGGGGCAGGGTTGCCATGAGTGGTTGTACAGGTCGTGCACGGCACAAGCTCACACCATCTAAGGGACATCAGATTTATTTATTTATTCATTTTTTAGATGGAGTCTTGCTCTGTCGCCCAGGCTGGAGTGCAGTGGCACGATCTCGGCTCACTGCAAGCTCCGCCTCCTGGGTTCCCACCACTCTCCTGCCTCAGCCTCCCGAGTAGCTGGGACTACAGGCACCTGCCACCACACCCGGCTAATTTTTTGTATTTTTAGTAGAGACGGGGTTTCACCATATTAGCTAGGATGGTCTCCATCTCCTGACCTCATGATCCGCCTGCCTCGGCCTCCCAAACTGCTGGGATTACAGGCGTGAGCCACAGCACCCGGCCAGGGACATCAGGTTTATTAAGACACTTTTCCGGCAGCTGCCCAGGGAAGAGACAAGAGGTGCCTTGTGGGCAGATAGGGGGCTGGGAGGGGGCCTGCCCGGAAGCAGTGGTGGCCCGTGGCAGGCTTCTCACTGGGTAGGACCGGGCCCTCTGTTGCACCCCCTCACCCTGCTCTCTGCCCTCAGGAGTGGCTAAGCAGGTTCGGTTACCTGCCCCCGGCTGACCCCACAACAGGGCAGCTGCAGACGCAAGAGGAGCTGTCTAAGGCCATCACAGCCATGCAGCAGTTTGGTGGCCTGGAGGCCACCGGCATCCTGGGTCAGTTCTCCAGGGGGCAGCGGGAGCGCCGTGGCCCCCGTCAGGTCTGCGCCCGTCGGCCATGCCCCCTCTGATCAGGCACAGTCCCGTCTTATGCTTGAATGAACCTGGGTCCTGGCCTGGTGTAGCTCAGAGCCTGGGGCTGGTCCCCCAAAGATGACGTGGGAGGAGGGGGCGGCTCGGAGGCTGGTGCCAGAGTCAGGGCTCCCACCCTTGCGGATGCTCGGGATCCTAGGGTGGGGAGTGAGCTGGGCTAGGCTCTGAGCTCCATGCTTTCCCTGCAGACGAGGCCACCCTGGCCCTGATGAAAACCCCACGCTGCTCCCTGCCAGACCTCCCTGTCCTGACCCAGGCTCGCAGGAGACGCCAGGCTCCAGCCCCCACCAAGTGGAACAAGAGGAACCTGTCGTGGAGGTGGGTGTGTGGCCAGGGTGAGGAGCGGGGCCTCCGTGGAGGTGGGCGCGTGGCCAGGGTGAGGAACGGGGTCTCCGTGGAGGTGGGCGCGTGGCCAGGGTGGGGAACGGGGTCTCCGTGGAGGCGGGTGCGTGGCCAGGGTGAGGAACAGGGTCTCCGTGGAGGTGGGCGCGTGGCCAGGGTGGGGAACGGGGTCTCCGTGGAGGCGGGTGCGTGGCCAGGGTGAGGAGTGGGGCCCCCATGTCTCCGTGTCTGGGCCTGCTGTAGATATCCACAAACCAGGGTACTTCAGACAGCAGCAGGAGCTCTCTCCCCACTCTGGAGGCCAGGAGTCCCTGCAAAGGAGTAGGCTGGATGGTGCCCTGGGGAGGTAGAGGGAGCATCTGTCCAGGGTTCTATCCAGCTGTGCAGTTGCTGGCAGCCCTCGATGGAATCACCAGCCTCTGCCTCCACCCTGCCCTGTCCGCGCGCAGCCTCCTCTCCCGTGTCTCCAGGATGCTCCTCGGATTTAGGGCCCACCCTGATCCAGTGTGACCTCATGTCAACCCCTCATGACATCCACAAAGACCCTATTTCTTTTTTTTTTTTTGAGACAGGGTCTCACTTCGTCACCCAGGCTGGAGTGCAGTGGCGCAGTCACAGCTCACTGTGGCCCTGACATCCTGGGCTCAAGCAATCCTCCTGCCTCCGCCTCCCGAGTAGCTGGGACTGCAGGTGCATATGACCACACCCAGCTAATTTTTTTCTTTTTTTTGACACAGAGTCTCTTTCACCCAGGCTGGGGGGCGGTGTTGCAATCTTGGCTCACTACAACCTCTGTCTCCTGGGTTCAAGCAATTCTCCTGCCTCAGCCTCCCAAGTAGGTGGGATTACAGGCACGAGCCACCAGGCCCAACTAATTTTTTGTATTTTTACTAGAGACAGGGCTGGGCATGGTGGCTCACGCCTGTAATCATGGCACTTTGGGAGGCCAAGGCGGGCGGATCATTTGAGGTCAGGAGTTCGAGACCAGCCTGGCCAACATGGTGAGACCCCGTCTCTACTAAAAATACAAAAATTAGCTGGGTATGGTGATGTGTGCCTGTAATCCCTGCTATTCGGGAGGCTGAGGCAGGAGAATCACTTGAACCTGGGAGGCGGAGGCTGCAGTAAGCCAAGATTGTGCCATGGCACTCCAGCCTGGGAAACATAGTGAGACTCTGTCTGAAAAAAAATAAAAATAAAATAGTAAAGACAGGGTTTTGCCATGTTGACCAGGCTGGTCTTGAACTCTTGAGCTCGAGCAATCTGCCCACCCTGGCCTCCCAAAGTGCTGGGGTTACAAGTGTGAGCCACCACACCCAGCCAACCCTATTTCCAAACCAGGTCATATTCTAAGGTTCCGGATGGACGTGAATTTGGCGGGACACTATGTGACCCACTCACCTTCTGCTGTCCCCCGGAGTCAAAACTATCTCAGATGGGCCCTGGCTAGTGTGAGGGCTGGTGAACCGAGAGAGCCCCTTCAGTGGGGAGCAGGGGGATGGGGCAGACGGGACGCACCGTTGAGGGCCCTGGGGCTGATGGCTCCACGCGGGAGCTGACGTTTGCCTGTGGCCTGGGGGTCTCAGCCTGCCTGGGCTCTCATTTCCCTCCCTCCGTCATCTATCCCAGTGAACTACTGGAACCGCCGTGAGTGCATCGGATGACTCCTGGCGTGGGGAGGAAGGCGGAAGATGGGGGAGACCCTCATAGGGGCACCCCCGGGCTGAGGAGGGGCGTTCAGGGAACCTCGGCCTGGGGCACGTGGCCTGTTCTCCGTGACTCACTCTGGGCTGACCCCTGCCTGCAGGGTCCGGACGTTCCCACGGGACTCACCACTGGGGCACGACACGGTGCGTGCACTCATGTACTACGCCCTCAAGGTCTGGAGCGACATTGCGCCCCTGAACTTCCACGAGGTGGCGGGCAGCGCCGCCGACATCCAGATCGACTTCTCCAAGGCCGACCATAACGACGGCTACCCCTTCGACGGCCCCGGCGGCACCGTGGCCCACGCCTTCTTCCCCGGCCACCACCACACCGCCGGGGACACCCACTTTGACGATGACGAGGCCTGGACCTTCCGCTCCTCGGGTGCGTCTGGGGCAGCCCTCAGGGCAGAGTCAGGAGCCCCAGCGGCCTGTGAGGCTGAGGAGCAGCCATGGCCCCCCCATCCCCAACCCTGCGGCTGAAAACACACGCGGCTGCTCCTGAGCACGGCTGGGCATTTCCCACTAGGCCGATCTCACAGCATCTGTGCTCGGCCCGGCTGACCTCGCTGGGTGCTGGCCTGTCGGGCAGGGACACCGCTGGCTGAGCCGAGCTTGTCCTCATCACGTTCTCAGCACCTGACAGAGCAGGAGGCCTGCGAGGCCTCTGTGGCCCCGGCTCAGTGTCACTCCCGCTAAGTCCCGTTGTCTGCAGAAGTCTCAGCTCTGCAGAGGCTGTTCTGACCTCTGGACTGTAGCCTTGGGAACCATGCAGTCCTGGGAGCCCAGGCCCGTCTTGTGGGGCCAGGGGTCAGTGCCCACAGCATTGGGCCTCAGGTCATCCGACCGACACCTGGCCCCATGTAACCCAGGCCCCAGGCACAAGGTGTTATCTGTGTGGCCTTATGCAGAAAAGGTTATCAGCCGCTCCATGAATGGTACAAAGACCCCAGGCCTGGGAAGCCCAGCAGGCCCCACAGAGCCCCCAGGGGAATCGCGTTAATTCCCAGTAACCCTGCAGAATCCCTCTGGCGCAGCCGGCATCGAGGCATCCCCATGGTCACCCCAGAGCATGGTGGGGGCCTGCTGGTCCCTCCCCGCGGGGACAGGGCCCTTCTTGCCCTTAGTTCACATGGCTCCCTGTGTCCCCAGATGCCCACGGGATGGACCTGTTTGCAGTGGCTGTCCACGAGTTTGGCCACGCCATTGGGTTAAGCCATGTGGCCGCTGCACACTCCATCATGCGGCCGTACTACCAGGGCCCGGTGGGTGACCCGCTGCGCTACGGGCTCCCCTACGAGGACAAGGTGCGCGTCTGGCAGCTGTACGGTGAGTGTCTCCCCGAAGCCAGACACAGGGCCCCTGGAAGAGGGGTCAGAAACCCCAGGCACCCCTGAGCAGAGCCCCCCCGGGAGGGTTTGCTCTCCCCGCTGTTCCCTCCACGGATGGTGCCGTGCCAGCTGGGACGCTCTGGCCTGTCCACAGAGCCCACCCCTGACGTCCCCAGAGCCCCTAGATCAGAATTCCACCTCTGCGCCCCAGACACTGGTGGAGTTACGACAGGCAGGGTTGATGGCGTCCCAGGCCTGTGCAAATCACATTGCACGTCTTAAATCATCTGATCTTTGTGGCCATATAAGGTAGGACTACTGTCCCCACTTTACAGATGAGAAAACTGAGGCACCCAGAGGTATGTAGATTGCCTGGGAAACCCAAGAGTAGCCAAGTCAGGCACCAGGGACCCCTCTGCTGGGTTCACATCAGGAAGTGAGGCAGAGCCCCTGTCCTGGGAGCTGGTGCCCCGGGGAGACAGCACACGTGCATCAGAGGCCGACGCGGTCACCTCACTTATACCCAGCCCCAGCTGCCCTCCACACCGCCCACCACACCCTGCAGTAGTGCTGCCCCTGCCGCCCGGACCCTCCCGGCCTCAGCATCGTCCTTGCCGCTTCACATGCTCTGACATCCATGCATCGTTTCCACTGTAGTAAAATTCACATCCCATGCAATTCACTTTTTTGGCCGGATGCAGTGGCTCATACCTGTAATCCCGGCACTTTGGGAGGCTGAGGCGGGTGGATCACTTGAGGTCAGGAGTTTGAGACCAGCCTGGCCAACATGGTGAAACCCTGTCTCTACTAAAAATACAAAATTAGCCGGATATGGTAGCAGGTGCCTGTAATCCCAGCTACTCAGGAGGCTGAGGCAGGAGAATCACTTGAACCCGGGAGGCAGAGGTTGCAGTGAGCTGAGATCGCACCACTGCACTCCAGCCTGGGTGGCAGAGTGAGACTGCCTCAAAAAAAAAAAAAGAAAGAAATTCACAATTTCAAGGTGTGTACTTCTATGCGTTCAGGACATTCACAAGGTTGTGTGGATGCCACCTCTATCTGGTTCCAGAACTTTTTCATCACCCACTACCACCGAAGGAGACCCGACGCCCATCCCATCCCCCCAGCCCCTGGCAACCCCTGACCTCCTTTCTTCATAGATGGGCCTCTAATGCAGCCATGCAACCTTTTGTGTCTGGCTCTTTTTTTTTGAGATGGAGTCTCACTCTGTCACCCAGGCTGGAGCGCAGTGGCGCGATCTCGGCTCGCTGCGACCTCAGCCTTCCGAGTAGCTGGGACTACAGGTGACCGCCACCACGCCCGGCTAATTTTTTGTATTTTTTTTTTAGTAGAGACGGGGTTTCACTGTTAGCCAGGATGGTCTCGATCTTCTGACCTCGTGATCCACCCACCTCGGCCTCCCAAAGTGCTGGGATTATAGGCGTGAGCCACCGCACCTGGCCTCTTTTTTTTTTTTTTTTTTTTTTTTAGAGATGGGGGTCTCACTATGTGGCCCAGGCTTGTCTCAAAACTCCTGGGCTCAAGTGATCCTCCTGACTCAGCCTCCTGAACAGCTGGGACTACAGGCATGCACTATCACACCTGGCTAATTTTTAGATTTTTTTGTAGAAATGGGGTCTCACCATGTTGCCCAGGCTGGTCTCAAACTCCTGGGCTCAAGCAATTCTCTTGCCCTGGCCTCTGAAAGTGCTGGGAATACAGGCACGAACCACTGTGCCCGGCCCGGCTTCTTCCACTGAGCATAGCGTGTTCCAGGTTCACCCCATGGTAGCATGGATTTGACCTGGATTTATTCTCATGGCTGAATAGTTTTGTCATCATGCAGCCTATAGCAGGCACTGGGTTGTCACCCCTGTTGGCTGCGGTGAACAGTGCTGTGAAGGCTGGTGTACGAGCTCCTGTGGGAACGCCTGTCTTCAGCTCTTTAGGGTGTACCCCGGGGTGGAATTGCAGGGCAGTGCTCACACACTGAGTGTTTAACTCGGCGAGGGGTCTGACTCCCACCTCGACGTCAGCTCTGGGGGCAGCAGTCTCGCTGATCGCAGCTGCGCCCCCACAGAGCCTGTCTGCTGAGTGGCCTCGGTTTCATCCCTGGGATTCAGAAGGGCTGGTGGGATGTGGGGGGAGGCGGGCGTCGGGGGTTTGAGGCCGTCCTCCTCCTTGTCTCCCGCAGGTGTGCGGGAGTCTGTGTCTCCCACGGCGCAGCCCGAGGAGCCTCCCCTGCTGCCGGAGCCCCCAGACAACCGGTCCAGCGCCCCGTAAGCCCTGGGCCCACGGTCACCACCCGCTGGGGTCTGTCTGTCCTCATCCCTGTCCCACGCAACATTTGCCCCAAATCGTGGCTCAGAGTCCTGGGAAACGCACAGCTGTGTGGCCGACTGAGCCCCCAGTGACATTTTGTCTTTTCTTAAACCCCATCTAATACCGGCCCTCCCCTGCCAGGGGTCCTGCACAGAAATGAGAACTTCAGACAAGGTTTCCTCTCCCCCTCGTCCCTGTCAGCTACTGCCATGTGACAAGCAGCCCAGCTTGAGGAATGTTTCATCAAGCTCATGGATTCCCAGCATCAGGAAGTCAGGCAGGGCCTGCGAGTGTCTGGCCTGTGCCCCCAGCGGGAGGGATGTTCACTGCCGGGGCCCACATCTGGTGCCAGGGCTGGGCCCAACTGGGACGGCCACTGGGGCTGCTCCACGAGGCATGACCCTCCCACAGCAACTGGATTCCCAGTGAAGTTGTCTTGAGAGCTGGTATTGCCAGAGGCCGGTAGAAGCTGTGACCTTGTGCCACCCAGCCCCAGATGTCACAGGACCGTACGTGTAACCCTCCCGGTTAAAGCTGCGAAGGAGCCACGCTCTGTGTCGAGTCGTCTCTCGGTGGACATGCACCTTGTCCCTGACCTTCTGTCGCTACAGCCACGTCGCTGTGAACACGCTTCTTGTAGGACCGAATTCTAGGCCCGGGCTTGGGGTCCCGTGGCGTGGGGTCCCGTGGCGTGGGTGTTTGGCACCCAGCCAGGCCCAGGGTGCTACACCAGTCTCCACCCCTGAGCTCCTGCCCTCCCCGCAGCTCCCTGGCGCTCTGTATGCTCAGAGCGTAGATCTCGGCCCCCGCCCGCTGAAGCGGTGGACAGGCACCCCCGTTTTAATTTGCCTTTAGCAGACCTCTAGGCAAGGATAGGGGCTCCACACAAGGATGCCTGTCCCATGCCGCTCAGGTCAGGGGCTCTGCCGCAGGATGCCCTGTCCCGCGCTGCCCAGGCCCCGCCTCCCAGCCCACCTGGCTCTCTCCCTGCAGGCCCAGGAAGGACGTGCCCCACAGATGCAGCACTCACTTTGACGCGGTGGCCCAGATCCGGGGTGAAGCTTTCTTCTTCAAAGGTACCTCCAGGGTTCCCGTGGCGGTTGGCTGAGGGCCATGGCCCACTCTGGGTGCAGACCGTCTCTGCAGCCCGGCCCTCCCCTCTGTGCCCCCAGGCAAGTACTTCTGGCGGCTGACGCGGGACCGGCACCTGGTGTCCCTGCAGCCGGCACAGATGCACCGCTTCTGGCGGGGCCTGCCGCTGCACCTGGACAGCGTGGACGCCGTGTACGAGCGCACCAGCGACCACAAGATCGTCTTCTTTAAAGGTGGGTGGGCCTCCCCGTCGCACTCCGGGCTTCCCGGGCCCTCTGTCCGCCTCATGGAGGGACGGAGAGGGTCCAGCCTGCGTGTAAGCCCTACGTCTGCCCAGAGGCTGGTCGAGCACAGAGCAGCTGGTTTGCTTGTGCACTCAGCAGATGCACTCTGAGCACCTACTGTATGCCCCGTCCTGAGGCAGCCGCTGTAGGCACACAGAGGGCAAAACGATGGAAAGCCCTGCCCTCGTTCTAGTCAGGCCACAGTCCACCCGCAAGTCAGGAGGAGCTGATGCCAGTGCCGTTCGGTGTGGTCAGAAATGAAGGACAATGGGGAGAGGTCTCCTTAGGGAGATGCTGTACAAGCAGAAACTAGGGAACAGTGTTCCAGCCCGGGGAACGGCCGTGCGAGGCAGGAGCAGCCCTGCCGAGTCCCAAAAACATCAAAGGGGCTGCAGCTGGAGTACCAGGGGCCTGGAGGAGGCTCGGGACAGAAGCGTGAGGGGCCGTGGCTGCTAGGGCCGGCCTGCCTCTCCCTGGTCGGCCCCGGTGCCCACCGTTCCAGGAACCACCTCGTGGCAGTGTTACAGGAAGCACTCCTTTTGCCTCCAAGTCTCCGGGAAGGGCAGGAAAGGGAGACAGTAGCAGGGGCAGGTGGGGGTGGCAGGGCTGCAGGACAGAGACCCCCATGCTGGGCTGAAACACCCGGAGTTTCCCTCACAGTCTGGAGGCCACGAGTCCGAAATCAAGGGCTAGGCAGGGTGGGTCCCCTCTGGAGGCTGTCCCAGGCCTCTCCCACATCCAGTGTCACCCTCAGCCACATCCCTCCTGCCACCGCCTCTGTCTCCACCCGGCCGTCTCCTCCCCCATCTCCGCATCTTCTCTTATAAGGAAGCCGGGCCTTGATTCAGGTCCCCTAGTCCTGTTTGTTTTTTGTTTTTTGTTTTTTGTTTTTCTGAGACAAAGTCTCACTCTGTTGCCCAGGCTGGAATGCAATGGTGTGATCTCAGCTCACTGCAACCTTCACCTCCCAGGTTGCAATTCTCCTGCCTCAGCCTCCCTAGTAGCTGGGATTACAAGGTGCCCGCCACCACTCCTGGCTAATTTTTGTATTTTTAGTGGAGACAGGGTTTCACCACGTTGGCCAGGCTGGTCTCGAACTCCTGACTTCAGGTGATCCACCCGCCTTGGTGTCCCAAAGTGCCAAGATTACAGATGTGAGCCACTGCACCCGGCCTGCCTAATCCCATCTTAACTCATCTTAACTAACACATCTGCAAAGACCCTCTTTCCAAGTAAGGTCACGTCCTGAGATTCTGGGTGGATGTGAGTTTGGAGGACGTCATTCAATCCAATGTGGCAGCCACTCCCACAGTCACGGGCGGGACCCCGTTTCCTTGCCGAGGTAAAGGGTGTTCTGCGTGTCTGTCAGGGGAACCACTTCCTGTAACTCCATCGCCTGCCCGGCCCTCAGCATTTGACTCCGTCACCCCCATCACCTGGGAGCCCTCCGGTGACTGTTCCCGGAGGCCTGATCCCTCCTGAAGGGACAGAGGCTGCAGCTACCTGGGAGGCTGAGGCAGGAGGACCACCTGAGCCAGAAGGTCAAGGCTGCACTGCACCATGATCGTGCACTGCACTCCAGCCTGGGCGACAGAGCAAGACCTTGTCTAAAAAAAAAAAAAAACCAAAATGTCACGCGCAGTGGCTCACGCCTGCAATCCCAGCATTTTGGGAGGCCGAGGCGGGCAGATTACAAGGTCAGGAAATCGAGACCATCCTGGTTAACACGGTGAAACCCCGTCTCTACTACAAAATACAAAAAATTTGCCGGGCGTGGTGGCGGGCACCTGTTGTTCCAGCTACTCGGGAGGCTGAGGCAGGAGAATGGCGTGAACCTGGGAGGCGGAGTTTGCAGTGAGGTGAGATCACACCACTGGACTCCAGCCTGGGTGACAGAGCGAGACTCCGTCTCAAAAAAAAAAAAAAAAAATCCCCAAAGACAGTACCTGGACTAAAAAAGAAAAAAGAAAATTACTTGCAAACCTCATGACCAATTGCTCCTAACCTCCCCTAGGCCACCTTGCCAAAGGCCCCAGGGTGCCCTGTAGAGCCTCCCCGAGCAGGATCCCATCACGTGCGGCTCCCCTGCCTTGCACACATTAGAAGTGTTCAGG
Source organism: Homo sapiens (assembly GCF_000001405.40). Taxonomy (NCBI): domain Eukaryota; kingdom Metazoa; phylum Chordata; class Mammalia; order Primates; family Hominidae; genus Homo; species Homo sapiens. The sequence continues at coordinate 131,847,615 of NC_000012.12, forward strand.
CCGCTTCCCCCAGGTGGACCCGTCTGGCATCTCCTCCAGATCAGGTTCTGGTTTTGCACATCTGGCAGGAATGCCACCGAGGGCAGGTGTTCTGAGCCCCGAGCCGCCCTGCCTGGTGATGTTCGCTGTGGTCACCTGGATGAGGTGTGTCTGCAGGTTTCGCTACCATAAAGCCCCATTTCTGGGTGTGAGGGGTTGGTCACCTGCCAGGAGAGACTTGAGAACATGTGGGTCTCTTGCCACAGGCCGTCTCACCCCTGCTCCCCCTCTGTCCCCTGTGTCGCCTGCCCCTGCCTGGTTCCCTACCAGGCGCATCTGTCCTGGTTCCTGCTCAGCCATAGCAGGGCAGGGCCCATTGGTCCTCCCATCATCTCCTTAATCCCTCCCCCTATTTACAGACATCACAGCCCTTTCCAGTCTCCAGCAAAGGACTTTTTCTGGTCTTTTTATATTATTTTTATTTTTAATTTTATTTTACTGTATTTTTTTGAGACAGAGTCTCACTCTATCACCCAGGCTGCAGTGCAGTGGTGTGATCTCAGCTCACTGCGGCCTCGACCTCCCAGGTTCAAGCAGTTCTCCTGCCTTAGGCTCCTGAGTAGCTGAGACTACAGGCGCTCACCACCGTGCCTGGCAAATTTTTTGTATTTTTGGTAGAGACAGGGTTCACCGTGTTGGTCAGGCTGATCTCAAACTCCCGACCTCAGGTGATCCACCCACCTTGGCCTCCCAAAGTGCTGGGATTACAGGCATGAGCCACCACTCCCGGTCTGGTTTTTTGGTCGTTTTAAATTGTGGGCGTGGTGAGCACACTTTACTATTTCAGCCATTTTGAAGCCACAGCTCGGTGGCATGAAGCACGTTCACGTTGCTGTGCAGCTGTCACCTGCGTCCACCTCCCGAAGATTTCCACCTTCCCAAACGGAAACGCTGCCCCGTGAAACACGGATGCCCCGCCCCGCCCCTGGGCAGCCCCGCCCCTCCCCTGGGCACCCCCACTTCGCTTGCTGTCCCCATGGCTCTGAGTGTTCCAGGGACCCCATGTCAGTGGGACAGACAGGATCTGCCCCTCTGTGCCTGGCTCGTGTCACTCAGCGGAAGGTCCTCGGGGCTCATACACGCGGTGGCACGTGGCAGGATTTCCTTCCTGGCTGAGGCTGAGCGGCATTCCATGGCACGGACGGACTGCACCTCGTTCGCCTGCTCACTTGGGTTTCCTCTACTCTGGGCTCCTGTGAAGGACGCTGCTATGAGCGTGAGTGTGCAAACGTCTCTCCAAGACCCTGCTTTCGGTTCTTTTGGATTTATACCCAGAAGCGGGAATGCTGGATCACGTGGTAATTCTATTTTTGACGTTTTGGGGAGCCTATGTTCTGTCTCCCGCAGCGGCTGCACAATTTCATACTCCCTCCCCGGCAGCGCCCGGCTCTGCCGTCCCCATATCCTCCCGACACAGGTGACTTTCCACGTTCTTGACAGTGGGGGCGAGGGGGCGTCTCATTGTGGTTTTGAGGGCGTTTCTAGTGACGTTGACCATCTTCAAGTGCTCAATGCCATCTATATTTCTTGGGAGAAAAGTGTATTTAACGCAGGGCACGGTGGCTCACACCTGTAATCCCAGCACTTTGGGAGGCCAGGGCGGGCAAATCACCTGAGGTCAGGAGTTCGAGACCAGCCTGGCCAACATGGTGAAACCCCGTCTCTACTAAAAATACAAAAATTAGCTGGGTGTGGTGGTGGGCGCCTGTAATCCCAGCTACGCGGGAGGCTGAGGCATGAGAATCGCTTGAACCCAGGGGCGGAGGTTGCAGTGAACCGAGATCAAGTCACTGCACTCCAGCCTGGGTGACACAGCAAGACTCCGTCTCAAAAAATAATGATCATAATAATAATAGGATGGCATGTCGTGGGCCTCGGTTTGGCCCGAGTTGTTGTTTCCATCGGTAAAGGGGTGGCCGGCAGCGTCCACAGGCTGGATGGGATGGCCCGGACTGGGCACAGTAGGTGCTCACTAAGTATCCATGTGGCCCCTGTGATGTGGGGTGATTGCAGTGTGGCCGCTGTCCCATCAAGCCCAGGTGAGGGGCCAGGGCAAGGGCGGCTGACACAGGAGAAGGAAAGGCAGGAGCCTCCTGCCCTTCGGGGTGGGGCCGAGCCCCGGCCCACAGCTGTTTCTCTCGCCCCCAGGAGACAGGTACTGGGTGTTCAAGGACAATAACGTAGAGGAAGGATACCCGCGCCCCGTCTCCGACTTCAGCCTCCCGCCTGGCGGCATCGACGCTGCCTTCTCCTGGGCCCACAATGACAGGACTTATTTCTTTAAGGACCAGCTGTACTGGCGCTACGATGACCACACGAGGCACATGGACCCCGGCTACCCCGCCCAGAGCCCCCTGTGGAGGGGTGTCCCCAGCACGCTGGACGACGCCATGCGCTGGTCCGACGGTGAGTGCCAGCTGGGGGGACGGGCCATGCGGCCTTGGTTTCCCCACCAGGAGAGGGGCATCACTACAGGGCAGCCAAGAGGTTCCCTGAAAGGAGGACGGCCCCGGTCGGTGTGGGCTCTGAGGGTCCCAGCCCCTCGCCTGGAGCTGCCGACCCTGCAGGCGTCCCCGAGTCGCTCCCCGAAGGCCTGGCCCACGAGCTGCCCTTGTTCTCCCCGCCCTCAGCACTCCCTCGCCCCTGCTGCTCCCCCAGCCACGCTCCTGCCCCAGGGCCTTGGCACTGGCCATGCCTCGTCTGGGCACACTTTCCTGAGATGTCCACACAGCCCCTCCCTCGCCGGCCCCAGCCCTGCCAAACGCCCTCCTGGGCATCACCCCTGCCACGTCCCACAGTGTAGAAGAAACCTCCCCACAGGGTCAGCTCCAGGGACGGCAGCATCCTCTGTTTTGTTTTCAACGCTGCATCCTTGTCACCTGGAACAGCCCTGCACAGAGTGGGCCCTCAATAAATATCCAGTAAGGGAAAGAGACTCTGAGGGTCTCCTGGTCCATCCCCTGCCCCAGCAGGCTCCTCTGGAGCTTCCCAGGCCTGTGACCATGCCTGCAGAGCTGCCCACAGCTGAGCAGATGCTGACCCCATCTCAGATATTATCTGGGCACCCCCTGCCATCTAGCACGAGCCGCCCCCCACCAGCCGTCTGGTCTGACCCCCCACTGCAGTCTTGTGCAAGCCCCCTGCTGTCTGGCCCGACTCGAGCCCCTTCCGCTGCAGCCCTCCCTGAGCCCAACGCTCCCTCCTCGCTGTCCGGCTCGAGCCCCTCCTGCTGCAGCCCTCCCCTGAGCTCAGCTCTCCCTCCTCTTCTCAGGTGCCTCCTACTTCTTCCGTGGCCAGGAGTACTGGAAAGTGCTGGATGGCGAGCTGGAGGTGGCACCCGGGTACCCACAGTCCACGGCCCGGGACTGGCTGGTGTGTGGAGACTCACAGGCCGATGGATCTGTGGCTGCGGGCGTGGACGCGGCAGAGGGGCCCCGCGCCCCTCCAGGACAACATGACCAGAGCCGCTCGGAGGACGGTTACGAGGTCTGCTCATGCACCTCTGGGGCATCCTCTCCCCCGGGGGCCCCAGGCCCACTGGTGGCTGCCACCATGCTGCTGCTGCTGCCGCCACTGTCACCAGGCGCCCTGTGGACAGCGGCCCAGGCCCTGACGCTATGACACACAGCGCGAGCCCATGAGAGGACAGAGGCGGTGGGACAGCCTGGCCACAGAGGGCAAGGACTGTGCCGGAGTCCCTGGGGGAGGTGCTGGCGCGGGATGAGGACGGGCCACCCTGGCACCGGAAGGCCAGCAGAGGGCACTGTCCGCCAGGGCTGGGCAGGCTCAGGTGGCAAGGACGGAGCTGTCCCCTAGTGAGGGACTGTGTTGACTGACGAGCCGAGGGGTGGCCGCTCCAGAAGGGTGCCCAGTCAGGCCGCACCGCCGCCAGCCTCCTCCGGCCCTGGAGGGAGCATCTCGGGCTGGGGGCCCACCCCTCTCTGTGCCGGCGCCACCAACCCCACCCACACTGCTGCCTGGTGCTCCCGCCGGCCCACAGGGCCTCCGTCCCCAGGTCCCCAGTGGGGCAGCCCTCCCCACAGACGAGCCCCCCACATGGTGCCGCGGCACGTCCCCCCTGTGACGCGTTCCAGACCAACATGACCTCTCCCTGCTTTCTAGCGGCTCGGCTGGGCTCCCTGGTGCTCCAGGGCCATGGGAGTGGGTACCCTCGGGCCTCAAGGGGCTTGACCCTGACCAGGGGCCCACGCACCTGCACTTGGGGTGGGGGCTTCCCAGGAGGTCTCGGCAGTCGCATTCCTCCTTGTTCATCAGCCCGTCCCGCGCTGTCTCTTCCAGTCCTCGTGCCCCGAGGAGTCCCCACGCCCCTGTCACAGATGGGAGAGTTGAGGCCCAGCGGGGGATGAGCCTCAGTGCTACAGGCAGGGGCATCACGGGCGGGCGGGGCGCCAGCTGGCCCAGTGAGATCTGAGTGTGGGAGGTGCCCGAGGAAAGGCATCAGTTGTTGGGTGAGCCACTTGGGACGCTGTCTGCCCCGCAGCACTAGACCATGATGCCCGGCCGAGCACCGGGACCTGGGTGCGCCCAAGAGGGAGGGTAGGTGCTCCCTGCGCAAGAGGGAGGGAGGGTGCTCCCTGCAAGGGGCTGATTCTAGCTCCAGCCACTCTGTCACTTGCTCCCTTTGCTCCCAGCCTCCAGATCCACAGCGGAGTCCCTCAGCCTGCCCCCACTCTGGCCGGCGAGTGACGCGTCTGTCCTGCAGTACCCTCTTGTTCAGAGGGTGCAGCCGATGCCACTCTGCAGGGCCCAGTCCTCCCGCTGGTGCACAGTCCTCTGGTCTCTGCGGCACAGACGCACCCCGGGCCACAGGTTCGGGGCCTCAGGCTCTGGCTCACCAGCATCTGCCCTGGGCTGTGGAGGGCCCGGGTGCCCCCTCAAACGTGACTCAGTGAGGATGAGGAGGTGGCCGTTGGACTGTGGGGGATTCACTCCCACATAGCAGGAAGTTCCTGACCACAGGCCCAGCATAGGGAGCGGCTGGGGCCACCCAGGGTGCAGATGAGGCTTCCTGGCACCCAGGAGCCAAAGCCCACAGCCCCCTTGTCCCATCCCAGGGATGGCACCCATCCCAGGATGAGGCTGCCAGGGCCGGGCAGGCAGGCCCCAGGCCAGGCCTCATGGAGCCGGGCCACCTCCCCGTGAAGAGAGGCCACATCCTCATGGAGTCCAGCCGTGTCCTCTGTCCCCCGCCTGTTCACCATCTGCTCCCTGGAGCAGGAGGAGTCCCTGCCTGTCAGACCAGTCTGTGGAAAGACCGACCTCCCTCCTGTCTGTCGGGGACACTGGCTCTGCCCTGCACCAAGTGGTGTTTCCTCATCACGCTTTGTTGCCCAGCAGCCTGTGGGGTGAATTCCCCCGTGCAGCTGGCCCAGCCCCGTGGTCCCCACGTCCTGGGTCGTGCCCCAGTGCAAAGCCGGCTGTGGGCCTTGTCTGCTGAGTCGGGCTCTCACGTTGGCAGGGCTCACTGCGGTTTTGAAGTCCAAACTCTCCGTCATAAGCCTCTTCTGCCGGTCCTATCTCTGGTGAAGAGGTGAACCGTAGGCGGGGCAGGGGGGCTGCTCTGAACTTGCCTCTCCATGCTGCAGCCCACCTCCCTCTGGCAGTGGGGTGGCCGTGCTGGGTCCTGGGGCAGGGCCTGGAGCCCCGCCAGCCCATGACGCATTTCATGAGCCCCCACCTTTTGATATGCACATGCAGCTGAGGCTACCCTGACCCCACATTCAAAGTCGGAAATCCCCAAAACCCAAGACCTTTTGAGCACTGATGGGCTCGGGGTGCACACAGAACATTTGGGATTTCACTTTTTTTTTTTTTTTTTTTTTTTTTGAGACAGAGCCTGTCGCCCAGGCTGGAGTGCAGTGGTGAGATCTCAGCTCACTGCAACCTCCGCCACCCAGATTCAAGTGATTCTCCTGCCTCAGCCTCCCGAGTAGCTGGGATTACAGGCAGGCACCACCACGCCTGGCTAATTTTTGTATTTTTAGTAAAGACAGGGTTTCAGCATGTTGGTCAGGCTGGTCTCGAACTCCTGACCTCAGGTGATCCACCCGCCTCAGCCTCCCTGAGGTGAGGCTAGGATTACAGGCATGAGCCAACACACCTGGCCAAGTGGCAGTATTTGAAAAAAGAAAAGCAGAGAAAAATGCTCAACCTGTAAGTATAATGCAAATATAGTGTCCAAACTCCAAACAATCTGAGCTCCAAAACACTTTTCTGGTCCTGCGCGTCTCGGATGAGGAACACGCGGGCAGGGCGTGTTGTTTTGTGGAAAGGATCTCATGTTCATAGAAAGCTGCACCCGCAGCATGAGAGTCCTCTGCATCCTTTGGGAGGCGCTGACCACCCTGAGCTCGCTTCTGTGTCTCCTGGAACGCAGGTGTCCTCCCAAGGTCAGAGTTGGGAAAGACACGCAGCCAGTGGATCTCAGATCAGAGGATGCTGCAGGGACAGACCTCACCCAGGGCAGCCTTCTTTGGCCCGGCACAGCTCCCGGGCCTTCCCCGACCCCTGTGACCTCGCACCTATGAGGGCTGCCGGCCCGTCCTTCTGTGGTCCATGCCCCCGGCCTGTCCGCCTGCACCTTCCTCGTGATGGGACCTCGGTTCTGTGTCTTCAGCAGGCAGTTTTCCATCTTCGCCTGAGTCACCATCTAAACACCTGGAGACTTCACGTGACGTTCTGGATTTTCAGAGTCACTGCTTATACCTCAGGCTGTGCTGGCCCAACTTGGAGAAGCTGTGCCCCCAGGCCCAGGAGGCAGGGCATCGCCAGCCCACAGCCACAGTCAAAACCCTCCGAAGGAGGTCAGAGGACCCACGCCACCCCAGTGAGGGGCAAGGACCTCTTCCCTTCTTCCTTCCACCCCAGGGAGGTCAGCCTGGAGGCCCAGGGTCTCTCTTGAGCCACACGGCCGGGCCAAGGCACTGGCTGCCCTTAGCGTGACCCAGGCTTTTGACCAAAAACACACAGCCCCATGGGTGCTATACAACGCCTCTGCATGGGAGACCTCCGAGGCCAGGACACACCCTCTCCAGCTCCCATGATACAGGAAGGGAAACTGAGGCACGGTGTCTTAGCTCAGCTTGCCGTGACAGGCTGCTGTAGACCATGCGGCTTCCACATGGGTGACCTCTGAGGCCAGGACACACCCTCTCCAGCTGCCGTGTTACAGGGAGGGAAACTGAGGCACGGTGTCTTAGCTCAGCTTGCCGTGACAGGCTGCTATAGACTGTGCGGCTTCCACACAGGCATTTGCTTTCCCACCAATCTGCAGGAGTCTGAGGTCAGGATGCCGGCAGGGTCAGGTTCTTAGAGGCCCGCTTCCTGGTTCAAAGCCAGCACCTTCTCACTGTGTCCTCACAAGCCCGAGAGAGAAAGTGCTGGTCCCTTCACCCCCTACCAGGGCACCAATCTCATTGTGGGGGCTCCGCCCTCACGACCTCATCTAACCCAAATCGCCTGCCAAAGGCCCCCTCCTAACACCATCACACTAGCGGTCATGGTTTCAAAATGTGACTGGTGGCCGGGCACGGTGGCTTATGCCTGTAATTCCAGCACTTTTGGAGGCCAAAGTAGGAGGATCGCTTGAGCCCAGGAGTTCAAGACCAGCCTGGGCAACACAGCAAGACCCCATCTCTACTAAAAACTTAAAAACCACACACACACGCACACACACACACACACACACAAAGATGTCTGAGGAGACACAGACATTCAGTGCATAACATCCAGGGTGGATGGGCCAAGGCTGCCCGGTGGGTGGGTGGCCCCAGATCCCAGCCGCACCTGTCCCTCCCTGCCACCCTCCTGGCCTCCTTCAGAAACCCTGTGGGGAGTGGATTGTGGGGGCTTAGGAGGCTCTGGCGGGAGGCAGATCACCCCAAAGCAGCATGAGTGACAGCTAAGATGCCGGGCCTGCCCTGCGATCTGCGACTGCAAACTCACTGAATCCTGGCAGCGACACTGAGCGGAGGGACTGGGTTACTTCTGTTTCCCAGATGAGGAAACTGAGGCCCAGAGCTGGCAGAGAGCTGTCCGAGCCCAGGTGTTCAGGGAGGGGCGGAGCCAAGTGTGAAGCCAGCGGGCACACTCTGAGGTCGGGCTGAGAGCAGCACTCCCTTGCCCAGGCGGAGGGACCGCAGGTAGCAGGACACTCTCGTGGGAATCCTAAGGACGCCAGAGCACACCGCTCCGGGGCAGCCGAGCTGGACCCACAGGTGTGACTACAGCGCAAGCCAGGGCCGCCCCTCCCAGCTCCCGGGCCGTTTTTAGGGCGCCGTGGCTGCAGCGGGGCGGCTGGCTCTGGGCTGCTTCACCCCAAGCTGTGATGGGCCAGGGTGGCTCTGCACCCCGCCCCCCTGAGCCCAGGCCAGGCAGGCAGGACCCCCGCTGCGGCTGAGAAATGGGAGGAGCCGAGGAGACAGAGCCACTGCTGGCCACACTCTCCACCTCCACCGGGTCAGGGTCCTTCCACCGTGACTGCAGGACAGGACCCCCACGGCTTCTCCACTTAACAGCAGCAGGATCCTTGCCTTCTCGCTCGCTCTGTCACCCCCAGTCTGTTTCTCTGTCTCTGCCTCTCTCTGTCTCTGTCTGTATCTCTGTCTGTCTCTCCAACTCAGTCTCTATCTTTCTCTCTCCTTGTCTCTCTGTATCTCTGTCCCTCTCCCTGTCTCTTGTCTCTCTGTCTCTCTCCCTGTCTGTCTCTCCTTGTCTCTGCCTGTCTCTGTCTCTATATCTCTGTCTCTCCATCTGTCTCTCTCCCTGTCCCTGTCTCTCTCTGTCTCCCTCCCTGTCTCTGTCTCTCTGTCTCTATCTCTGTCTCTCTCCCTGACTCTCTCTCTCTGTGCCTCTCTGTCTCTGTCTCTCCTTGCCTCTGCCTCTCTGTCTCTATATCTCTGTCTCCCCATCTGTCTCTGTCTCTCTGTCTCTATCTCTGTCCCTCTCCCTGTCTCTGTCTCTCTCCCTGTCTCTGTCTCTCTGTCTCTCTCTCTCTGTCCCTCTCCCTGTCTCTCTGTCTCTGTCTCTCCTTGTCTCTGCCTGTCTCTGACTCTATGTCTCTGTCTCTGCATCTGTCTCTCTCTATCTCCCTGTCCCTGTCTCTCTCTCTGTCTCTCTGTCTCCCTCCCTCTCTCTGGAGGTTGCCTGGCCTCCGCCGCTGGTCTCCCCTGCACTTGCACCATGGTGGGGGGCCTGGCTTGCTCCTGTCGTATGGCAGTTGGCGCTGGCTCTGGCAGGAGCCTCCATGGGGCCTGGGCTCCTCCCAGCACTCGGCTGGTGCCATGCAGGTGCCTGCATTTCTGTCACTCTTTTTTTTTAGACGGAGCCTTGCTCTGTCACCCAGGCTGGAGTGCAGTGGTGTGATCTCGGCTCACTGCAACCTCCGCCTCCCGGGTTCAAGCCATTTTCCTGCCTCGGCCTCCTGAGTACCTAGGATTACAGGCACAGGCCACCACGCCTGGCTAATTTTTGTATTTTTAGTAGAGAAGCTTTCACCATGTTGGCCAGGCTGGTCTTGAACTTCTGACCTCAAGTGATCCACCCACCTCGGCCTCCCAAAGTGCTGGGATTACAGGTGTGAGCCACCACGCCCGGCCTTCTGTCACTCTTTATTTGCTCAACGAACACCTATTAAGCCACAGGCACTGTTCCAGGTGCTGGGGCCACAGCCTTGAACCAAACAGGCCAAATCCTTAATCTTGTGAAATCTTCTGTAAATCTTCCTGTATTCCAGTGGGGAAAAAAGGCAGCCAAGCAGATGGGGCTGTACCTGTGAGAGTGTGTCACCCGTGGGTGGAGTGTGCAGTGATCAGATGTTGGTAGGAAAATGAGGCAGGGGGGCGGTGTTTGTCGAGGAGGGAAGCCGAGCCTGCAGGAGCTGAAGGAGGCTGCACACAGGCCCTGCAGCCAGTGGTGTTGGGTGCTCTGGAGATCGCTGGGTGCTCTGGGAGGTGCTGGGTGCTCTGGGGAGGTGCTGTGTGCTGGGTGCTCTGGGGAGGTGCTAGGTACTCTGGGGAGGTACTGGGTGCTCTGGGGAGGTGCTGTGTGCTGGGTGCTCTGGGGCAGTGGTGGGTGCTCTGTGGTGGTGGTGGGTGCTGTGAGGAGGTGCTGGGTGCTCTGGAGAGGTACTGAGTTCTCTGGGGAAGTGGTGGGTGCTCTGGGTTGGTGCTGGGTGCTTTGGGGAGGTGCTGGGTACTCTGGGGCGGTTCTGGGTGCTCTGGGAAGATGCTGGGTACTCTGAGGCAGTGCTCTGGGGAGGTGATGGGTACTCTGGGGTGGTGCTGGATGCTCTGGGGAGGTGCTGGGTGCTCTGGGGATGATGCTGGGTGCTGTGGGGAGGTTCTGAGTGCTCTGGGGAGGTGCTGGGTACTCTGAGGTGCTCCTGGGTGCTCTGGGTCATGCTGGGTGTTCTGCCTGATGCTGGGTACTCTAGGAAGGTGCTGGGTACTCTAGGAAGGTACTGGGTACTCTGGAACAGTGCTCTGGGGAGGTGCTGGGTACTGTGCGGTGGTGCTAGGTGCTCTGGGGCGGTGCTGGGTGCTGTGGGGAGGTGCTGGGTGCTCTAGGGAGGTGCTGGGTACTCTAGGAAGGTGCTGGGTGCTCTGGGGAGGCCCTGGGTGCTGGGTGCTCGGAGGAAGCCCTGGGTGCTGAATGCTCTGGGGAGGCCCTGGGTGCTTCAGGGATGTGCTGGGTGCTCTGGAGAGTCTGAGGAGACGCTGGGGTGTCAGGGATTTCTGTGTTTACTGTGCGGGCTCAGGGGAGCCACGGGAGGGTTTTGGGCAGAGTGGGGCCTGATGAGACGGAGGTTCTGCAGGTCCATCTGACTGCCGTTCTGAGAATGGGTGGACGTGGGGCCAGTGAGGGTGCAGGGCTGGGATTTGCCAGGGAGAGACAGTGGCTTGGACGAGGGCTGTGAGGGAGACACATCTTGGTTGTATTTGGAGATTTGTGAGGACTATGGCAGAGCGATGAGACCTCCCTTGAGCATGGGAGGGCTGCGTTTGCCGTTTTTGCCTGCGGGAGGGCGGTTTGATGGTGATGGCCTGGTGATTCCCACGTGGGAGTCAGAGGTGTGCTGATGGGATTTTCCACGACAAGTGTGAGACGGCTGGTCCTGCAGGGCTTTCTTAGACTTCACATGATGCTCCCGGTGCAGAGGGCGGATCTGTGTCCCCCGCTGCACACTGGCAGGCTCGAGACTTCTGTGGGTCCTTGAGGGCTTCCAGGGGAGGCGGACATAGCCTCCACCCAGTCCTCTGAAACGGGGAGAGAGTGTATGTTATTTTTGTTTTGTTTTGTTTCAGATGGAGTCTTGCTCTGTCACCTAGGCTGGGGTGCAGTGGCACAATCTCGGCTCACGGCAACCTCCGCCTCCCGGGTTCAAGCGATTGTCCTGCCTCAGCCTCCCGAGTAGCTGGGATTACAGCTGCGCACCACCAAGCCTGGCTAATTTTTGTATTTTCAGTAGAGACAGGGTTTCCCCATGTTGGTCAGGCTATTCTCAAACTCCTGACCTCGTGATCCGCCCGCATCGGCCTCCCAAAGTGCTGGGATTGCAGGTGTGAGCCACCGCACCCGACTGAGAGTCTATGTTTTTTAAAAGATGTGGTTGAAGTCTTTTCAGACATGCCCAGGCTTTGAGAATTTCTTTGGCCATCTAAAGGCTGTAAGAGCTTTGTTCTGGGTGTTCACAACCAGTTGTATAACAGAAGACTCCCTGTGTGTAAAGTAACGAATCATTGATATGTGACTTGTCCTGCATTCTGTTAAATACTAAAGAATAGGCTGGGCACAGTGGCTCACGCCTGTAATCTCAGCACTTTGGGAGGCTGAGACAGGTGGATCACTTGAGGTCAGGAGTTCGAGACCAGCCTGGCCAACATGGTGAAACCCTGTTTCTACTAAAAATACAAAAATTAGCCTGGCGTGGTGGCACATGCCTATAATTCCAGCTACTCGGGAGGCTGAGGCAGGAGAATTGCGTGAACCTGGGAGACGGAGGTTGCAGTGAGCTGAGATCGTACCACTGCACTCCAGCCTGGGCCACAGAGTGAGATTCCATCTCAAAAATAAATAAATAAATAAAATAAAAAATAAATTAGCCAGGCATGCTGGTGAGCGCCTATAATCCCAGCTACTCAGGAGGCTGAGGCAGGAGAATCGCTTGAAACTGGGAGGCGGAGGTTGCAGTGAGCCGAGATCACGCCACTGCACTCCAGCCTGGGCAACAAGAGCGAAACTCCATCTCAAAAAAAAACAAAACAAACGCAAGCTAGCTGGATGTGGTGGGCACCTGTAATCCCAGCTACTCAGGAAGCTAAGGCGGGGGAATCGCTTGAGCCCAGGAGGTGGAGGTTGCAGTGAGCTGAGATTGTGCTACTGCACTCCAGCCTGAGTGTCAGCGAGAGACTCTGACTCAAACAAAAGAATAAAACACAGGCCGGGCGCAGTGGCTCACGCCTGTAGTCCCAGCACTTTGGGAGGCCGAGGTGGGTGGATCACGAGGTCAGGAGATGGAGACCATCCTGGCTAACACGGTGAAACCCTGTCTCTACTAAAAGTACAAAAACAAAATTATCTGGGCGTGGTGGCAGGCCTCTGTAGCCCCAGCTACATGGGAGGCTGAGGCGAGAGAATGGCGTGAACCCAGGAGGCGGAGCTTGCAGTGAGCCGAGATCACGCCACTGCACTCCAGCCTGGGCGACACAGCGAGACTCCAAAAAAAAAGGAAAAGAAAAAAATCACTCATTTAAAAAGAAAGAAAAGAAAGAGAGAGAGAAAGAAAAGAAAGAGAAGAAAAGAAAGAGAAAACAAAAGAAAAGAAGGAAAGAAAGGAAAGAAAGATCAAAACTAATCCAATCGGTCTCAGCCAAGCTAGGTCCTGGGGCCACAGGAGGATCCCTGCAGCCTGTTGCATGAATCAATCAACCTTCCCTGGAACACAGCCAGGCCCATTTGTTTAAATAATAATGCACTAAACAAGGCAGCGGAGCGGTGGGCTGGCCTCTGGGAGAGGTGACACAGCAGCTTTTAGTTGTCACAACACTCGTTTCCCAAGCACAAAGAGAAACCAAAGGACGCGCAGAGGAAAGGTGGTCTCCCGGCTGGGGAGGACCTGGGATGTGAGGGAAGAGGGAGGGAGGGAGCAGGGATGCATGAGCCCGGCTCTGGGGCTCCTGCACCCCTCAAGGCAGGCTGAGGCCGGCCTCGCCCTGGTTGCATCACCCAGGACGCCCTGGGGATCTCCAGGCCACCGTGGCAGCCGGGCCCCTGATGCAATCCACGGCTGTCTGGCAGCATGACCTGCCCCGGTCAGCCTGGACTCTGCCCTGCCTGGGGGCCCAGCCCTGACCACAGCCTCCAGCGATCCCTCCCTTCCCAGGGTCTGTTTACAGGCGCTTGGAGCATCAGGCGCATTTCTATCATGAACTCACAGGGTGGTGCCCAGCGAGTGTCTCTGATCTGTAAACTGGGTGTGGTGGCATCTACCCTGTCTGTGGGGTTGCAGGAGGAAGCCACACGCATGTGGGGAGCCATGCCAGGCACACAGTGGATGCAACAGGGGAGTTGCTCGTTCTGACCGTGTTCACCATGTCTCTGATGCGCATCTTCTCACGTGAAATCAGCATGTGTCTTAAAATGGACAGAGTAGAAGTTCAACTAGCAACATTGTGTGCTTCCTACTGGCACATACGTGAATGGTGGAGGCTCACGCCTCTCAACCCAGCACTTTGGGAGGCCCAGGCTGGAGGATCACTTGAGCCCAGGAGTTCAAGACCAGCCTGGGCAACATGGTGAGACCCTGTCCCTAAAAAAATTTAAATTAGCCAGGAGTGGTGGTGTGCACCTGTAGTCCCAGCTACTCAGGAGGCTGAGGCGGGAGGATCACTTGAGCATGGAGATTGAGGCTGCAGTGAGCTGTGATCCAGCCTGGACAACAGAGCAAGACCCTGCCTCTAAAAAACCAAGTTAATGGTGGGTGTGTTGTGGACGGCACCCAGGTTGGAAGGAAAGCAGTTAAGTATTGCTACGAAGCTCAGCTGCACAGCATGTCACAGAACCCATCCAGGCTGGGGCTGGAGAGTGCTTTGTGAACCAGAATTGGCAATGATGCTTGGGTGGGCTGGGCCCTGCACTTCCATCTCCCACCGGGTTAGGTGCCCCAGAACAGGTCTGGGGTGCGCCAGGGGCTCTGAATCCCCTCATCCAAGGCTGCCAGGGGACCGGGCTTTCCTGCCATCTCAGGGACTCTGAGGAGCCATCGGACAGTCGGAGGGAGAAGAGAGCAAGTGAGGAAGTCACCTCTGGTATAACTGACATGAGACTTAGATAGTTGGGGTCAAGGTGGATGTAGGGGCACTTTAGCTGGGTGGTCAGTGAGGGCTTCCTGGAGGAGGTGGCATTTGAGCTAGGACTTGCATGATGGGGTGAGCACTTGGGCAGAGGGAACAGCTAGTGCAAGGCCTCAGGTTGGGGAAACAAAAAGAGGCCAAAGTTCAGGGTCCACAGCTCCAGTAGACAGAGCAAAGATTCAAACTCAGGCCACAGGTCCCCAGGGTCAGGGCACACCCCCTGCACCTCACCAAGTTATCGACAGGAGGATGGTGGGGAGGGGAGGCCAGCGTGACAGTGGGCAGGGGGCACTCTGGAGGCAGGGGCTGGGCTCGCTCTGCTGCCCAGGCTGGAGTGCAGTGGCAGCCTCATGGCTCACTGCAGCCCCGACCTCCTGGGCTCAAGCACTCCTCCTGCCTTGGCCTCCTGAGTAGCTGGGACTGTACAGGCCTGTGCCACTGCACCTGGCTAATTTTTTATTTTTATTTTGCTAGAGATGGGGTCTCCCTCTGTTGCCCAGGCTGGTCTTAAACCCCTGGGCTCAAGTGTTCTTCCTGCCTCAACCTCCCAAAGTGCTGGGATGACAGGCGTGAGCCACCGCAACCAGCTAAGACTATATTTTTTAGAACAGTTTTGGTTTCACTGCAAAATTGAGCAGAAGGTAGAGGGAGTTCCGTGTGTCTCCCGCACACACAGCCCCCCGCCATCAGCTGGCCACCCACGGTAGCCCTGCTCTGACAGTCGTTATCACCCGGAGTCCGCAGTTCACGTTGGGACTCACTCTTGGCGCTGTGCATGCTGTGGGTTTGGGCAAATGGAAGAGGACACAGATCACCGTGGTGCCATCACATGGGGCAGTTTCACTGTCCCCATATCTCCCATTCACCCCTCTATTCATCCCACCCGCTGGCAACCACTGCTCTTTTCCTGCCTCCAGGGTTTGGCCTTTCCCAGCTTGTCCGACAGTTGGAATCATCGTCTGTGGCCTTTGCAGGCGGCTTCTTTCACTTAGTAACGTGCATTGTCATTTCTTCTGTGTCTTCAGAGTTTGGAAGCTCTTTTCCTCTTGGTATTGAATAGAGTCCCACTGTCTGGATGCACCCCGCTGACCCACCCACTCACCGACTGCAGGGCGTCCCGGTTGCTGCCAGGTTTGGGGGATGATGACTAGGGCTGCCACACACCCGGCTGTCTTTGCTGACTCAGCAGTCGTGCCTGGGGAGGGAGGGGTGAAGGGTCGGGGGAGGGGTGAAGGGGGTAGGGAAGGGTGAAAGGGGAGGGAGGGTGAAGTGGGGAGGGAGGGGTGAAGGGGCTGGGCCTCCCCAGCTGACCCCAGACCTCTAGGCTGGAGCAGGGGAGTTTTTACCCACGAGCCTGCGGGGGCGGCTTTGTTGCTCAAAAGCATAAATGCACAGAACCGCCTTTGCCTGGGGCTGGAGGGATTTCGCAAGCTCTCCTCCTCTCTGAAGGCACTTGGGTGTGAGACCCCAGGCCTGGAGGCTGTCTGGGGGCCTGGGAGGTGAAGGGGTTCCAAAGGCCCCACCCTCACCCCTGTGTTCCTATAGGTCCAGAGGTTGCCTGGGCGAGGGACTCAGGAGTGAGGTCGGGCTGCACCTGGCTCCTAGGGGTCACGAGAGTGGCTGGGGTCTGAGGAGGGGACACTTGGGCCGAGAGCATAGAGGGGAACACAGGACCGCGCAGGCCCCTGCTGCTCTGTGGCCAAGCAACCCCCTGCCAGGGCTGGCATCTTAGGTGGGTCGATTCAGCGCCTGCACCAAAGCTTCTAACCTGTCAGCAAGATCAAGACGGCCCACTCAGAGCATCTGAGATGAGTGCTTTGTGCATTTGGAAAACAGAGCATTTCCACAGCAGCCGGCCAGGACAGATGTCTGTTTTATTTCACAGGGTCATAACGATGCCATGTCCCCATCTGTTGCCGCAGGTGAAATAGGGGCGGGGACAATCCAGGGACATCTTTCCCAGCATGCATGAACCAGAAATAACACCAGCGTGTCTGAGAAGAAACGGTGAAGAAATCCACCCTGGCTGTCTGTCGGGCAGCCCCGGCGAGGAGTTGAGTCCCCTTACCGCTGCGAATGAGCTGTCCTCCACCCCACGTCGGAGACCTCAGCGCCCGGGGCCCCGGCCTGTTAGCACCTGCATGCCTTTGACGGCAACCCCTGGCATATGCCTGGGCCTCACAGCTATTGGCGGAGCGCCTACTCTGTTCCAGGCACAGGGCACAGCAGCAACCTGGACCCCCCAGGGGTGGCTCCTCCTCCATCCCGGCTTCCTGCTGGAACATGAGCAGGCAATTCACACAAGAAGCCTGTAATCCCAGCACTTTGAGAGGTGGAAGCGGGAGGATGGCTTGAGTCTTGGGAGTTCAAGGCTGCAGTGGGCTGTGATTGCACCACTGCACTCCATCCTGGGTGACGGAGCAAGACCCTGTCTCAAAAAAAAACAAAAAAAAAAAAAAGAAAGAAAAAGAAAAAAAAACAACAGAATATTAAAATGAATATGTAAATGCAGGAAAATCTGTTTTTTTTTTTCCTAAGAGGTGGGAGGAAAGACAATGGAACCTGGTGGATAAGAAAGAATTTCTGTCTGTCAGTTGCCTCAGCCTACAACGTGATGTACAACAGCTCAAAGACAACGAAAAGCTAGAATCTGACAGCCCTGGAGTACCTGCTCTGATTTAAAATGCATAGTTTTCCTGTGAAACACAGGTGTTTTTTTTTCTATACTATGGTGCTATTTTTATAAAGCTTAAAAACAAGCAGGCCGGGTGCGGTGGCTCACGCCTGTAATCCCAACACTTTGGGAGGCTGAGGCGGGTGGATCACGAGGTCAGGAGATCGAGACCATCCTGGCTAACATGGTGAAACCCCGTATTAGCCAGGCGTGGTGGCAGGCGCCTGTAGTCCCAGCTACTCGGGAGGCTGAGGGAGGAGAATGGCGTGAACCCAGGAGGCAGAGCTTGCAGTGAGCCGAGATCCCACCACTGCACTCCATCCTGGGCGACAGAGTGAGACTGTCTCAAAAAAAAAAAAAAAAAGCAAAGCTGGAAAAGATAGCTTCTAGGTATACACATGCACATACGCACTAAGATCGCTTCTAGGTATACACACACATACGTGCTAAGATAGCTTCTAGGTATACACACGCACATATGCACTAAGATCACTTCTAGGTATACACACACATACGTGCTAAGATAGCTTCTAGGTATACACACGCACATACGCGCTAAGACTGTTTAGTGAGAAGCAAGGAGATGATGCAGTGTCAGCGGGGAGTCTCGCAGCTGACACAGGGTGAGTCCTGTCTGACTCCATTTATGTGCAGTCCGGGGATGGGCACGCTAATGTCCAGAGGCTGAGATCAGGACAGTGACTCACTCGTCAGGAACGACGGGGCACCTGCCAGCTTCCTAGGGTCTGAGATGCCCTACATCTTGAGGGGCTGTGGTGACACAGGTGTGCATGTGAGCAAAAATGAATCAGGCTGTGCCCTTCATATTAGTGCACTTGACTGAGAATCGGTTACACTTCAGTAGAAATAACAAAAAACAAAGGAATAATAAGCGCAAAACTCAGGCATGAGTAGCCTGGTTGGGGAGGTTGGGAGGATGGGATGGGAGGACCACAGATGACAATGAAAATGACTGGGCCGGGCGCGGTGGTCACACCTGTAACCCCAGCACTTGAAGAAGCTGAGGTGGGAGGATCGCTGGAGGCAGGAGTTCGAGACCAGCCTGGGCAACTTAGTGAGACCACCCCCCCCGCCCCCAATCTCTACAAAAAGTAAGAATAAAAATAAAACAGCCAGTCATAGTGGTGCACGCTGTAGTCCCAGCTACTCAGGAAGCTGAGATGGGAGAATTGCTTCAGCCAGGGAGGTGGAAGCTGCAGTGAGCCAAGATCCTGCCATTGCACTCCGGCCTGCACGACAGAGCGAGACCCTGTCTCAGAACAAACAGAAAAAATAAATTGGAGATGTTCTTAGTTTTGGGTGAGGTGGTGATTTACAGGGTGTTCCTTATTTAATTATGCTGTTTATATGTGCTATGTATATTATTATGTATGTATTACATAGCAATAAAGAAAAAGGTCTGAGAAGATTATTTAAGTAAACATACAGGAATTCCCAGTATGTTCTTTTTTCTTTTCTCATATACAGTATTTCTTCTTCACGAAAATTTTCAAGCTTAGAAAGGAGTTGACTTGGCTGGGTGCAGTGGCTCACACCTGTAATCCCAGCACTTTGGGAGGCCGAGGCGGGCAGATCACCTGAGGTCAGGAGTTCGAGACCAGCCTGGCCAACGTGGTGAAACCCCCATCTCTACTAAAAAATACAAAAATTAGCCAAGCGTGGTGGTGGGCGCCTGTAATCCCAACTACTCAGGCTGAGGCAGGAGAATCGCTTGAACCCAGGAGGTGGAGGTTGCAGTGAGCTAAGATCAAGCCATTGCACTCCAGCCTGGGCGACAGAGCGAGAGACTCCGTCTCAAAAAAAAGAAAAAAGAAAAAAGAAAGTAGTTGACTGGGCCTGGCGCGGTGGCTCACACCTGTAATCTCAGCACTTTGGGAGGCTGAGGTGGGTAGATCACTTGAGGTCAGGAGTTCGAGACCAGCTTGGCCAACATGGCGAAACCCCGTATCTACCAAAATACAAAAATTAGCCAGGCAGGGTGGCAGGTGCTTGTAATCTTAGCTACTCAGGAGGCTGAGGCAGGAGAATTGCTTGAACCTGGGAGGTGGAGGTTGCAGCGAGCTGAGATTACGCCACTGCACTCCAGCCTGGGCAACAGAGCAAGACTCTGTCTCAGAAAAAAAAAAAAAAAAAAGGAGTGGACTGTAATTCCGGCACTTTGGGAGGCTGAGGCAGGTGGATCACTGGAGCCCTGGAGTGTAAGACCACCCTGGGCAACATGGCAAAATCCCGTCTGTGAAAAAAATTCAAAAATTAGCCGGGCATGGTGGTGTGCACTGGTAGTCCCAGCTACTAGGGAGGCTGAGGTAGGAGGATCGCTTGAGTCTGGGAGTTGGAGGCTGCAGTGAGCTATGATTTCTCCACTGCACTTTAGCCTGGGGCAACAGAGTGAGACCCTGTCTCAAAAGAAATTTTTTTTAAAAGAAAGTAGTTGAATGAACAGCCTTTTATAAGCACCGCACCTAGATTCCAGCATTGTGAGGGCTTTGGATGTTGCTTTATTTATTTTTGTGCTTGTTATAGCAATTTTGAAATAAAAACAGATATCATGACATGTCTCTCCTAAATATTTTCTCTCTCTCTCTAAGAAGGTGCACATTTTCCTACATAACAATATCACGATCACATTTGACAAAATTAACAATTCCGGCCCAGGCACCATGGGTCATGCCTGGAATCCCAGCACTTTCTGAGACTGAGACTATAGGATCGCTTGAGCCTAGGGTTCAAGACCAGCCTGGGCAACATAGTGAGACCCCTTATCTAAAAAACACCAAAAACACAATGATTTTGTAATGTTGTGTCAGACCCATCCATATTGAAATGTGTCCCATCCCCACACACAATGATTTTGTAAGGTCGTGTGAGACCCATCCATATTGAAATGTGTCCCGTCCCCACAAAATATCTTTACATGGATTCGTTTGAACGATTACCCCATCCAGGGCCACGTGAGTTGTGTAAACCTCTTGAGCTACAGTGGCTTCCTATTTCCTCCACGTTGTGAGTGAACATCAGGGCCAGTTGTCCTGTGATGGAAGCTTGAAGCCATGTGGGCCGGGGAAGATGAGGAGTACAGGGGCCCGGGAGGCGTGGCTTTGGTTTAGGTGATCAGGGACAGCCCCTTAGGAGGGGACATCCGGCTGAATCCTAAAGTCACAGAGTGCCAGCCTTGTGCGGTTCCAGCGGAGTATGAGCCTGGCAGGGCTGAGGTGGGAGCTCACATGACTGAGCTTGGCCCGAGGTGTGTGGTGGGCATGGAAGGATGGTTAGAAGTTACGTCGTGGGTGCTGAACCAGGGAACGGACATGAGCCCACCCAGGCCTGTGGCTGGCAGGGCCGCAGCTGAGTCACTTGCTGGCCAGGCTGCAGGCCTGGCTCTGAGCCCTTTGTGGCATCAGATCCTCCATCCTCGAGGCAGCCCATGGGGTTCCCTCCAGGGTCTCCAGGAGCCGCAGCCACTCAGCCCCATGCAGGTCTGTCCCCTGCCCCATGGCCATGTGCGCGGACTGGGGTGCAGCTGAGAATGGTTCCCATTCAGGTCCAGGGCCCGGGCATCTGACCCTCAGCAGGGCCACAGCAGGGCCACAGCAGGGCCAAGCAGCCACAGGCCAAGCTCAGAGCTGCAGCCCGGGACGCCTGCACCCTCCACGGGGTGCTGAGGCCAGGCTGGCTCCTGCAGGAAGGGCAGGATACCCACAGGCCAGCGGTGGGAAGGCTGGATGCACGCTGGTGCCACGGCCCAATCCACCAGGAGGGCAGCGGTGTGAGAAGGGCAAAGGGAAGTGGCCCAGGCCTCACGGCCCACAGTGGGAAAGACAGGGGGAGCCGGCCCGGGATGCCCACAGGTGTGAGGAGCAGGTGCGCTGGGTGTGGCCGCCCAGACACAGCCTGGCCCGATCCCGGAGCAGGAGTCCCCCCGCCCCCACCTCAGAAGGCTGGGATCCGCCACTGCCCCCTTCCCCAAGGCTGGACCACATCCCAGGTCCCTGCAGGGGCGGCACAGCAGGTGGGCAAGGGCCACTGCCGGGAACCCCAGCTCTGCCAGGCCCACGTGTGAGCTCCCCCCAGCCTCCCTTTCTTGTGCACATTCTCTGTACCCCCCAGCAGTGAGTGAGGTCTCCCATCTCAGAGCCCACAGTCAGATTCCCCCACCCCTCCTCAAAATCCTTCTGTTTTTTTAGGTGAGATTCACATAATATAAAATTACCCATTTTAAGCATCCAACTCAGTGGCACCGAGCGCATTCAGTGTGTTTCACGATCACCACCTCGATCTAGTTCAAAATGCGCCGGAAAAGAAAGCTGGTAACTGTCGGCCAGGCGCGGTGGCTCACGCCTGTAATCCCAGCACTTTGGGAGACCGAGGCGGGCAGATCACGAGGTCAGGAGATCTAGACCATCCTGGCTAACACAGTGAAACCTCGTCTCTACTAAAAATACAAAAAATTAGCCGGGCATGGTGGTGGGTGCCTGTAGTCCCAGCTACTCGGGAGGCTGAGGCAGGAGAATGGCGTGAACCCGGGAGGCGGAGCTTGCAGTGAGCCGAGATCGCGCCACTGCACTCCAGCCTGGGGGACAGAGCGAGACTCCGTCTCAAAAAAAAAAAAAAGAAAGAAAGAAACCTGGTCACTGTCACCCCGCAGGCCCTGGCAGCCACTTATCTTTGTGTCTCTATGGATGTAGGTATTCTAGATATTTCACGTCAACACAGCCATAGGATGTGTGACCGGTGACCTTCCTTTTCCAAGTCTGCAGTGTATCAGAAAACAAAAATGTCTCCATATGGTTATACAAATTGTTCCTTGGAAAAAAACAATTCACTGGAACCAAACTTCAGGTGCATCCCTTGGATGGATGTAAATCCTGGTTCTGGGCACACTCTCAGCATCAGCCTGGGCTGCTTTTCTTTTTTTTTTTTTTTCTGTGTGACAAAGTCTTGCTCTGTCGCCCAGGCTGGGGTGCAATGGCGCGATCTCGGCTCACTGCAACCTCCACCTCCCGGGTTCAAGTGATTCTCCTGCCTCAGACTCCCAAGTAGCTGGGATTACAGGCTACCACACCCGGCTAATTTTTGTATTTTTGGTAGAGTCAGTATTTCACCATGTTGACCAGGCTGGTCTCAAACTCCTGACCTCAAGTGATCCGCCCGCCTCAGCCTCCCAAAGTGCTGGGATTCCAGGCGTGAGCCACCGCGCCCCACTGCCTGGACTTGTTTGATTTGTAGCATAATGAAAATCCGTGGGTTCAGCAGCCCACTCGATGTTAACCATGGCTGCCATCTGCCTCTGCGCCTTCTAAACCCTCGCTCCCTCCCCAGGCGGCCACTGTCCTTGATTTGTGCTGCCGTCCCTTGCCTTCCTGTGTTGAAGGTTTAGCCCTAGGGGCATGCCACACGTATCCATCACAGGTGCATCACGGTGTCGTGTTTAGTTTTTAATTGTTTTTAACTTTGTAAAAAGGATGTCACACCCACTGCCATCTCCTGGGTTCACTTTTTCCCACTCAGCATGATGTCACCTCAGAAGCATCCTGTGATTGCAGGAAGCTGTTATTCATGCATTTATTTATTTATTTATTTAGAGACGGAGTCTCGCTCTGTCACCAGGCTGGAGTGCAGTGGCGTGATGTCAGCTCACTACAACTTCTGCCTCCCGGGTTCAAGCAATTCTCCTGCCTCAGCCTCCTGAGTAGCTGGGATTACAGGCACACACCACCGTGCCCGGCTAATTTTTGTATTTTTAGTAGAGACAGGGTTTCACCATGTTGGTCAAGCTGGTCTCATACTCCTGACCTCAAATGATCCACCCTCCTGGCCTCCCAAAGTGCTGGTATTACAGGCGTGAGCCACCATGCCCAGCCATGAGCCACTCCATCTGGCCCATGCATTTTTCTTGCTGCTGCATAATACTCCACTGCAGAAAAATATAACTGAGGATTGGGATCTTTCCACCTTTTTTTTTTTTTTAGACAGGGTCTCAGTCTGTTGCCCAGGCTGGAGTGCAGCAGCAGGATCACAGCTCACTGCAGCCTCCACCTCCCAGGCTCAAGTGATCCTCCCATCTCAGCCTCCTGAGTAGCTAGGACTACAGGTGCACCCCACCATTCCAGGCTAGTTCTCTGTTTTGTGCAGAGACAGGTTCTTACTACATTGCCCAGGCTGGTCTCAAACTCCTGGGCTCAAACAATCCTCCTGCCTCAGCCTCTCAAAGCACTGGGATTACAGGTGCCCATCACTATGCCCGCCTCTTTTCTAGTTTTTTACTATTATGAATAGTACTGCTATGAACATCATAAATTGATTTTTTTTTTTTGACAGGGTCTTACTCTGTCACCCAGACTGGAATGCGGTGGTGTGATCACAGCTCACTGCAGCCTCGACCTCCCAGGCTCAGGCGATCCTCCTGCCTCGGCCTCCCAAGTAGCTGGGACCACAGAAGCACCACCACAGCAGGCTAATTTTTTAATTATTTGTAGAGATGGGGTTTCCCTATGTTGTCCAGGATGATTTTGAACTCCCGGGCTCAAACAATCCTCCTGTCTCGACCTCCCAAGTGCTGGAGTTACAGATGTGAGCCGCTGGGCCCGGCCATGGTTTTTAAATCCAACAGTGTGGCCGGGTGTGCTGGCTCACGCCTGTAATCCCAGCACTTTGGGAGGCCGAGGTGGGTGGATCACGAGGTCAGGAGATCGAGACCATCCTAACACGGTGAAACCCCGTGTCTACTAAAAATACAAAAAAATTAGCCGGGCGTGGTGGCGGGCGCCTGTAGTCCCAGCTACTAGGGAGGCCGAGGCAGGAGAAGGGCGTGAACGCAGGAGGCGGAGCTTGCAGTGAGCAGAGATTGCACCACTGCACTCCAGCCTGGGCAACAGAGTGAGACTCCGTCTCAAAAAAAAAAACCAAAAAAACCCAGTGGTTGTGCTACCAAGGTATCCTTTTTTGGATGATGCCTGGGGAGGATCAGTGAAGGAAATACTACATTTCTGCTGGAGGTTAGCAAAAAGGAAGAGGTGACCCCCCAGGCACGTTCACAGGCACCCAGTGGCCAACCTTGCAGCCAACCTTGGTCCATGGACCCCTGGTGTCAGCACTTGACTAGGGGGCATCAGGGAGAGCCTTGAGAGGGCGTGTTCTCCAGTGGCAAAGAGCCTGTCAGTGCAAAGGCCCCGCGGCTGCCAGGTGCAGGGGATGGGGAGGAAAGAAGGGGCTGCCCCCATTAGGGGTCTGGGGTTGGTGCAGGTCAGAGATGACAGGGGCTCAGACGCAGTGATCGGGGGATGGAGACAGGAGGGCAGGACTAGGGAAGGGAGGTGAAGGAGATGGACATTTGGGCTGGATGTTGGGGAGGAGGGAGGGCGTGAGCTCAGGAGACTCACCTGGGTGTTGGGCCTTGGGTAGAACTGCACCATTTACAGAGATGGGCAGATTCGGGGAGGGCAGGTTTGCCCGCCTACTTGGTGGAACCAGGGCATTGAGGATGTTGGAGGATTCCACGTTGGAGAGCAGAGGCGTGGGGAGCAGGAGCCTGCCCCGGCCCTGACTCAGCCCTGCAAGGATTCTCCTGCCTGTGGCGGCTCTGCCTGCCTTCCAGACGTGCTGTGAGGCTGGTGACCTGTCTGTCCCATCATGGGGCCGGCTACCGCTTGTGTCAGGCTGAGTCACAGGCAAGCTGCAAAGTCCCTGGGGCACTCTAAGGGCCTCTGCAGGAACCAGTCTGGCCGGCTGCAGGCTCCTGGCCAGCTCGGGCCTCATTGGGAGCTGCTGAAGTTCAAGGGCTGGAGCTCTCTGGGCTGGGAAGATGCTGGATAAAGCTTGGGTCCCTGGCCCTAGCAGTTCCTGTCTCCCACTGTCTTCAGGCCACACTGGCCACAGCTCCCAGCCTCCTCCGTCCCACCCTCACCCGGGCCTGGTGGAGAGGCTGGCGGGACTCCCACACTACCGGGCAATGGTGTTCAGGAAAAGTGACTTTAGCAAAAGCTTCCTATGCACCCTTTGTGCTCTTGTCCTCCCCTTTCCCTTCTTCCCCCTCCTCACGTCCTTTTTTATTTCAGTGAGACTCACATGACACAAAATCAAACATTATGAAGTGCACAACACAGCCGCAGTGCACAGTG
The DNA here is from genome assembly GCF_000001405.40 of Homo sapiens. Taxonomy (NCBI): domain Eukaryota; kingdom Metazoa; phylum Chordata; class Mammalia; order Primates; family Hominidae; genus Homo; species Homo sapiens. The sequence continues at coordinate 131,872,838 of NC_000012.12, forward strand.
CTGTGCAACCACCTCCTTACGCCAGCTCCGAAACGTTTCATCACCCAAAAGGATATTGCACACCCATTCGCAGTCACTCCTTAAGCGCTGCCCCCCAGGCCCTGACAACCACTTTATTTTAATTTTCATTATTACTTTTTTAGACAGGGCCTCACTTTTTTTCCCAAGCTGGAGCACAGTGGTGCAGGCATGGCTCACTGCAGGCTCAAACTCCTGAGCTCAAGCGATCCTCCTGCCTTGGCCTCCCAAAGTGCAGGGATCACAGGCATGCGCCACTGCACCCGGCCTCACTTCCTATCTCTGTGGATTTGCCTGTTCTGGGCATCTCATATAAGTGGTGTCATACGTCATATTGCTACGGGGGGGTGGGGTTGGGGTCCTTGTGCTTAGAGCTCCCAAGATGGTGGTGGGCTGTTTCCAAGATGACGGCAAGCCTCTTGTTCTCTGACCTGGGGTTCTTGGCCTCACGGATTCCAAGGAATGGAATCTTGGGCCATGGGGTGAGTGTTACAGCTCTCTTAGAAGCCGTGGGTCACGGAAGAGAACCGTGGAACCCAGTGACTAGTGTTCAGCTCGATTAGGAAGAACCGGGCACTTAGCCGTGCGGGAATGATGCCGAGCCTTTAGCCCGATCGGGGGCGGCAATGGGCGCCTCGCCGGATCAGGAGCACAGCCGACACCCTGCCGGATCCAGAGGGGTGGAAGTCAGCGGCGGGCCTGCGATGGCAGCAAGCAGCAGTGGTGGATGGCAAGCAAAAGCTCAGCTCGAGCTGTAACAAACACAGAGCAGAAGAGTGTGCAGTTGGAAGATTTCATAGAGTGAAAACAGAGCTCCCATAAAATGGGAGGGGACCCAAAGGGAGTTGCCGTTGCCGTTGCCGGCTCGAATGCCTGGGTTTGTATCCCGATCATTGTCCCTCCCCCTGTGCTCTCAGGTGATAGATGATTGGCTATTTCTTTACTTCCTATTTTAGCCTAATTAGCATTTTAGTGAGCTCTCTTTACTACCTGACGGGGTGGGTGTGAGCTAAGTTGCAAGCCCCGTGTTTAAAGGTGGATGCGGTCACCTTCCCAGCTAAGCTTAGGGGTTCTTAGTCGGCCTAGGAAATCCAGCTAGTCCTATCTCTCAGTCCCCCCTCTCAACAGGAAAACCCAAGTGCTGTTGGGGAGGTTGGCCGACGACCACTGTAACTGCTTCCTGCTGAACTGGGGCATAGTAGGGGTTGTGCAGTTGAGATTTCCTCAGGAGGGGTGTCTTCAATGTCATCAACATTGGAGCATGGGCTAGCAGGCCGATCCAGGGGTCTGTGGTGGATCTTAGTCATGGACTGCATCTGAGGCTCTATTTGAAGAACGATTTGTAGTTTTACAGCTTCAGTTCTGGAAGAGACAAACTTAACAAGGAGGTTAAAGATACAGGGATTAAAATGTATGGCCTGTAATGTAGGGGATTACTTCATTGGCACAATTCACAGGCCCTGACTATCTGCTTGATAGTTTTGAAAAGGCCTGGTCCAGTAAATAATGATTTGGCCATCTGATGGGTGCTATCAATGCCTAAGTGGAAGGTGGGGTGAAGGGTTTTAAGTAATTTCCATTGGTTAGCTGCAGGCAAAAGTATTTTCCCTTCTTTGGTGGCTAGCCATCCTGAGGGGAGGAAATTATGTCCTCCTGAGGTTCTCCATTGTATTTCTCCTGCTGAGTACTAGGGCTTGGTTTCCCGGAGGGGATTACCCCATACTAGGGGTCCTTCTACAAGCATTTCTAATGGAAGGTCCCGCCTTGCGGCTCTTTTGGCTTCAATATCTGCGTGGTGGTTCCCTTCTATTTCCCTTTCCTTTCCGATGACCCCAGCAGTGTAAGACTGCTACCTCTTTAGGTTTCTGTACAGCCAATAATAATCTCCTAATGGCTTCCTGATGTTTGATAGGTGTTCCCTCGGAAGTTAGGAATTCCCTTTCTCTCCATATTGCTGTGTGGGCATGGAGGACTGGGTAAGCATACTTAGAGTCTGTATATATATTTACCCTTTTTCCTTCTCCTAATTCTAGAGCCCGAGTGAGGGCTATTAGTTCTGCCAGCTGAGCGCTAGTTCCTGGAGTGAGGGGATTACTTTTAAGTATTCCATTATCACTGACCACTGCATACCCCGCTTTTTGAAGTCCTTTTTCTACAAAGGAACTTCCATCTGTATACAAGTTGAGGTCGGGATCAGTCAAGGGAACCTCTAGAAGGTCCCCTCGAGCGGCACAAGTTTGAGCAATTACTTGTTGACAGTTATGTTCTATCTTTTCTTCATTGTCTGGAAGAAATGTGGCTGGGTTAAGAGTTGCACAAGTGCACAGTCATACACTGGCCCTTCAAGTAATAGAGCCTGATATTTAAGTAAACGGTTGTCTGACAGCCATAAGTCTCCTTTAGCAGTGAGTATGCCATTCACATCATGAGATGTCCACACAGTAAGATCTCTTCCCTGTATTATTTTAACTGCTTCAGATACTAAGATTGCTACTGCTGCCACTACCCGTAAACAATGAGGCCAACCCTTTGCCACTACATCAATTTCCTTACTCAGGTATGCCACGGGTTGCAAGCTGGTCCCTCGGATCTGTGTAAGGACTCCTAGAGCTATTCCTGTTTTTTCTGTGACATATAAAGAAACATATAAGCTTATTGGCAAGCTTAACACTGGGGCTTGGGTTAGGGCCTTCTTTAGGGCCCAGAAAGCTGCTTCTGCTTCAGGCGTCCATCTTACTAAATGGGTATTGGCTTTCTGAGTTTTCTTATTTAGTGTATCTAATGGCCTGGCTATTTCACTGTACCTGGGAATCCATATTTGGTGGAAGCCTGTTATGCCAAGAACCCTCTTAGTTGCTTTGGTGTTTTGGGATGAGGATAAGCCAGTAGAGGCTGCGTACGTTTCTCACGGAGGGCCCTGGTGCCTTTGGATAATTTTAGCGCTAAGTATTTAACATGCTGTGAGCAGAGCTGAGCCTTTGGTTTGGAAACCTTGTAGCCACAGGCGGTGAAGAAATTTAAGAGCGCTTGGGTGGGGCCGGGTGTGGTGGCTCACGCCTGTAATCCCAGCACTTTGGGAGGCTGAGGCAGGCAGATCACAAGATCAGGAGATTGAGACCATCCTGGCTAACACGGTGAAACCCCGTCTCTACTAAAAATACAAAAAAATTAGCCAGGCATGGTGGCAGGTGCCTATAGTCCCAGCTACTTGGGAGGCTGAGGCAGGAGAATGACGTGAACTTGGGAGGCGGTGCTTGCGGTGAGCTGAGATCACGCCACTGCACTCCAGCCTGGGTGACAGAGAAAGACTCCGTCTCAAAAAAAAAAAAAAAAAGCGCTTGGGTGGCTTGATGGCACAAGGTTTCTGAAAGGGTGGCTAAAAGTAAATCATCCAAGCACCGAAGGACAACGGTGTCCAGGTATGAGAACTGGCTCAAGTTGGGCTAATGTCTGTCGAAATAGATGGGGGCTATCCCTGACCCCTTGGGGTAAAACAGTCCAGGTGAGTTGAGACGTTGGGTTTGAAGGCTCTTCAAAGGCAAACAAGAATTGAGAGTCAGGATGTACAGGGATGCAGAAAAAGGCATCCTTAAGGTCCAGGACTGTAAACAACTCTGCTTCTTCTGGTATTTAGGAAAACAGAGTATAAGGGTTAGGTACAGCTGGGTATAGAGGGACAGTGGCCTCATTGATAATCCTGAGATCTTGCACTAACCTCCACTGTCTGTTGGGCTTCTGTACTCCTAAAATTGGAGTATTGCAGGGGCTATTGCATACTTTTACTAGGCCTTGGGCTTTTGGGTCCTTAACAATCTTTTGGAGTCCTTGTTGGCCTCGGGTCTAAGGGGTTACTGCCTTTGGCAGGGAAAGGAGGTGGAATCCTTTAACTTGAACAGGACGGGCATTTTTTGCTCATCTATATTGTCCTTCTGTTGCCTAGACTTTAGGATTAATTCCTTCCTCAAGCAGGGGACAACAAACGGGTGTTCCTTCTCCTACGTTCAAGTGTAAAATGGCCCCTGCTTTTGATAGAATGTCTCTCCCTAACAAGGGAGTGGGGCTTTCGGGCATAATTAGAAAAGCATGTGAAAAGAGTAAAGCTCCCCAGTCACACCTTAGTGGCTGGGAGAAGTATCTAGTGACTGGCTGTCCTAGGACGCCTCGGATAGTGACAGATCTGGAAGACAGTTGTCCGGGACAGGAGAGTAAGACTGAGAAGGCCGCGCCAGTGTCCAGGAGACAGTTAACCTCCTGGCCGTCAATGATCAAGCATACCTGGGGCTCTGTGAGGGTGATGGCATGGGCTGGTGCTTGCCCTGGGCACCCTCAGTCCTGTCCTGCTGCTGGATCATCTGGTTAGTGGCTTCTGACTTAGAGAACCTTCGTCCCCTGGGGCAGTGGGTCTTCCAGTGATTCCCTTGACATAAGGGGCGTGGACGAGGGGGCGGCTTATTTCTATTCGGACAGTCTTTTTTAAAGTGTCCTTGGAGACCGCACTGGAAGCAAGCCCTATTAGGCATTGGATTTGCCCAGCCTTTCCGTATTCCAGAGCCTCCACAATCCACTTGCCTGAGGGCCATGACTAAAGGGGTGGCCTTTTTCTTATCTCGTTTGTCCCGTTCCGCCTGCTCCTCCTGATCTCTATTATAAAAAATGGAGGTTGCCAAGTTCAATAGGGTTTCTAAGTTTTGCTCCAGGCCTAAGGCAGACTTTTGAAGTTTTTTTCTAATGTCTGCAGCTGAGTGAGTGAGAAATTTATCCTTTAAGATTAGTTAGCCTTCAGTAGAGTCAGGTGACAGGGAGGTATGCTTCCTCAATGCCTCCCTTAGTCTCTCCAGAAAGACAGTAGGATTTTCTTCCCTTCCCTGTGTTACAGTGGACATCATTGAATAATTCATAGGCTTCTTCCTAGTTTTCCTTAGTCCTTCTAGCACACAAGTTAGCAAATGTCTGCAGCACCAATCTCCATGTTCTCATTCTGTGTCCCAATGAGGGTCTACACTGGGAACTGCCTGCTGGCCTGTGGGGAATCATTCTCTTTCCTCTGTTGTCATCCTATCATCGACCTGACTGAGACACCAGAGATCTCCAAGCTCTCGGGCTGCAGTAATGGCAGCACTTCTCTCATTAGGGGTTAGTGTCTGATCTAGCAGTAACATTGCATCTCTCCATGTCAGATCAAAGGATTGTCCTAACCCTCATAAAACATCAATATAGCCATCGGGGTTATCTGAGAATTTACCTAGGTCTATTTTAATTTGCTTCAAGTCTGAGAGGGAAAAAGGCACATACACTCTGGCTGGGCCGAATTCTCCAGAATACATCTTAGGAGCGTTTTTGCCTTAGGGGAACTTTTCCTATCTGGAAAAAGAACATAGGGATGCCAGGACCCCTGGTTATTTTCTGATGAGCGTTAGTCCTAGAGTGTCCTCTATGTTCCTAATGCTTATTCCTTTCCAGGGTGCGTAACCACCCACGGACCTCTGCTTATTGGATTAGTTACACTCACCGACGTAGCAGGTCCTGCACCTGTTTTCCCACCTTTCTTGACCACAAAGAAAGAGGTCCGGGCTATTGATTCTAGTGGTCCTTTAATAGTGTGCCCGACATTGCCTTTACACCCAAGGGTGAGTTCTAGAGCTGGGCTGGGTTCCTGAGTATTTCATAATAAACCCCAGTTACCCCATCAAGATGCACTCCCATAAACAACAGTTCTTATGCAAATTCATTTCAGAGAGGGTGTGGGTAACCTTTTGAGTCAGGATTGAGATAGAGTTTTTTGATTCTGTAAGTACTTTCAGGCTTGGCTGAGTGCAAACAGCTCGCACGTTTGAGCAGACCCATTATTAGGCAATTTTCTTAACTCTACTTCTACCAGAGTTTCCCTCAATTACTGAATACCCATTGTGTTTTTTTCTCAATCACTTGGGAGGAACCATCTATTGTCCTGTCCTGAAGGGAGTTCCTCCTAGGTCTGGTCGGACCTTAGTATGGTAAATAAGATTTAAATCCCCTGTTAGGAAGTCTGCTGGGTTAAGGGAATTTTCAGTGGTTAACATTAAATTATCTTTCTCTAACAGAATAGCCCCATACTTTAAGATTTTTGAGTTAGTAAGCTACCTTTTTGCTTTTTTGACTTAGGATAGTTCTGAACTGGTGAGGTGTGCTCACAATGGGGTTTCCTCTAAAGGCTAATTTTCTGCTCTCTTCTGTTAGCAAAGCAGTTGCCACTACAGATTGAATGCATTTGGCCCCCCAGGGGTTACTGGGTTAAGGATTTTTGATAGGAAGGCTACTGGTTGTCAGTGGCCTCAGTGCTTTCGGGCTACACCCTTATTTACAATGACAACAAAGTAGTATTGGAGTGTTATAGGGTCACAGAGAAAACCTTCAGTTATCAATTATAAGTTTTAAATTTACCCTGGCTTTTAAAGAAATAGGGTACACTGTTTTTTCTTTACTACTTCTTTCTCTCTTATGTTCTCCTTTCTGTCTTTGCAGATGGATTTTTGGAAACAGTGGAAGGACGTTCGCTCGTTGCCCCCATTTGCCACTATAGGAATATGTACCTTCCTTTTATTTACTCAATTTACTTATATCCTGATCTATTATGTTGTTGTAGACCCAGTTCCAATTGTTAAAATACTGGGTTATCAGTTCTAAGGCCTTGGCAAGGGTGGTAGGAGCGGGTCCCACCTAACTGCCCATGTCAAGAGCTGTATGCCTAAATTGGGGGGAACACCAGGGACAAGACTCCCTGGGTTCATAGCCTAGGGGCCTAAGGACACAGCGTAGAGCTTCCTTAGATCCCTTTGGAGATACAACCTGCTCTAATACTTGGGAGAGGAAGTGAAAGTCTGAAGCATTAGTATCTAGGAGGCAGGGATCAGAGGAAGTAGATTCAGCAGTAAGGAGAATTTTGCGGCTACACTTTCAAGAAATTCATGCTCAGGACCCAGGAAGTATGGGTCAAAAGGAAAGGTAGGGGTGCATGTATGGACAACTGTTGAGTAGAGACTTCTGGCCACACCATAATCTCAACAGGCTAATGATGGGAGTTCAGGACGACAGCTTTCTGCCTCTAATCAGCCTTCAGCTTCCCCAGAAAGTGGAAGCTGGTTCCAGGCAGACCACGCTCCCAACCCAGAAGGGTTGGGGGTTGTTAGAAAGCCCTTTCCCAGACAGCCTCACACCTGAGTCTTAAGTCCAGTGTTTTTAACCTGCCAACTGGTGCCCGGTATTTTCCTCCAATTCTAAGGAAGGATAGGACAGAATAGCAAGCGAAAGTGGTCCAATATTACTCACCACTTTGGAGGTCCCTTCATGATCACCAAAATGTTACTGGGGGGGGTCCTTGTTCTTAGACCTCCCAAGATTGTGGCATCCACTCTCAAGATGGCAGCAAGCCTTTTGTTCTCTGACCTGGGGTTCTTGGCCTCACTGATTCCAAGGAATGGAATCTTGGGCCATGCTGTGAGTGTTATAGCTCTCTTAGAAGCCGTGGGTCATGGAAGAGAACTGTGGAACCCAGCGACTAGTGTTCAGCTTGATTAGCATGAACCTGGGCACTTAGCTGTGCAGGAATAATGGCGAGCCTTTAGCTTGATGGGGGGTGGCAATGGGCGCCTCACTGGATCAGGAGCACAGCCGACACCCTGCCGGACCTGGACAGGTGGAAGTCAGCAGCGAGTCTGCGATGGTGGCATTCAGCAGTGGTGGACGGCAAGTGAAAGCTCAGCTCGAGCCGTAACAAACACAGAACAGAAGAATGTGCAGTTGCAAGATCTAATAGAGTGAAAACAGAGCTCCCATAAAATGGGAGGGGACCCAAAGGGGGTTGCCATTGCCGGCTCGAATGCCTGGGTTTATATCCCAATCATTGTCCCTCCCTCTGTGCTCTCAGGTGTTAGATGATTGGCTATTTCTTTACCTCCTGTTTTAGCCTAATTAGCATTTTAGTGAGCTCTCTTTACTACCTGATTGGTTGGGTGTGAGCTAAGTTGCAAGCACCGTGTTTAAATGTAGATGCGGTCACCTTCCCAGCTAGGCTTAGGGATTCTTAGTCGGCCTAGGAAATCCAGCTAGTCCTTTATCTCAATATGTCTTTTTGCGTCTGTCTTCTTTCACAAGAATCATGTTTTCAAGATTCACCCACGTTGTGTGTGAAAAAAACAACAAGAAAAAACAAAAACTCTACTCCCCAAATGCTCGGGAAAACTGATTTGAGTGATAATAAAACTCTGGTCTCCCACACAGCCGGCTCTGCATGAATTACTCTTTTTTGTTGTGTTGTTGTTGTTGTTGTTGTTGTTTTTGGAGACAGTCTTGCTCTGTTGCCCAGGTTGGAGTGCAGTGGTGCGATCTCGGCTCACTGCCACCTCCGGCTCCTGGGTTCAAGTGATTCTCTTGCCTCAGCCTCCAAAGTAGCTGGGACTACAGGTGTGCACTGCCATGACCGGCTAATTTTTGTATTTTCAGTAGAGGCGGGGTTTTGCCATGTTAGTTAAGCTGGTCTTGAACTCCTGACCTCAGGTGATCCACCTGCCTTGGCCTCCCAAAGTGCTGGGATTACAGACACGAGCCACCGCACCCGTCCCAATTATTCTTTCTCGATTGCAATTCCCCTGTCTCCACGAATCAGCTTTGTTTCAGCAGTGGGCAAGGTGAACCCCTTGGGCGGTTACACTACCATTGCAGAGTGTTAAGCAGTTGCGATAGAGCCTGTGTGGCTGCAGAGCTGAAGATGTATATACTACCTGGACCTTTGCAGGAAAGGTTTACTGAAAACGTTTACTGATTTTTTTTTTTTTTTTTTTTTTTTTCTCTGTTGCCCAGGTTGGAGTGCAATGCTGCAATCTGTGCTCACTGCAACCTCCGCCTCCCAGGTTCAAAAGATTCTCCTGCCTCGGCCTCCCGAGCAGCTGGGATTACAGGTGCCCACCACCAAACCCGGCTAATTTTTGTATTTTTAGTAGAGGCAGGGTTTCACCGTGTTGGCCAGGCTGGTCTTGAACTCCTGACCTCAGATGATCTGCCCTCCTCGGCCTCTCAAAGTGCTGGGATTACAGGCGTGAGCCATTGTGCCCGGTTGTTTGCTGACTCTTGTCCTAGATTTTTTTTTTTTTCAGAGTGAGACAGGGTCTCACTTTGTCATGAAAGCTGGAGTGCAGTGCCACAGTCACAGCTCACTGCAGCCTTGACCTCCCAAGCTCAGGTGATCCTCCCACTTAGCCTCCTGAGTTGGAGTGCAGTGCCACAGTCTCAGCTCTCTGCAGCCTTGACCTCCCACGCTCAAGTGATCCTCCCACTCAGCCTCCTGAGTAGTTGGGACTACAGGTGTGCACCACCATGCCTGGCTAATTTTTAATTTTTAGTAGGGACGGGGTCTTACTAAGTTGCCCAGGCTTGTCTCAAATTCCTGGGCTCAAGCAATCTGCCCAACTCAGCCTCCCAGCATGCTGGGATTACACAGGTAAACCATCACGCCAGCCTGTCCTAGATCATTAAGCAATTCGTGGGTGGACCTAGTAAATGAGGCTCCCACGTGACAGCCAAGTGTGAGCCGCATCATTGTTCACATGTTCCAGATCATTTTCCCAAACAGTGGTCACAGATAGGCGCCAAAAGCCTGGAGATGCCACCCGGATTCTCCCCTACCTGGGTGGGTTGAATCCTAGGGCAGGTCAGAGAGCTGAGAGCATGAACTTGCCTGAGTCCCCTCCAGGTGCCACAGGGAGCCTCGGCTAGATCCTCTGTGCATCTGTTATCCCCTCAGGAAAATGGGAGGGACGATAAGAAGACCTCTCAGAGGATGGGCCAGGTGTGGTAGCTCACATCTATAATCCCAGCACTTTGGGAGGCTGAGGCGGACGGATCATGAGGTCAGGAGATCGAGACCATCCTGGCTAACACGGTGAAACACCGTCTCTACTAAAAATACAAAAAATTAGCCAGGCGTGGTGGTCGGCGCCTTAGTCCCAGCTACTCGGGAGGCTGAAGCAGGAGAATGGTGTGAACCCTGGAGGCGGGGCTTGCTGTGAGCTGAGATCTCATCACTACACTCCAGCCTGGGTGACAGAGTGAGATTCCGTCTCAAAAAAAAAAAAAAAGACCTCTCAGAGGATTAAGTTAGCTGTGCCTGGTGGCTCATGCCTGTAATCCCAGCACTTCAAGAGGCCGAGGCGGGAGGATTCATTGAGTTTGGGAGTTCCAGACTAGCCTGGGCAACATAGTGAGACCCCCATCTCCACAAAAATTAAAAAAAATAGCTGGAGTGGCGTGCGCCTGTAGTCCCAGCTGCTCAGGAGGCTGAGGTGGGAGGATCGCTGGAGTGTGGGAGGTCAAGGCTGCAGTGAGCCGAGATCATGTAACTCACTCCAGCCTGGTGACACAGGGAGAGTCTGTCAAAAAAGAGAACAAAACAACGTGTAGCTCCTTTAGGAGGAGCCACACCCGCTTCCTGTCCCAAGCTGCTTCCATTCCACAGCCCAGCCCCAGAGAGCTGCAGAAGTCAGAGTTCTGATCTCCTGAAAAAATCTTTGTCCTCCACTAGGGCGCTTTAGGTAGATCTCGGAGCCACCAGGCTGGATCCTAGGGCCTCCAGCCTCTTTGTTTAAAAAAAAGGAGGGGTGGGCATGTTAGAGAAGGAAGTGGAGGAAGGGAAGCTTGGCAGCCCACCCTCACTCCTGGGGGTGCCGGAGGGGCATGAGGGAGCCACCAGGCAGGGTGGGCCTCACCCTTGGCCCTGGAGCAGGCTCCTAGCAGTGGGAGTGGGGACAGCCTGGGGCGCTTGAGGGAGGTCCTGGGCAGCTTCGGTCCTGGGTGCTCTCTGGGCCCCACCCATGTGCCCTGAGGCTCAGAAAATCTTTTGGTTGTTTTTATGCTGCTAGACAGACTCTGACCTCACACTAGGAATCCTACTCCTAGGTATTTATACAAATCACATTTGGGAAATGTTCTTAGCAGCTTCACGCATAAATAGCCCAAAGCTAGAACCAGAGAAGTCTGTGAAGAGGCAAATCAATTTTCCATCCTCCAAGGATGTAGGCTGCTCACTGGAGGTACCTAAGGATGGGCCTCCACTCAGCCACGGGAAAGAATGGATCCCGCTCAGCCACAGGAAAGGATGGATCCCTCTCAGCCACATGAAAGGATGGCCCTCACTCAGCCATGGAAAAGGATGGCCCCCACTCAGCCACGAGAGAGGATGGACGCCCGCTCACCCACGGGAGAGGATGGACCCCCACTCAGCCACGGGAAGGATGGATCCTGCTCAGCCATGGGACAGGATGTCCCCTCACTCCGCCACAGGAAAGGATGGCCCCTCACTCTGCCACGGGAAAGGATGGCCCTCCAGCCACAGAAAGGATGACCCCCACTCAGTCACAGGAAAGGATGGATCCCCCTATTCAGCCACGGGAGAGGATGCCCCCCCACCGACTCAGCCATGGGAAAGGAAGGCCCTCCATTCAGCCACAGAAAGGATGACCCCCACTCAGCCACGGCAAAGGATGGACCTCCATTCAGCCACAGAAAGGATGACCCCCACTCAGCCACGGCAAAGGATGGCCCTCCATTCAGCCACAGAAAGGATGACCCCCACTCAGCCACGGGAAAGGATGGCCCCCCACTCAGCCACGGGAAAGGATGGATCCCACTCAGCCAAGGGAGAGGATGGCCCCCCCACTCAGTCACGGGAAAGGATGGATCTCGCTCAGCCACGGGAAACAGCCAGAGGGATGAGTGCACATGGGCCCAAACCAAGACGCAAACGAAGAGACCCGGCTGCAGAGTCCACTTCTGTGGGATTCTAGAAGATGCAAACTCATTGATAGCCTTGAAATCAGATCACTTTTGGCCTGGGGTGGGGTTTGAATGGGAAAGAGCGGGAGATAACTTTTGGGCGATAGAAATGCTCTGTGTTGATTGGGAGTGGATAAATGGGTTTGTACGTTTGTCAAAACTCACTGAACTGAACTCTTAGAATGTGAACCTTTAATTGTATGTGGATTATACCCCCCGATAAAGTTGATTTTTTTTTTTTTTTGGAGACAGACTCTAGCTCTGTTGCCAGGCTGGAGTTCAGTGGCACAATCTCGGAGCACTGCAACTTCCACCTCCCAGGTTCAAGCAATTCTCCTGCCTCAGCCTCCCTAGTGGCTGGGATTACAGGCATATGCTACCATGCCCAGCTAATTTTTTGTATTTTTAGTAGAGAGGGGGTTTCACCGTGTTAGTCAGGATGGTCTCGATCTCCTGACCTCGTGATACACCTGCTTCAGCCTCGCAAAGTGCTGGGATTACAGGTGTGAGCCACCCGCATCCTGCAAGGGAGTAGAGTTTTTAAGGATAACTTGGTTGGTGGGGGGAAGCCAGTGAGCCAGGATGCTGATTGGTCAGAGATGAAATCATAGCAAGTCAAAGCTGTCTTTCCTCTTGCACTGAGTCAGTTCCTGGGTGGGGGCCACAAGATCTGACGAGCCTGTTTATCCATCTGGGTGGTGCCAGCTGATCCATCAAGTGCAGGGTCTGCAAAATATCTCAAGCGCTGATCTTAGGAGCAGTTTAGGGAGGGTCAGAATCTTGTAGCCTCCAGCTGCATGGCTCCTAAACCGTAATTTCTAATCCTGTGGCTAATGTTAGGCAAGAAGGAGGTTTGCTTTGGGAAAGGGCTGTTACCGTCTTTGTTTAAACTGTAAACTACAAGCTAAGTTTCTCCCAAAGTTAGTTCAGCCTACGCCCAGGAATGAACAAAGACAGCTTGGAGGTTAGAAGGAAGATGGAGTCGGTTAAGTTAGATCTTTCACTGTCTCAGTCATAATTTTACAAAGGCGATGTCAGTAGCACTAAAGAAGGCAGAAACAACCAATAAACGCAGACCATGGCTTCAGGAAAACTTTATTTACAAAAGCAGGCAGTTAACATTCAGAATACATAACCAACTCCCACAACTCAACAGCAAAAAATCAAGCCACCAGATTACAAAATGGGCAAAGCACTTGAATAGGCATTTCTCCAAAGGAGATACACAAGTGGCCAGTAAGCACCTGCAAATGTTGACAAAAAGAGTCAAAATCTGTAAAATATTTGAAGAGATTTATTCTGAGCCAAACATGAGTGACCCTGACCTGTGACACAGCCTCAGGGGGTCCCGGGAACACATGCCCAAGGTGGTCGGGGCGCAGCTTGGTTTTATACATTTTAGGGAGACAGGAGACATCAATCAAATACATTAAAGAAAGACACTGTTTGGTCCAGAAGGGCGAGACAACTCAAAGGGGTGGTGGGCAGGCCTCCAGGCTATAGGTAAATTTAAACATTTTCTGGTTGACAATTGGTTGAGTTTGTCTAAAAACCTGGGATCCATAGAAAGGAAATGTTCAGGTTAAGAGAAAAGATTGTGGAGGCTAAAGTTTCTTTGAGGTCTTACAATGGCTGCCCTTAGAGAGACAGTAAGTGACAAATAATTCCTATGCTAGACTTTAAGTTAATCTCTTTAGGATTGGGAGGGCCTGAAAGAAAAAGATCTAGCTATGTTAATAGAGATTCTTCACAGATGCAAATTTTTCCCCACAAAGGAGGGCTTTGCAAAGCCTTCAAAATATGGCTAACCAGGCCGGGCGCGGTGGCTCACGCCTGCAATCCCAGCACTTTGGGAGGCCAAGGCGGGTGGATCACGAGGTCAGGAGATCGAGACCATCCTAGCTAACACAGTGAAACCCCGTCTCTACTAAAAAATACAAAAAAATTAGCCGGGCGTGGTGGCGGGCACCTGTAGTCCCAGCTACGTGGGAGGCTGAGGCAGGAGAATGGCGTGAACCCGGGAGGTGGAGCTTGCAGTGAGCCGAGATCGCGCCACTGCACTCCAGCCTGGGCGACAGAGCGAGACTCCGTCTCAAAAAAAAAAAAAAAAAAAAAAATACAAAAAATTAGCCAGGTGTGGTGGCAGGCGCCTGTAGTCCCGGCTACTGGGGAGGCTGAGGAGGAGAATGGTGTGAACCCGGGAGGCGGAGCTTGCAGTGAGCTGAGATCGCGCCACTGCACTCCAGCCTGGGTGACAGAGGGAGACTCCATCTCAAAAAAAAAAAAAAAATTAGCCAGGCATGGTGGCAGGTACCTATAGTCCCAGCTACTCAGGAGGCTGAGGCAGGAGAATGGCGTGAACCTGGGAGGCGGAGCTTGCAGTGAGCCGAGATCGCGCCACTGCACTGCAGCCTGGGCAACAGAGCGAGACTCAGTCTCAAAAAAAAAAAAAAAAAGGCTACCAGCGCAGTGGCTCACACCTGTAATCCCAGCACTTTGGGAGGCCAAGGTGGCAGATCACCTGAGGTCAGGAGTTCGAGACCAGCCTGGCCAACATGGAGAAACCCCCTCTCTACTAAAAATACACAAACTGGGTGGGGCGTGGTGGCTCATGCCTGTAATCCCAGCCCTTTGGGAGGCTGAGGCAGGTGGATCACCTGAGGTTGAGAGTTCGAGACCAGCCTGACCAACATGGAGAAACCCTGTCTCTACTAACAATACAAAAATTAGCTGGGTGTGGTGGCAGGTGCCTGTAATCCCAGCTACTTGGGAGGCTGAGGCAGGAGAATCACTTGAACCTGGGAGGCAGAAGTTGCAGTGAGCTGAGATTGTGCCACTCCACTCCAGCCTGAGTGACAGAGAGAGACTCTGTCTAAAAAAAAAAAAATTAAGTCACAATATATAGGATTAAATAAAACCCATCTGATGAGAATTTATGGTTTGTAGGGCATGACTCTCTAGACCCCTTAGATAAGAATTTGGGCAAGATAAAAAATATGAGTTTAGTCCTCACAAAGATGTTCAACATCACTAGTGGTTAGAGAAATGCAAATCAAAACCACAGTCAGGCCGGGTTCAGTGGCTCACGCCTGTAATCCTAGCACTTTGGGAGGCTAAGGCGGGTGGATCACTTGAGGTCAGGAGGATCACTGAGACCAGCCTGGCCAACATTGTGAAACCCCATCTCTACTAAAAATAAAAAATGTAGGCTGGGCACGGTGGCTCATGCCTGTAATCCCAGCACTTTGGGAGGCCAAGGTAGGCAGACTGCCTGAGCTCAGGAGTTCAACACCAGCCTAGGCAACACAGTGAAACCCCGTCTCTACTAAAATACAAAAAAGATTCGCCGGGTGTGGCGGCCTGTGCCTGTAATCCCAGGTACTCAGGAGGCTGAGGCAGGAGAATTGCTTGAACCCGGGAGGCAGAGGTTGCAGTGAGCCGAGATTGTGCCACTGCACTCCAGCCTGGGTGACAGAGCGAGACTCAGTCTCTAAAAAAAACCCAAAACCAAACAAAAATTAGCTCCAGGCGTGGTGGCTCATGCCTGTAATCCCAGCACTTTGGGAGGCCGAGGCAGGCAGATTGCAAGGTCAAGAGATAGAGACCATGGTGGCCAACATGGTGAAACCCCATTTCTACTAAAAATACAAAAATTAGCGGGGCGTGGTGGTGCACACCTATAGTACCAGCTACTCGGGAAGCTGAGGCAGGAGAATTGCTTGAACCCGAGAGGCAGAGGTTGCAATGAGCTGAGATCACTTCATTGCACTCCAGCCTGGGCAACAAGAGCAAAGCTCTGTCTCAAAAAAAAAAAGAAAAAAAAAAATTTAGCCGGGCATGGCGTGCACCTGTAATCCCAGCTACTCAGGAGGCTGAGGCAGGAGAATCACTTGAACCTGGGAGGCAGAGGTTGCAGTGAGCTGAGATTGTGCCACTGCACTTCAGCCTTGGCGACAAGACCACAACTCTGTCTCAAAAAAAAAAACACACACAATGAGATATCAGTTCACACCCATGGGTACTGTTGAAAGCAACTAAGGGAAAAGAACAAGTGTTGGCTGTGGAGAAAGGGAACGCGTGGGTGCTGCTGTTGGGAAGGTAACATGGTGTGGACCTTGTGGAAAATGGTGTGGAGGTTCCTGAAGAAATTAAATAACATTCCCTACAATCCAGCAATTCCACTCCTGGGTATATATTCCAAAGAAGTGAAGGTAGGGACCCAAACAGTTATCTGTGTACCCACATTCGCAGCAGCATGATTCGCGGTAGTCAAAGGTGGAAATAACCATGCGTCCATCCATGGGTAAATGGACAAAGAAAATGTCCAGCTCAAGGAGGCTCACGCCTGGAATCCTAGCACTTTGGAAGGCTGAGGCAGGTGGATTGCTTGAACCCAGGAGTTGGAGACCAGCCTGGGCAACACAGTGAGACCTTGTTTCTACAAAATATGAAAAAATTAGCTGGGTGTGAAGGCGCGTCCCAGGTACTTGGGAGGCTGAGAGGTGGGAGGTTCACCTGAGCCCAGGAGGCGGAGGTTGCAGCGAGCTGTGCTCCTGCCACTGCACTCCAGCCTGGGCTACAGAGTGACATCCTGTCTCAAAAAAAAGAAAAAGAAAAAGGAGAAAGAGAATGTGGTCTATCCATACAATGGGTATCATCCTGCCTTGAAAAGGAAGAATGTTCTGACACACAGGACCGTAAAGGCCACAGCTCAGCCCTGGAAGGACTGTGGAAAAATGAACTCGCAAAAAGCAGGTGAGAAGGAGTGTGCATGTTTATGGAACATGTGCATTCAGGGAGAATCACAGAGCGACTGCCCACACCCTCAGGGAGGTCAGAAGCAAAGCAGGTTATGGGAGGTGGGGAGAAGGGCAGCTCTGTTGAGGGGATACACCGGGAGAATGAATGTGTCTGGGAAGAGAGAGTAACTCCTAGATGGTTCTCTCTGAAGGAAAAGGGTTAACTCGTAGGTGGTTCTCTGAGGGAAAGGATCTGTTCAGGTGTAGCCACATTCTTGCTCTTCCAGGGAGGGGAAGGAATAAACAATTGTTCTCCTTGGCGGGTCCGGATCTTAGGCAGATAAAGAAGCTTTGACTTTGGGAGAAGTGGGGGGAGGCTGGAGAGACCTTGAGCGTTTCTTTCTTCAGTTCAGCGTGTGAAGGTGCCCTATTTTGGGATATCAATTACTGAGCCCCAACATTACAACATAGATGAACCTGGAGAACATCATACTCAGTGAAAGAAGCCAGTCACAAAAGCGCAAATACTATAGGATTCTACTTATATGAGGTTTTCAGAGGAGTCAAACCCACAGAGACAAAAGCAGAAGAGAGGGCCAGCCTCCATGGCTCACGCCTGTAATCCCAGCACTTTGGGAGGCCAAGGCGGGCGGATCACCTGAGCTCAGGAGTTTGAGACCAGCCTGGCCAACATAGCGAGACCCCATCTCTACTAAAAATACAAAAATTAGCCGGGTGTGATGGCACACACCTGTAATCCCAGCTACTTGGGACGCTGAGGCAGGAGAATTGCTTGAACCCGGGAGTCGGAGGTTGCAGTGAGCCAAGATCATGCCACTGCACTCCAGCCTGGGTGACAGAGCAAGACTCTGTCTCAAAAAACAAAAACAAAAACAAAAAACAAACAAAAAAGAAAGTAGAAGAGTGGGTGCCAGGGGCTGAAGGAGGGGAATGAGGAATGAGTCTTTAACGGGGACAGAGTTTGTTTTGGAAGCTGAATGAGTTCTGGAGCTGGATGGTGGTGACGGTTATACAACAATTTTTTTTTTTTTTGAGACAGAGTCTCGCTCTGTCACCCAGGCTGGAGTGCAGTGGCGCGATCTTGGCTCACTGCAAGCTCCACCTCCCGGGTTCATGCCATTCTCCTGCCTCAGCCTCCTGAGTAGCTGGGACTACAGGTGTCCGCCACCACGCCCGGCTAATTTTTTGTATTTTTAGTAGAGACAGGGTTTCACTGTGTTAGCCAGGATGGTCTCCATCTCCTGACCTAGTGATCCGCCCGTCTCGGCCTCCCAAAGTGTTGGGATTAGAGGCGTGAGCCACCACGCCCCGCCTCAACAATGTTTTTATAGAGACAGGGTTTCACCATGTTGCCCAGGCTGGTCTCCAACTCCTGGGCTCAAGCAATTCTCCTGCCTCGGCATCCCAAAGTGCTGGGATTACAGGCGTTTGCCACTACGGCCGGCCCACAACAATGTGATTGTACTTAATGTCACTGAACTGTGCACTTAAAAATGGTTAAGATGGGCCGGGCGCGGTGGCTCACGCCTGCAGTCCCAGCACTTTGGGAGGCCGAGGCAGGTGGATCATGAGGTCAGGTGTTCAAGACCAGCCTGACCAACATGGTGAAACCCCATCTCTACTAAAAATACAAAAATTAGCCAGGTGTGGTGGCGTGTGCCTGTAATCCCAGCTACTTGGGAGGCTGAGGCAGGAGAATCACTTGAACCAGGGAGGTGGAGGTTGCAATGAGCCGAGATCGCGCCATGGCACTCCAGCCTGGGTGAAAAGAGCGAAACTCTGCCTCAAAAAAAACAAAACAAAAAAAAACAAAAACAAACACATTCTGAGGCTGGGTGTGGTGGCTTATGTCTGTTGTTTAATTTTATTTATTTATTTATTTATTTATTTTGAGATGGAGTTTCACTCTTGTCTCCCAGGCTGGAGTGCAATGGTGCGATCTCGGCTCACCGCAACCTCCGCCTCCCGGGTTCAAGCGATTCTCCTGCCTCAGCCTCCCGAGTAGCTGGGATTACAGGCATGCACCACAACACCCGGCTAATTTTGTATTTTTAGTAGAGACAAGGTTTCTCCATGTTGGCCAAGGCTGGTCTCGAACTCCTGACCTCAGGTGATCAGCCCGCCTCGGCCTCCCAAAGTGTTGGGATTACAGGCGTAAGCCACCACGCTGGGCCGATGGCTTACGTCTATAATCCTAACACTTTGGGAGGCCGAGGCGGGAGGATCACTTGGGCCCAGGAGTTTGAGACTAGCCTGGGCAACATAGTGAGATCTCATCTCTACAAAAAATACAAAAATTAGTAGGGTGTGGTGGCGTGCACCTGTAATCCCAGCTGCTTGGGAGGGTGAGGCAGGAGGATCACCTAAACCCAGGTAGTCAAGGCTGCAGTGAGTGGCGATTGAGCCACTGCACTCCAGCCTGGGTGACAGAGTGAGACCCTGTCTCAAAAAAAAGAAACTGTGGTACATATACACCATGAAATACTACACAGCCATAAAAAAGAATGAGATCATGTCCTCTGCAGCAACATGGATGGAGTTGGAGGCCATCATCCTAAGCGAACTAACACAGGAACAGAAAACCAAACACTACATGTTCTCACTTATAAGTGGGAGGTAAACACTGAAAATATACGGGCCGGGCGCTGTGGCTCACACCTATAATCCCAGCACTTTGGGAGGCCGAGGTGGGCAGATCACGAGGTCAGGAGATCGAGACCATCCTGGCTAACACGGTGAAACCTCATCTCTACTAAAAATACAAAAAATTAGCCAGGTGTGGTGGCGGGCGCCTGTAGTTCCAGCTAATCGGGAGGCTGAGGCAGGAGAAAGGCGTGAACCTGGGAGGCGGAGCTTGCAGTGAGCCAAGATAGCGCCACTGCACTCCAGCCTGGGCGAAAGAGCGAGACTCCGTCTCAAAAAAAAAAAAAAGAAAATAGGACACAAAGAAGGGAACAAGAGACACCAGGTCCCACTTGAGGGTGGGAGGGTGGGAGGAGGGAGAGAGGATCAAAAAACTACTTATCGGGTACTCTGCTTATTACCTGGGTGATGAAATAATCCGTTCATCAAACCCTGTGAAACATAATTTACCTGTATAACAAACCTGTCCACACACCACTGAACCTAAAAGTTATAAAAAGAATAAAAAATTTAATAAGACCGCACAAAACAAAAAAGAAACATGTCCTTCCTCGGTGGGCCTAGTAACGGTTTCCAAATGCAAATCCCATCTTGCCATCCCACCCTCTCCTAAACTCTTCCTGGGTATTTCTTTGAGTTTGGGGTGAAGACCCCGTTAGCTTGGCTTTCCAGGCCAGGGTGGGCTGGGCTGGGGTTCCCTGAGTACTTTCCAGGAGTACAGGCTTCGCCATCTCTAGCAATCTCGGCCCTCACGGTCTGCCCTGATCACCTCAGCACGTAGCCACCTGTTCACTCATTTTTCTCTTGCAATTTTGCCACGGGTGGTGCAATCTTTGCTCTTCTTGTCCCCCACCCCTAAGCGCTGGGAGCTCCTGCAGGCGGGTCTTGTTCTCACTGTGTCAACTGCAGCACTTACCTCGCAGCGTGTGCTCTCTGGGCAGGCCGGTGTGCAGCAGGCACTCCAGGATGTGAGTGAATGCTATGGCTGACTACGGGGCACTGTGGAACCTCTTTATTGGGAAAACAAACATGGTGGGCCAGGAGACCTCTTGTCCCTTCCAGCTCGGTGGCTTCTGGCCCCCAGTCCAGGGTCGGGAGTCTGTGTGTCCTGCGGCCTGGAGGATGAGCTGGGTGCAGGTAAAAGGCATCCAGGACTTGCTGATCCAGCCCAGGGCATCAGGCTGTCCAGCTGCTGGGCTGCTCTGGGAGGCAGCATGGAGGGTCCTGGCTGAAGTGTGTGTTTCTGGGCTGTTACTTTAGGACTGTACTGAAGGCTGGGTTGGTGAGCATTGTTTAGAATCATGCATTTGCAAAAGCAGTGCTTGCACGTGGTGAAAGCCATTCCAACTAGCGCGCAACGTGTACGGTGAACAGCACTAACTTTTCCCCGGTCCTCTCTCCCAGAGCAATCGCTGTTGGCTGTGTCTTCTGTGAGTGAGCCCCCGGGCTCTTTTGGCTGCCGGCGGTGTGACTTTGGACACATTCTCCAACTTTTCTCCGCCTTGATTTCCTCATCTGTAAAACAGGGACATAACAGCAAGTGCCTCGTGGAATCATTGAATGGATGCACTAATCGCTGGAAAGTGCGCTGCTTGGCCTAAGTGATGAGTTAGCTGTCATTATAGTTAGGAACGACCATGTACACATTACAGGCGTTTCACACACACACACATCCCAATCCTACCGCTTTCTTAAAACGACAGACAGTACAGTGCCCTGTTCCATATTTTGCTTTTACTTAATTATAATCTTTGGAGAACTCACCCTTGAGCACAGGTATATTTACCTCTGTGCAGTGTTCCACAGGACCGATGCGCAGCCCATCTAGCTAACCTTTCCTCCCCAGCGGATTTATGGGCTATGTCGTTGGTTTGGGTGACAACTTTTTGGTCTACAATTTTTTTTTTTTTTTTTGCAATTTGGCATTATGGAACTCAACTTTAAATGCCTAACCTCTAACTCAGCCATTCTATTTCTAAGAATTAATTCTGCGCAGTCCCCCGTTTTGGGAACATTTCCCACGCCTGTTCTCCATTCTCCTGTAGAAGGGGAACAGGGAGCGGGAAGGAGGGGAACAGGGAAGGGGAGGGAGGGGAACAGGGAGGGGGGACAGGAGGGAGGAGAACAGGCAGTGGGGGCGGGAGGGGAGCGGGGGGGAAGGCATGGGAGGGGGCGGAAGGGAGGGGGCAGGGAGGGAGAGAGGTGATGGGAAGGGGAAAAGGAGGGAGGAGGACGGAGAGAGGGGAAAGGAGGGAGGGGAGCAGAGAAGAAGCGGGGCGGGGAAGGGGCGGGGAAGGGGCGTGGAAGGGAGTGGGGCAAGGAATCAACACTGAGCCCCGTGGCCCGCTCCCGGGTCAGCGCGCCTCTCTGCTCTCACCGGGGCGGGTCCGCTGTTGGCCCCACCCACTCCCAGCCCACCCGGCCCCGCAATGGCCCGGCCCAGCCGCCCACCCCCCCGACAGGCCCCGCCCCATTCCCCGCCCCCCGTCTGTTCGTCACGCCCGGCTCTGCCGCTCCGTCCCGCAGGCCCCGCCCTCATCCCGCCTCCCGGCCCGGCGCGCAGTGCGGCTGCGCGGGCGTCTCAGGCTCTGAGGCCCGGGCGCCGCGGCTCTTTTGTTTCTCCGTTGGGGCCGAGCCCGGGCCCTAGTTGGAGCCGGAGTCGGAGTCGGAGTCGGATCCGGATTCGGATTAGCAGCCCGGGAAGAGTGCCGTGGCACAGGCGCCGGAGGGAGCGCGACCCTCGGACCCCGCCTGGCCCGCGGGGCTGGGACCCGGCCCCGGCCTGCCCGATGGGGCGCGCGGCCCCGGAGATGCGCCCTCGCCCGGCCCCGCGCCCCCGGCCCCGCGCCCCCGGCCCGCCCGCCCCGGCCCGCGCCTCCGCCTGAGTCCCCCGCGCCTTGGCCCGCCACCCCCCGCCCCGCGCCCCCGGCCCGCCTGCGCCATGGAGCCCGGCCGCGGCGGCACAGAGACCGTGGGCAAGTTCGAGTTCTCCCGCAAGGACCTGATCGGCCACGGCGCCTTCGCGGTGGTCTTCAAGGGCCGCCACCGCGAGGTGAGGCCCCCGTCCGGCCCGGGATCCCCCGCCCAGGATCCCCTGCCCCTGCATCCCCGCCCCGAGATTCCCCGCCTGTCCCGGGACCCCCCCACGCCTCCCGAGAGCCCCACTCGACTTTCCAGGCCGACCCCCACCCCAGGATCCCCACCCCGCGACCCCCAGCCCGACTTTCCAGTTCAGACTCCCGCCCCGAGATCCGCTGCCGGGCTTTCCAGCCCAGATCCTCACTCCGAGACCCCCAGCCCGACTTTCCTGTCCAAACCCTCACCCCGGGACACCCCGCAACCTGGTCCCACAGCCGGCTTTCGAGGCTGGATCCCTACCCCAGGACCCCCAGCGCGATCCTCAACCTGGCTCCCCACTCGGCCTTCCAGTCCCGGGATTCCCAACCGGGATCATCTCAGGGCCCCACCTGTGTGGACTGGGGTCTGGGGGAGGCCTGCGAGGGGCAGCCCTGGCCTTGAAGGTGCACGTTTGGCTTTCAGAAGCACGATTTGGAGGTCGCCGTCAAGTGCATTAACAAGAAGAACCTCGCCAAGTCTCAGACGCTGCTGGGGAAGGAAATCAAAATCCTGAAGGTGAGCCAGTGCTGGGGGAGGGGGCGTGGGCGTGGGCGTGGGCAAGCCCCCCTCCCCACACTGATAACAAACTTGGGTTTCTGTCCTAGGAACTGAAACATGAAAACATCGTGGCCCTGTACGACTTCCAGGTAAGGCCTCTGGGCTGCGGTCTGCTGGGGACCGGGCTGGGGGACTGTGGCCCCAGGTGCTGGATCCCCTGGTGAGCACTGGTGTTGAGCCTGTCCAGGCTGGGGTCTACTGGGCCCCTGGAGACTCCACCCTGGGTCCAGGCCTGGGCTGGTGCTGGCTCTTGCTGTGACTTCCCCAGCTGTGAGACCGGGGAGGGGGTGTCTGGGCCGCAGGGCGCCCCAGGGCAGGGCTGAGTTCTCCTGAACAGGCATCCCCTCCCCGCCGGGCGTCAGTCCTAGGGGCCCTGCCTGAGTCCGGCGTCCCCGGCTGGCCCTGGCAGCACTGCCGGCCTGGCCCACCTGTCTAGGCCGTGTGTTTGTTGACATTGCTCCTGCGGCCGGCATTGGCCGGCCTCGCTCTGCGTCAGACGGGGCGGGGGAGGGGCCGCCGGAGACTCCTGCTCGCTGGCAGTCAGGGCCGGGCCGGGGCACAGGCGGCTGCCGCTGGCTGGCCAAGGAGATGACCTCGGGCCCGGCTGGCCCCAAGAAGCAAGCGGTGGGACCAGCTGGCTTTCGTGCTGCCTCCGTGTCCCGGGGCCCAGGGCAGGCAGGGCTGGGGCTGTGGGAGCCAGGGTGCCGTCCTGGGGACCAGGAACCTGAGGCGGGAGATCCGCCCCGCCAAAGTGCTGACTAATGGCTCTGTGACCTGTTTACTGAGCCCAGGGCCCAGCCCCTGGCTGAGGGAAGGGCTGGCAGGCCGTGTTTTGGTGGCCTCCTCCGTCCGCCTCTCAGAGCTTTGCTGTGGCCTTGGGGACCGAGGCTTGTCACAAGGTGCCGGGTGGGGGGGGCCCAGGTCCAGCGAGTACCTGGAAACCCAGGCACACTGTGTCCTGGAGCTGGGCCATCCCTCCTGCTGCTTTTCCCGCCCTCTTCCCACCCCTTTTCTCCCTGCTTTCCTCCCTCCCTTCCTCCTCTTTCCTCATCCTCTCCATGTTTGGAAGCCTCCTGCCTGGACCACAGCCTGCACATGCGTCATGGCTCTGGGAGCCAGCAAGGAGTGGACAGCTGTCCCTGGCCAGGCAGCGACTCTGAGGGACTCCCCCTCCACCCTGGGCTACACTGCCTGCTGCTCCCCTCCAGGGCTCCCCAGGTCCAGTCCTGGGCATCTCCAGGCCAGGCCCTGTGACTGTCCGCACGACCCCCGCAGACCCGGGACCAGTATCCCCAGGCCCAGCTCCATCCCAGTCAGCCACACACACCTGGTTGTGGGCATCTGCCACTTCCTCCAGTGTTGGCAACTCTGCGGCTTTCTCTACTCAGGAAGCACTTGGAGCCGCCAGCTGCAGGCGCTCCTGTCTCCGGGCACCGGGCTCTGCTGGAGCTGCAGCTTAGCCTGCCCTCGCCCCCACAGGCGTGGGGATTGTTGCCCTGTGTCGGTAAGGCAATGTTTGAGGCAGGCACCCAAACCCAGGAAAAAATAACTGGGTTTTAAAAATGGACAATGAACGATTTGGGTGATAAAAGAAAATCCTCAAACATTACGGGAGGGAGTGCGGTCGAGGCTAGAGTCCTGCCCCCGATCGAGTCCCGCTGCCCTCCGTTCTCAGGCCCCTGCTTTAGTTGTTTCCGGGCCACCGGGGA
This sequence comes from Homo sapiens, assembly GCF_000001405.40. NCBI lineage: Eukaryota > Metazoa > Chordata > Mammalia > Primates > Hominidae > Homo > Homo sapiens. Next base: position 131,897,445 of record NC_000012.12, read on the forward strand.
CAGCCATCCTTACAAGGCGATGTGTTCACCGGTGTCCTTCCCCGCCACACCCACCTCTCTGCGCCGTGAATTTTGTCACTTAAGAGTATAGTTTGCACTCCATCCAGCCTGGGCGACTGAGCGAGGCCCTGTCTCTAAAAGAGTAGAGCTTGGGGAAGGTTCTGTGCTGGCTCAATCCATATCAGAAAGTTTACCCCTCGGCCAGGCACAGTGGATCACACCTGTGACCCTAGCACTGTGGGAGGCCAAGACAGACCAGCCTGGGCAACATAGCAAGACTCGCTCTCTCTAAAAAAAAGAAAAAAAAAGAAAAAAAATTAGCCAGGCATAGTGGCATGTCTCAGCTACTATAAAGGTTGTAGGAGGATTGATTAAACCCAGGAGTTTAAGGCTGCAGTGAGCCGTGATGTTGCCACCGCGTTCCAGCCTGGGCAGCAGAGTGTAACCCTGTCTCAAAAACACAAAACAAAACCCTCAAAAAGTTTACCCCTCTCTGTTAGAGGTCACCATCTGTAAGCACAGTGGTCGAGAGCCAGGCTGACGCTGATGAGGGGCCCAGTCCTGGCTGCCATATGTGCACACACAGCTTCTTTAGTTTGCGGTCCTATTTCTTCCTCTGTGAAGCAGAAAGCACGGGCTGTGAGGGCTGTGTGAGGGAGGAGGGAGTGCTCTCGGGTTGGAGGAGCCATCGTGGAGGTGCTAGCTGCTGGCCTGATTGGGTCTGCCGTGGTGATTTTCAGCCATGGCGTGCCTGTTGCCCGAGATTCCATAACTGATTTCACCAAGGCCCTGTAGGTGGGACATGAGGTTATTTTGGGATGCTGGTACATCAGGGTGGTTGTGACTGGATCCTTAGAAGTAGAATCCTTGGGTAGGAGGGATGCTGGTTTTTAATTTGGGTAGCTATTGCCAAATGGACCTCCGGAGAGGCAATGCCACTGGTCTCTCAGCCTGTCTCCAAGCATGTGTCTCCCTAGGTCCTTGCCAGGAGGGTGGCTCTCAGAGGTTTCCATCGTGGCTCATGTGAGAAGTAGAAAATGACATCTCTTATGGTTTTGCTTTTCTTTTTTTTTTGAGACTGAGTTTTGCTCTTGTCGCCCAGGCTGGAGTGCAGTGACACAATCTCCCCTCACTGCAACCTCCGCCTCCTGGGTCCAAGCGATCCTCCTGCCTCAGCCTCCCGAGTAGCTGGGATTACAGGCGCCTGCCACCACGCTAGGCTAATTTTTGTATTTGCAGTAGAGACACGGTTTCACCATGTTGGCCAGCCTGGTCTCGAACTGACCTCATGATCCACCCACCTCGGCCTCCCAAAGTGGTGGGATTGCAGGAGTGAACCACCATGCCTGGGCGGTTTTCTTTTACATTGGTGATGAATGAGCTTCCCTATCCGAGCATGGGAATGTTAGAAATACCACCTGTCCTTTGTATAGTGTATTTCTTTTTTTTTTTGAGATGGAGCTTCTCTTTGTCACCCAGGCTGGAGTGCAGTGGCGCGATCTTGGCTCACTGCAACCTCCACCTCCCTGGTTCAAGCGATTCTCCTGCCTCAGCCTCCCGAGTAGCTGGGATTACAGGCACCTGCCACCACGCCCGGCTAATTTTTGTATTAAAAAATTTATACAATTTTCGCCACATTGGCCAGGCTGATCTTGAACGCCGGACCTCACCTTCGACCTCCCAAAGTGCTGGGATTACAGGCATGAGCCACCATGCCCAGCCTGCCTGATATATTTCTATATTTTATATATACGTTTTTCTGAGATGTAGTTTCACTCTTGTTGCCCAGGCTGGAGTGCAGTGGCACCATCTCGACTCACTGCAATCTCCGCCTCCCGGGTTCAAGCGATTCTCCTGCCTCAGCCTCCCGGGTAGCTGGGATTACAGACATGCGCCACCACGCCTGGCTAATTTTGTACTTTTAGTAGAGACAAGGTTTCTCTGTGTTGGTCAGGATGGTCTAGAACTCCCGACCTCAGGTGATCCGCCCACATCGGCCTCCGAAAGTGCTAGGATTACAGGCATGAGCCACCGCTTCTGGCCTATTTTAATATATTTTTTAAAGAGACTGGGTCTCACTCTCTTGCCCAGGCTGGAGTGCAGTGGCATAATCATGGCTCACTGCAGCCTCGAACACCTGAGCTCAAGAGATCCTCCCACTTCAGCCTCCTGAGTAGCTGGGACTACAGATACGCACCACCATACTTGGTTAGGCACATATTTCTGGCAAGCTCTTGGTCCCTTTTGTGCCAAGGCTGGAAGGGTACCATGCTTAACACCATGGCCCCTGAGCCATTCTGCCATTTGCTGGATCCTAGCTCCAACATTTACCTGTGTGACATTGGGCAGGTAGCCTCCTGGCACCTCCGTTTTCTTACCTTTTAAAAACTGTTGGCTGGGTGCAGTGGCTCACGCCTGTAATCCCAGCACTTTGGGAGGCTGAGGCGGGTGGATCATGAGGTCAGGAGATCGAGACTATCCTGGCCAACATGGTGAAACCTCGCCTCTATTAAAATACAAAAATTAGCTGGGCGTGGTGGCCCGTGCCTGTAGTCCCAGCTACTCATGAGGCTGAGGCAGGAGAATCGCTTGAACCCAGGAAGTGGAGGCTGCAGTGAGCTGAGATTGCGCCGCTGCACTCCAGCCTGGGCGACAGAGTGAAACTCTCTCAAAAAAAAAAAAAAAAAAAAAAAACTGTTGTGGTTGTGATGGCATCTTGAGTATGTTAAGTCTTTAGAACTGTGCCTGCCACTTTGTAAGTGCTCTGTCAATGTTCTTGAAAGGTAGGTGTCCTTTATATATGAAGCAAAGTAGCTTCTTTGTGATAGGTTACAGGTATTCCCCGCCATGTTGTTTGTTGACTGTTGAGGTTGTTATTTTTGTTCTTATTGTGTTGGGTTTTGTGTATTGGGTTTCTTTTTTAGCCATACAAAATTGTGAAAATGTGAGTGCCTGGGAAGTGTGTGCCTTGGGTCACGCTCTTTGAGTCCACCACAGCCGCTGGGAGGCGGCTGGAGCACCTGGGGAGCACCTGGCCTCCTTACTGAGCATGTGGTGTCCCTGTCTGGACTTGCCTGGCCCCAGGAGTGCGGCCACCACAGAAATCAGGGTATAGGGCTGTGGAGCCAGGCTGGGATCCTGCCCAGCATGCCCTGGGAGGAGGGCTGATGGCTACTGGCCTTGCTGATGGTGGCCCCCCTGGCCAGCACGCCATCTGACAGGTTCCTTGCAGCTAAAGGTCTTGCTGGGCCACCCAGGTGTGACTCACTCAGGCCCTGCAGACAGAGCCGCTGCCTGTGAGTTACTTGCAGTGGAGACCTGAGTCAAGAGGTGTCCAGCCCTGCTTGGGGTCCTGGGAGACCATGGGTCCAGGCAGTCCAGCCCAGCATGAGACTGTAACTCCCCATCCCAGAGTGAGGAGGGGGCTGCCAGGCCTGGCCTGGTCTGGCCGGGGGGCTGTCTGCAGTGTGAGTTGGGGCAGGATGCAGGCCGAGTAGAAACCCGTGGGGTGGGTACCCAGCTCCTGGGCAGGGGCCTGTGAAGGGGCTCCCAGGGCCCAGGCAGTTCTGGAATTACCTCCGAAGTTGTGTATATCTTTTTTTTTTTTTTTAACTTTGAAAACAATGGGATGAGACTGGGCACAGTGGCTCACGCCTGTAATCCCAGCACTTTGGGAGGCCGAGGTGGGCAGATCACCTGAGGTCAGGAGTTCGAGACCAGCCTGGCCAACATGGCAAAACCCCATCTCTACTAAAAGTACAAAAATTAGCTGGGCGTGGTGGTGGGCGCCTGTAGTCCCAGCTACTTGTGAGGCTGAGGCAGGAGAATCGCTTGAACCTGGGAGGTGGAGGTTGCAGTGAGCTGAGTTTGTGCCACTGCACTCCAGCCTGGGTGACAGCGAGACTCGTCTCAAAAAAAAAAAAAAGAAAAAAATCATGGGATAAAAATACTGGAAAGTGCAAAACAGATGAGAAGATATACCACAACAGGCCCTGTGTGGCGTAGCAAGCGCCAGCCCAAAGCCATGCCCGCGTCCCGGGCCGCTCTCCTCCCTCCTATCGAGGGCACGTCCGTCCTCCTGTGTGCCCCCCTCCCCCTCTGCTTTCTCATTCTTCACGTGAGCCAGCTCCTGGTTCCCACACGCTCCCTTTGCCACATGCTGACTTTAAGCCTGGAGGTGGGATGTCAGCCGTAGGTTGAGGGGTGCTGTGTCTCCGTGGGTGACAGGAGTTGGTTTTTGTTTGTGCGCAGCACCCCGTGGTGGGACTGTCACCTGGTATCAGTATCTGTCCGCGATGGCTGGGGGTCAGGTCTCAGCCACCTGAAGGACAGAGCTGCTGGGAACAGTTTTTACTGGGGTGTGCGCCAACTAGGATGGCCGGGTCTCGGGGGGAATGTGAGGAGTTGGCGTCTTCCTGAGGGTCTCTGCAGCTTACACCCCCTGCACCCCCCAACTCGCACTGGGGTTGTTTCCTGCTTTTTCCAAGCAAGGTCGTGCCCTCAGAAGGGTTGGGCCACCCACCCCTGCCTCACTGCATCTAGGGACCTGCCTCAACCCCCTGCGGCTGGCTCCCGGATTGTCCAGACCCCCAGGCCCAGCAGGCGGGAGGCTGCAGAGGTCAGCCTTGGGCTGCAGCCCCAGGAGGCCCATACACAATGGGCGGCTGCAGGTGGTTCCCCAGGGCCAGAGGGTGGCCCTTCCTTCTTAGGGTGGAGCCGGCATCCCTTCCCTTTTGGGAGCTGTCCAGGAGCCCCGCCTGGGGGTGCAGAGTGGTTCTGTCCAGCCACAGCTGTGGCTTTTGCCACTTTCCGGAGCCAGCTCTGGAGGTGTGAACTAGGTCAGTGCCTGCTCACCAGGCCCAGCCCAGGATCACCAGACAAGAGTAGGGCTGGCAGAGGGTGGGAGCCTGGATCCTATTAAGTAAAGCACCTTAGCACCCCAGGGGTGGGGCAGCCTCCTACGTGCCCAGACACCCGTGCCAGGCTGCCTGGGACACCTGGCTCTGGCCGGCCGTGGGTGCGTGTGTGCAGGGTGTGGGGGCCGGCCTGCCTGGGGAGTGCTGTCCCAGGTCCCTCAGGCATGCTGCCTGGAGACAGTGGGGTGTTGATATTGCTGTCTTTTTGAAGTGTTCTGAGCCTCAGATGCATGTGTTGGGACTTTTCAGGGACAGCCCTGTGGAATGGTCAGCAGCCGTTCCCTGTTTCCTCCCTTTAAATAGGCGGCAAGTTGGGACCCACCTCCCGGGGTGGGGGTGATGGTGCAGGGAGCCTGGTGTGTTTGATTAGGGCATGGGCGGTGTGGCCACAACTGTGTGTGTCACCACGGGACGGACCCCCGGACCCTGTCTTGGGAGGCGAGCTGCTCTGCCTGGGGTGGCCGGTTTCCTCCCCTGGAGCCCAGGGAGGCAGTTGTGGCCCTTTCTGGTGTCTTAACTGGGTGACTTGATTCTGGGAGCTTGCCCGGTCCCCACTGCCCAGGGTAGCTTGTGAAAACCAAATGTAGCTGCGAGGCAGACGTGGAGCCCGATGCCCTGTGTGGGTTCTGCAAGGCAGAGCTGGAGCCCGATGCCCTGTGTGGGTTCTGGGTGGGCCCAGGGGAGGTCAGCTGTGGCCGGTGAGGCTGTGCTCTCACCTGACCCCCCTCAAGAGCCCTAGAGAGAGTCGCTGCCTGTGGGAAGGGTGGACAGGCCCAGCTGGGGGCCCCCGTCGGGGGGTGTTGTGGCGCAGGGCCTGGGCCTGCAGCTGCCCTGGAGGAGCTCCCCCAGCCCTGGCAGAGGTGGTCCTGGGCTTGTTTGTCCTCACTTCTCATCCCTGACTCTGCCAGGGTTGGAGACAGCAAGGCTAGGTCCTTCCGGGGACACAGAGGGTGACTGGCTTGGCATTGGCACTGGGCAGAGTGAGGACAGGACTCCAGCCCACCTGCTTGGGCTGTGCTGCCATTTCCCAGCCTGGGCACGCCTCCCAACCTCTGGGGCCTCAGTGTGCTCGTATGGGAAGTGGGCTGGTTATGGCCTGCTGCCTGGGCTCCTGCAGGGCTGGTGTAGTTCAACTTCACAGGAGGCTCTCGGAGGCACGGGAAAGGCCCTGGTGTGCCCCGATGCCCAGCTCAGGGAGTTGGATGCCCACAGCCCTGAGGGCCTGTCTGAAGCTGTCATCTGTCCCAGGGGAGTTGGGAAGACCCGAATGCCTGTGGTGAGGTGGATGCCCCCACCCTACCCTGCAGCCCCACCCCCAGTGGCCTTGAGTCACCTGCTGGAGAGGACCTTTTAGGAGAGAGGCTGAGCATGGGCCAGGCCTTGGTTTCTGCAAGGGACCATTTGAAGTGCAGGGAAGAGGCTGGAGGTGCTTCGGTCCCACAGCCCCCTGCCCACTCCCTCCTGGGAGCTGGTGCCCCCTGAGGTTTTGGGGACAGAGGAGGGCTGCCAGCACAGTGGGGAGGGCAGAGGGGTCTCTAGGAAGGTGACCTAGGGGGTGACATCTGTGACTCTGGGGCAAGGCCAGGGGTCTAGACGTGTCAGTAGCGAGGTGGGTTCCAGCACCCATGAGGCCAGTGTGGCTGGAGGGATGGCAGGGCCAGGTGCCCTGGGTAGGGGTGTTGGGGACCCTGGCTAGAGTGTGGGCAGCAGATGGGGTGGGGGAAGAGCCTCCTTGCCAGGGTCCTGTGGGCCAGTCACTGGTGCCACAGGGGTCTCCCTGGTGGGCCTCTGCCTTTCTTCTTTTTGAGACAGGTGTCATTCCGTCACCCATCCTGGAGTGCAGTGGCACGATCTCCCGGCTCACTGTAGCTGTGGCCTCCTGGGCCTAAGCCACCCTCCCACCTCAGTCCTGAGTAGCTGGGACTACAGGCGTGCACTGTCACACCTGGATAATTTTTGTATTTTTTTGTAGAGATGGGGTTTTGCCATGTTGCCCAGGCTGGTCTCAAACTCCTGGGCTCAGGCGATCCTCTTGGCTTGGCCTCCCAACATGCTGGGATGACGGGCATGAGCCACCGTACCCGGCCAGGCCTTTGCCTTTCTAGGGGTGAGAGGTGGCTGCCTTAGTGTTTGGGGGTGGGAGGAGGCTACAGGGCTTCAGTTAGCACCCCCTGCCCAGAGGGAGCTCCTGTCCCACACAGCCCGGTCCTGGGTGAGTGGCTGGGGGATGGGGTGCTGGGCTCCTGCTCTGCACACATGGGTGTTCCCCCAGGATACCTCTGACTTTGACACATCCCTGCTTGTCCTGGCTTTGCTGGTGGGTTTGGAGCTCTGATGAGCAGGTCAGGTCTTAGGGAACCCCTGGCTCTGGGATCCAGGGCAGGTGGCCCCCAGAGAGGAGAGGAGAAATGTGGGCACCTATGGGCACTCACTGGAGGGGCTGTGGGGAGGGTAATGGTGGGCCCAGGTCAGGGAGTGGGCATGGCCGTCCTGAAGTTATTTCTGAGTCTAGCTTCATCTCCCCCTCCTTCCTGGGTTCTGCCCGGAGCTGTCCCTGCAGTCCCCCTTGCCCCATCCTGTGCTCTGTGGATTGTTTCTCCCCACAGCTGCTGGGAGCCCTGGGCTCCCCACGTGCTCTTCCTGGGCAGGCAGGTGAGGCCAGGCGGGGCTTGGGGTGCACAGGCTGTGGGTGGGGTGGGCTGAGGCCTGCCTCATGGATAGGTCCCACCTTCTCTAGGCTGTGCCTGGGTTTCTGGGTCTCCCTCTGGGCCGGCCCTGCAGTGTCTGTGGATCCTGGGGTTGCTGCCTGAGCACCATCGGCCTTAGCCTCCCTAAAGGCACCCTCTCCTGAGCCTGTCCCCACTCAGCATCCTCGTCCAGCCCATAGCTCCTCTGCGGGGGCAGCTCTGGGACACGGGCTTCTCACGTTTATGAAGCAGGCATCACCCAGTGGCTTTGCGGCTGTCCCCCCCACCAGGGGTGCCTTCTGATTGGTTGGGGCCTCCTGGGACTGGGGGCTGAGCAGGGGTCCTGTGTGGGACGCGGCTCCTGAGGCGCTGAGGGGTGTTCCTCCTGCAGACCCCCTCCAGACACGGCTCCCCTTTGCTTTGAGAGAGCCTGGGCTCGCTCAGGGGTAGAAGTGGGATGGCCCTACAACAGGTGTGGACTCGCTTCCCTGTAAGCACCTAGAGCATGTGGATGTGTACAGGGCAGAGGGAGGGGGCTTTGTGTGGAAAGGGCTTCCTCCTCCTGTTCTGAGGCCTAGAGTCAGGTGTGTGGGGCCCTTGCTCCTCCAGCCCAGCCTGCCTGGTTTGATGTGGCTTCCTGGGCCTCACTCTCCTTGTCTGTGAAACGGGGGTGATGAGGACTCGTCCCTGTGGCTGCGGGGAGTGAGTGGTGGGCTACAGGGAGGCTCCCAGTCCCAGGTGAGGGTGTACGCATGCTGGCCGTTGGGGTGTGTGCTGTGTCTGCACCGGTGGCTTACTCTGAGTTTCATGGGGGCAGGAAAGGGCGGGGTACTGGTGGCACCCCCGGTCAGGTCTGTGTCTGAGCTGAGGGCTGAGCAGCTGCTGGTCAGGTCTTGTTGGCCCAGCAGCGGAGGGGGTGGCTGAGACGCCTCTGACCGAAGGCATTGGGGCGAGGGATGGCAGCCTGAGCTGCAGCCAGGTTGGGTAGGGCAGCTGGAGGCCGCAGGCCTCTGCGTCAACCTGGCAGCGCCAACCTGCAATCTGTTGGCGTCTTCTTTTTTTTTGAGATGGAGTCTCACTCTCTCGCCCAGGCTGGAGTGCAGTGGCACAGTCTCGGCTCACTGCAGCCTTCTCCTCCCGGGTTCAAGTGATTTTCCTGCCTTAGCCTCCTAAGTAGCTGGGATTACAGGCACGCACCACCACGCCTGGCTAATTTTAGTATTTTAATAGAGACGGTTTCACCATGTTGGTCAGGCTGGTCTCGAACTGCTGACCTCATGATCCACCCGCCTTGGCCTCCCAAAGTGTTGGGATTACAGGTGTGAGCCACTGCACCTGTTTAAGTTTTGTATTTTTAGTAGAGACGGGGTTTCACCATGTTGGCCAGGCAGGTCTCAAACTGCTGACCTTGTGATCCACCCACCTTGGCCTCCCACAGTGCTGGGATTACAGGTGTGAGCCACTGCGACCAGCCCTGTTGGCGTCTTTGATCCTGGGCTGAGGAGCTGAGAAGCTTCTATGGCCTGAGGGTCACACACACCTGCCCACACACCTGGCCTTCACCCTTCCTGCTAGGGGGTATGTCCTCTGCCAGGAGCTGTTGCTCTTATGGGGGGACCAGGGGCCTTTGCCTTGATCAGATGGAGACCTGGCTGGCCACAAAACAGAACACACCCACCTACAAAGCACGTGGCCCAGAGATGTCCTCGTCTCCCGGCCGCTGGCTGACCAGCTAAGTCCTGGCACTGCAGGGCCTGCCCAGGCCGAATTGGGGCTGAGCCAGACTCCCTGCAGTGGGGCCCGGTGGCACTGGGACCTCTCACAGCCTCTTTTCTGTCTTGCAGGAAATGGCTAATTCTGTCTACCTGGTTATGGAGGTGAGTGCCTTGTGGTGCCAGGACAAGTGCAGGCTGATGGCCATGGCCCTGGGAGCCCCACAGGGAGGGACATGGCTGGGGGGAGGGTGATGAGCACCTTTTCTTTTTTTTTGAGATGGAGTCTCACTGTCGCCCAGGCTGGAGTGCAGTGCTGCGATCTCAGCTTACTGCAACCTCCACCTCCGGGTTCAAGCAATCCTCCTGCCTCAGCCTCCCGAGTAGCTGGGAGTAATTACAGGTGTGTGCCACCACGCCCGGCTAATTTTTATACTTTTAGTAGAGATGGGGTTTCGCCACGTTGGCCAGGCTGGTCTTGAACCTCCTGACTTCAAGCGATCTGCCCACCTTGGCCTCCCAAAGTGCTCGGATTACAGGCGTGAGCTGCCACGCCTGCTGAGTATCACTATTGATGTCTTCCAGCAGGGACTGTGGGGACACCTGCCCTGGGCTGGGCAGGTGCCTGCGGGCTCAGGGAGTAGTGTCCAAGTGTGAGGGGTGGGGAGGCTGGGCAGGGCTGGGAGGTGGGCCCTGGGCCCTGCTGCAGCCTGATGCGTGTCTGGTCTCTTGCAGTACTGCAACGGTGGGGACCTGGCCGACTACCTGCACGGTGAGTGCACAGCTGCGCCACCTGGGCTGCCAGCCGGTCCCACAGGGCCCGCACCCAGGGCCACACTGGCCCAGTCTGGGAGGCAGCCTGGCTCGAGTGGGTCCTTGGCTCATTGTGAGATTGGCTCTTTCTTGTCCCCCTGGGCCTCTTGAGGGGATGCAGGGAGCTGAGCTGCTCCCGGCTGTTAAGGATGCAGTCCCTCCGCTGGCCTCCCCCTTGCTTGAGGAGACAGCTGTGACCAGAATAGCCCGAGGGGAGCCGCACAAACCAGGGGTGGGGGCTGTTGTCTTCATAGTGTGGCTGGAAGGCGGCTCTTGGCCCACCCAAAGTTGAGCCCTGTGGCGGATGGGAGGGGATGTGCTGCACGGGGCGGGGCGGGGCAGAGGGAAGGACAGCAGGGGGGCGGCCGCGCCCGTCTGTTCCCAGGCTCTCTGGGTGGGGGTCCGGGCCACAGTGCCGGCGGGCGCGGGGGTGGGTGGGGCGCCGGCGGCCTCTTGGGGGTGTCCTGAGGGTCTGGAGGTGGCTCTGGGACAGTTCCGGGGACTTGGGCCTGAGCACCCGGGAGCCGGCAGGACTGCTCAAACGCCGGCTCAGACCCGCGTCGCCCTCATAGCGCTGGGGCGGGAGTGCGGGGCTGGTAGATGGACAGGACCCGCTGGCCCCCTCGCCTCGCCCCACGCGAGGAGGACCCCACGGACCAAGCCTGGGAGACAGACGCTGAGGCCGCGCGTAGCTGAGACTGGGGCTGCGGGTCGGGTCGGGCTGTGCGCGGCTGGCACCTGTCTGGATGCCGGGAAGAGGGGCAGGAGCGGGACCCGGGCGGAACCGCGGTGGCACTGAGGCTGGGCTTCGGCGGCCTCCCGTCTCTGGAGCAGCTGCAGCCCGGGGCTGAGTGGTGGGGCCGGCGCGCCGGGCTCTGCGCAGGAGCTTCAGGTGCGCCCTGGTCTCGGCGGCCCGTGGTGGCTTGTGCCCCTCCTGACCCGGGGTTTCCTCCCGGCCTGCGGCCCTGCCTGGCGCTCTCCATCCGTGTGGCGGGACCGGCCTGGCTGCGCGGGACTCACCCCTGGGGGAGGAAACACGGCCCCCAGGCCCTGAGCCGCCTCTCCCCGCAGCCATGCGCACGCTGAGCGAGGACACCATCAGGCTCTTCCTGCAGCAGATCGCGGGCGCCATGCGGCTTCTGCACAGCAAAGGCATCATCCACCGCGACCTGAAACCGCAGAACATCCTGCTGTCCAACCCCGCCGGCCGCCGCGCCAACCCCAACAGCATCCGCGTCAAGATCGGTCAGCCCGCGGGCAGGCAGGCGGGCCCGGCGGGGAGGGGCTCCGGGGCCGGCGCCGGTCCTGACGCTTCTCTCCCGCAGCTGACTTCGGCTTCGCGCGGTACCTCCAGAGCAACATGATGGCGGCCACACTCTGCGGCTCCCCCATGTACATGGTGTGTTTACCTTGGCCGGGCTGTGCCGGGTGGGCGCCTCTCTGGGCTTGCTGGTTGGTTGGCTGGCGTGTGGTGCGCTCTGCTCTGGTTGGCTGTGGCCTGGCGGGCACCTTCTGTGGTTGGCGTGCGGGGGCCTCACACTGACCCGACTTCTGGTCCCGCAGGCCCCCGAGGTCATCATGTCCCAGCACTACGACGGGAAGGCGGACCTGTGGAGCATCGGCACCATCGTCTACCAGTGCCTGACGGGGAAGGCGCCCTTCCAGGTAACTGGGCTTGGCCCTGCTCCCCACGCCGCACCGTCAGTGCAAGTGTCCGCCAGCTGCGGTCAGACGCCCCCTGCGAGCCCTGCCCGCGCCCCACGAGCTCCCCTCGGGTCCTGGCTGGCGGGGCGGGCGTCCAGGGGTCCAGTGGGGAAGGGGCCTCGGTGTCCCCCAGGGAGGGCGGCGCCGCCGGCGGTGACTGGGAGCTGCCCCCGGCAAGGCCTCCCTCGCCTGTCTGGTCGCCTGTCTAGTCGCCTGTCTGGTCGCCTGCCTGGTCAGAGGTGAGGGCAGCGCCGGGGCCGAGTGGGTGAGGGCTGGGAGGCCGCGTTCTGGGGGGTGGACACCCCGAGAGACCGTCGGCGCCCCCTCCCCGCCCCCATGCTCATACCTCCAGCAGCAAACAGCCGCGCTAGCACCCGGTTTCCCCCGGGCTTCGCAGCGTCTGGGGCAGGGGCCGACTGGGGACGAACGCACCGAGACCCCGTGGGCTGGTCCCGCTCGGCCGCAGCCCTGGCAGTCAGGCTGTCCCCGTCCCCGCAGGCCAGCAGCCCCCAGGACCTGCGCCTGTTCTACGAGAAGAACAAGACGTTGGTCCCCACGTAAGCACCCTCCCGCCTTCCCTTCCCTTCCCCCGCGGGCTCCGGCCCCGCAGGCCCTGCTCACACCAGCCTCCTCTTGCCCCAGCATCCCCCGGGAGACCTCGGCCCCGCTGCGGCAGCTGCTCCTGGCCCTACTGCAACGCAACCACAAGGACCGCATGGACTTCGGTGAGCACCCACCAGGGGCGCAGCTGGAGTCCCCCACCCTCCTTCCTTGCATTTGCTGATGTGAGCAGGGCCCACCGGCTTCACACCCAGCCCCATGTGCACACTGCCCTTTCCACAAGCCAAGCGCAGGCAGGGGCTCCACCTCCGCCCGGGCAGGTGCCCAACGCGGCTGGAGCTCAGGCCGTGGGGAGGCAGGGGCCTGGGGTCAGAGCTGGGGTCCTCCTGAGGCCTCACTCCTCCTTCCTCCTGCAGATGAGTTTTTTCATCACCCTTTCCTCGATGCCAGCCCCTCGGTCAGGAAATGTGAGTTTCTGTGGGTCCTGGGGCTCCGCATGGGCCCTGCATGCACCCCTTCCTCCCCGGGTTTGGTTAGGGCACTGAGTGTGGGGCAGAGGGAGCAGGTCTTGAGCTGCGGCCAGCTCCCAGGGAGGGCAGGACACCCGGCTCCTTGCTCTGCTGCAGCGGGGACCCCAAGGCCAGGGGTTCGCATGGTGCAGCAGGCTTGGGATGGGGATGGGGTGTTGGAGGGGCTGGTGCTGCCCTGTGACAGTCATAGGGTGGCCCAGGAGGGAGCCTCCCTCCTTCCTGCTGGTCGGGGTGTAGCCGGAAGTGGAGGGGATATGGTTGAGCTTGTCCAGTCTGTGGGTTGGCTCGAGGGTGAGGAGGAGACAGGAGGATGGCCCAGACTGACCTATGCATGTTTATCTCAGCCCCACCCGTGCCTGTGCCCTCGTACCCAAGCTCGGGGTCCGGCAGCAGCTCCAGCAGCAGCTCCACCTCCCACCTGGCCTCCCCGCCGGTGAGTTGCCGCCCCAGGGGCTTGGCAGCTTCTCCCTCCACTCAGCAGTCAGGGGCTCCAGCCCTGGGCCCCCGCGGGGACGTGCTGTGACTTCTGTTGTCTGTGTGAGTCACGAAAGACATGGATGAGTTCATTCTGTCAGATGTTGAAGCCCCACAAACGGGTGACAGCCCCTCCCAACACCCACAGCCCTCAGGTCCCAGAGGCCGATAGGGCGGCTGTTTGGTCTGGTCCTGTCTTTGGTTTTGTGCTGACGTGGACAGAAGCAGCGTGTGGCCTTGGCCCACTGACACCTGCACCCCTGGCCTCCCTCGTGTCTTCCATTGGACTCAAAGCATGAGTAGGGTTGCAGGGTGATGGCCCCACATGATGATGGCACTCCTTGTGTGACATGGGAGGGGTCTGCAGAGCACCTGAGTCGGCCATGAACCCCCGTCCCTCTGTCCATCTGACTGGGAGCCTGGCTCTCAGGCATGGTGTTGTGGCTGGTGGTGATGAGTTCATGTCTGGGCTCTCCTGGCCTGGCCCCCTGCTCTGTGACCAGGGACCGGTCCTCTGACCTTGGTTGTCTGCCTGTATCATGGCCGAAAGCTCAGATGTGGCGAGGGGAGCGTGGCAGCGCCCTGCTGTAGGGAGCTGTGGCATCCGCAGACCTGCCCTGGGGCACTTGGGGCTTTAGCCACCACCGCACGGATGGTGTGCCCTGGGCCTTAGCATGGTGCTGGCCTCAGAGCAGGGCCCACCGGGGTGGCAGCCTCTCCACTGGACACGCCTTCCATGGTACCTCGTTCTCTTGGCTATGCCGATGGAAAAGTGAGGTGCAGAGGGCAGGTGGTGAACAACTCCCCAAAACAGGGCCTCCCAGAGCTTCTGGGAGCTGAGGGCTTCAACCCACCCAGGCTGCATGGTGAGAGTGGCTCGTCGGGGGGCCTGTCCCTGCGAGGTCAAAGCTGGCCTTTGAGTGGAGTGCTCTGGAAGTACAGAGAAGAGCGGAGCACAGGAAGAAAGACGTGCCCAGCCCTTCTCAGCCCCAGCGCCCCGATCTTTACTGGGGCTCTGGGCCATCCCAGGAGGGGGAATTTGCTCCCCTGAGTGTGTAGGTCCCTGAGACCTGCTCACCAGCCCCTCCGTTGACTCTCAGTCCCTGGGCGAGATGCAGCAGCTGCAGAAGACCCTGGCCTCCCCGGCTGACACCGCTGGCTTCCTGCACAGCTCCCGGGACTCTGGTGGCAGCAAGGACTCTTCCTGTGACACAGACGACTTCGTCATGGTCCCCGCGCAGTTTCCAGGTCAGGGGGCACGCTGGGCTTGGAGGTGACGCCTCAGGTGCGGCGGGGACAGTGCATTGCATGTGTTGGATGCACAGTGTGTAACACATTTCCACTTATGGGCAGTTAGGATGGGCCCCTGGGAGCCACCGGCATCGGCCCAGCTTGGTTGGGGAGGCCGTGTCTGTTAAAACCACTCCTGGAATCAAAGCCGGGTCCTCCTAGTGGTCAGTAGGAGGTCGGAGGCCATAGGCCTGGTCTCCTTAGACAGTGCTGCTCTTCGGATGGGTGGGGGCCGCTCACCTCATGCCCCTCCCCCGCCATGTACCCCTACCTTGTTTCTCAGCAACTCTTGTTGCCTCTACACCCTGCAGGTGGGTTTATTCCTTGGCTTTTGGGGAACCCCCCGCTCCATAATGGCCAGGGGCTGCCCACGTGTTTGTTGAATGAAGGTGCCTAAACTTTTGGAGCAGGCCTGGGGTCTGTGGCTCCTCTGAAGGCCCTGCACTCTGTCCCTGGCTGTCCCAAAGCTCCTGGAGGTCTGGGTTGGCACTGGTCCCCGTGTCTGCCAGGGACACAATGACTCATGCCGAGCCCTCCGCCTCTCCCATCAGCATGGCTTCTGCGGGGGTGGTGAGGCCCGAGCCAAGCCCCAGACAGACCCGGGGAGGGCCTTGGTCCTTTGCCAGCTGTCAGGGCAACAGGAAGACGGACACCAGGGGTAGGGCAGAGCCTCCTTGGGGGTGGGAACCTGGGTATTCCTGGAGGGGGTTGGGCCCAGACTTAGGGCTGTAGATGCCTGACCTCCCCCGCCCATCCTGGAGTTAGCTAAAGGCTGGGGGGCAGGGCCCCAGGGGTCTCTGGGGCTGAGGAGACAGGAGGCGCAGAGTCCAAGTGGGGATAAGCGGGGGCAGGTAGCGCTCTGGTCTCCCGGAGCTGGCCTGGGGCTGGCAGGGAGGATGCAGCCTGGACTGTACCACCCAGGCTCTGCCCCCCGCAAGGCCGCTGTACGAGCTGAGGCCCCTGCAAGGTGGAGTGTGCGTGGGGATCCAGCAGAGAGCCTCGGTGGGGTGGGGTGGCCCTGGGCAGGCGGCAAGGACTCCAGGCCCAGCCTTGTCTCCCCCTGCAGGTGACCTGGTGGCTGAGGCGCCCAGTGCCAAACCCCCGCCAGACAGCCTGATGTGCAGTGGGTGAGCCCCCATCCCTTACCTCTGTATTTTAGGGGAGAGAAACTGTGGCCTTGGAAGTGGCCCGTGTTATTTACAATGAGCCGAGATCGCGCCACTGCACTCCAGCCTGGGTGACAGAGCGAGACTCTGTCTCAAAAAAAAAAAAAGTAAATGCCGTTGGCCCGTGGTGGCTCACGCCTGTAATCCCAGCACTTTGGGAGGCCGAGGCGGATGGATCACAAGGTCAGGAGATTGAGACCATCCTGGCCAACATGGTGAAACCCCGTCTCTACTGACAAAAAAAAGAAATGCAAAAAATTAGCCAGGCGTGGTGGCACATGCCTGTAATCCCAGCTACTCGGGAGGCTGAGGCAGGAGAATCGCTTGAACCCAGGAAGCAGAGGTTGCAGTGAGCCGAGATTGCGCCACTGCACTCCAGCCTGGGTGACAGAGTGAGACTGCCCCAAAAAAAACAAAAAAATGCCCTTGGCCTCCCTTCTGCCCCACAGGAGCTCACTGGTGGCCTCTGCGGGCTTGGAGAGCCACGGCCGGACCCCATCTCCATCCCCACCCTGCAGCAGCTCCCCCAGTCCCTCAGGGTAAGCAGGGCCCCAGGCTGGGTGGATGGGGCTGTGAACAGTCCCCCGGCTGGAGGTTGGGCTTCCTGTGTGTCGCAGCCAGCCCAGGCCTGCTGTGTCCAGAGGCCCCTGCCTTCTTCTCCCAGGCCTCGCAGGATGGGGTCTGCTGGGTCGTCCTGCAGAAGGGACTATAGTGGGAGGAGCATTGACAGGAGTAGGTGAATGAGGAAACCAACCAGGGACGCCAGGGCCAGCACAGTCGAGCCTGTAGGGCCAGGAATGGCCAGGGCCCCGGCCAGGGTGGCCCCCCACTGGCTGGGTGCAGACTGGGAGTCCAGGTGGGGTGCAGGTGCCACATTTCTGGTGTGTGTAGAGGCATGGAAGCCGGCTCTTTTCAGACCTGGCATGGGTCTCAGGGTGGCCTCTGCCCTAACTAGGAAGTCTGGGCCTAGGCTTTCTTCTGGTGCCCCAGCTCCATGACCTCAGCCTCTTGTGACCCCAGTGTCTGTCATGATCCTGACCTCTCTCCACCACAGCCGGGCTGGCCCGTTCTCCAGCAGCAGGTGCGGCGCCTCTGTCCCCATCCCAGTCCCCACGCAGGTGCAGAACTACCAGCGCATTGAGCGAAACCTGCAGTCACCCACCCAGTTCCAAACACCTCGGTGAGTGTGGAGCCCCCAGGTAGCCAGGCGTGGCTGGGGCCTTGTGTGGCAGGAGCCCTTCCACGGCTCCCATAGAGGGACAGGGTCGTCATCCATGTGCAGTTGTGCAGGCTGCGCACTGCGTAACTCAGCACCACCATTTACTTTGTTGATGTCTTGGGTTTCTAGAGTTATTTTGACAGTTTTCTGATCAGTAAAATCTCTCTAGTTTATAAAATCAATATTGACTTTGGCCAGTTTTAACAGACAGAAGTAAATGGTGGGAGGAAAGGGTACCTTTCTTTTAACTCACAGAAGGCTGTGTGGGCCAGTGGGTGTCTGGCAGGGGATGGAGACTTTAGGGTGAGGGTGCCTTGGGTTGGCACCCCGGGCAGGAAAGCTAAGGGGCCAACTCCTCCCACACACCCACTGTGTGGCCGGTTACCTGGACAGAGTGCATTAGAGGATGAGCCATCTGTCAGCACTGTAGCCACTTGGCGTGGCATGGGGTCCTGGGCTGCTGGGGCCTCCCCTCCTAATACCTGCCTTGTCCCCAGGTCCTCTGCCGTCCACAGGTCAGGCAGGGCTGCTGAGGCCTCCCCTCCTAATATCTGCCTTGTCTTCAGGTCCTCTGCCATCCGCAGGTCAGGCAGCACCAGCCCCCTGGGCTTTGCAAGGGCCAGCCCCTCGCCCCCTGCCCACGCTGAGCATGGAGGCGTCCTGGCCAGGAAGATGTCTCTGGGTGGAGGCCGGCCCTACACGCCATCTCCTCAAGGTGCGCCTGCAGGCTGGGGCCTGGGAAGGGGCGTCTGTAGGCAGTGGGTGAGGAGGCTGTCTCTGTCCCAGCTGGACCCTGACAGATCTCTCTTTTCCCCAAGTTGGAACCATCCCTGAGCGGCCAGGCTGGAGCGGGACGCCCTCCCCACAGGGAGCTGAGATGCGGGGTGGCAGGTCCCCTCGTCCAGGTGGGTGCAGTCCGGAGGGGGGAGGGGGTGCTAGGCTGACCTCCCTCGCTCACGTTGTCATCCTGGTCTAAAGCCCTTGCTCTTTCCAAGTGAAAAGGAGTGGGAAGGAAGCTGGTGGAACAGAAGCCAACTGCCTCTCCACCTCCTGGCTGTGTGGGCTGGGGCAAGTTTCTTATCCCCTCTGTGCCAGTCTTCTGTGCTGGCTGAGGGTCAGGTTTAAGAGTGGCGCCTCAGCTACTCGGGAGGCTGAGGCAGGAGAACCGCTTGAACCTGGGAGGCAGAGGTTGCAGTGAGCCGAGATCATACCACCGCACTCCAGCCTGAATGACAGGGCGAGACCCCGTCTCAACAAAAGAAAAAGAGTGGGGCCTTGGAGTGCGTCTACCCCAAGGGGCTCCGTGTGGTAGCAGTGGGGCCTAGGGCTGGGCCGCCGGACCGGAAGGTCGTGACGAGGCGTGTCTCTCTCTAGGCTCCTCTGCACCCGAGCACTCTCCCCGCACTTCCGGGCTGGGCTGCCGCCTGCACAGCGCCCCCAACCTGTCTGACTTGCACGTCGTCCGCCCCAAGCTGCCCAAACCCCCCACGGACCCCCTGGGAGCTGTGTTCAGCCCACCACAGGCCAGCCCTCCCCAGCCGTCCCACGGCCTGCAGTCCTGCCGGAACCTGCGGGGCTCACCCAAGCTGCCCGACTTCCTGCAGCGAAACCCCCTGCCCCCCATCCTGGGCTCCCCCACCAAGGTAATGGGCACTGCCATGTGTGCAGGGGCACAGAGCCCTGGGGAAGATGTGTGGGAATGGCCAGTCCTGAACAAAGACCGAGGAAGGCAGCTCTGTACCTTTTGACCCCCGCCTGGGCTCATGCTCAGGCTGCTCCCACATGCCTGCCAGTTCCTGCGGACTCGGCCCCTTCCCCAGGCACCGGGCCCCAGGGCTGCAGACCTGCGGGGCAGTCTTCACCCCATCTCTGTCCTCCTAGGCTGTGCCCTCCTTTGACTTCCCGAAGACCCCCAGCTCCCAGAACCTGCTGGCCCTCCTAGCCCGGCAGGGCGTGGTGATGACGCCCCCTCGAAACCGGACGCTGCCCGACCTCTCGGAGGTGGGACCCTTCCATGGTCAGCCGTTGGGCCCTGGCCTGCGGCCAGGCGAGGACCCCAAGGGCCCCTTTGGCCGGTGAGTTGAGGGGACAGGCCTTGGACGGGCTTCTGAGGGGCAGCCTCTTTCCCCTGCATTGTTCTGCTGGGTACTTCTGGGGGGTAGAACAGGAAAAGCCCAGCCTTGCCCTTCTGTGGGTGCCCAGTGTGGCTGGGTGCCAGAGAGCCTGGCCCACCTGTGGCTGGCCCTAGACCCACAGCAGGTCCCCGTCCTGAGCCTCGCCATGCCCGCCTGTAAGCTGGGGTGACAGGAGCGCCTGCCTCTCGAGGTGGGCCAGGAGA
Organism: Homo sapiens; assembly: GCF_000001405.40. Lineage (NCBI taxonomy): Eukaryota > Metazoa > Chordata > Mammalia > Primates > Hominidae > Homo > Homo sapiens. Next base: position 131,916,855 of record NC_000012.12, read on the forward strand.
CCGTGCATCATGTGTGTCTGGCCTGCAGAGGGACCTCTCGAGGTCCAGTTAGGGTGGGGTGGGCCGGGCACCCAGCACAGCCCTGCACACTCCCACAGGTCTTTCAGCACCAGCCGCCTCACTGACCTGCTCCTTAAGGCGGCGTTTGGGACACAAGCCCCGGACCCGGGCAGCACGGAGAGCCTGCAGGAGAAGCCCATGGAGATCGGTGTGTGGGTGGGTGGGGCTCGGAGGCTGTGGGATGGGGGTCGGAGGCTGTGGGATGGGGGTCGGAGGCTGTGGGATGGGGGTCGGAGGCTGTGGGATGGGGCTCGAGGCTGTGGGATGGGGGTCGGGTGGGGCTTGGAGGCTGTGGGATGGGGCTCGAGGCTGTGGGACGGGGGTCGGGTTCGGCTCGGAGGCTGTGGGACGGGGGTCGGGTTCGGCTCGGAGGCTGTGGGACGGGGGTTGGGGGGAGCTCGGAGGCCGTGGGATGGGGGTCGGGTTCGGCTCGGAGGCTGTGGGATGGGGGTCGGCGGGAGTCAGGATGCTCCTGAGCCCTTCCTTGCTCTCCCAGCACCCTCAGCTGGCTTTGGAGGGAGCCTGCACCCAGGAGCCCGTGCTGGGGGCACCAGCAGCCCTTCCCCGGTGGTCTTCACCGTGGGCTCTCCCCCGAGCGGGAGCACGCCCCCCCAGGGCCCCCGCACCAGGATGTTCTCAGGTGAGGGCTGGCTAGGCTGAAGCCCTGTCCCTTTTGGGGTGGTGGCAGCGCCCTAGCGGACGGGGGCATCCTTTAACTCGGGTCACTGGACTACAGCCCCCCAGAGCCCAGGGGTGCCTGAGGAAGCAGCTCAGGCCCCTGAGAAACCCCTGCTCTGTCTCCCCGTCTGCGAAATGGACGTGGTTCTGGTATCCACCCCTCAGACCACCCCTGCCACTCAACCTGTGAGCGGTAGGCGCTCGTTCCCATTTATCCCCAAAACATGAGGTGAGCAGGGACGGTGTCTGGATCATGGCCTCCTTGCCCAGCTGCCGTGGGCTGTGCTGTGTTGGTCAGGAGTTGCCCTGATGAGCACAGGCCGTGCAGACAGGCGTGCCCCTCGGTTCCCCAGCCAGTGGTGTGTGGGGATGCTCTGGGCCTGGGGCCTGGCTGGGTCCCCACTGCGGGTTCTGCCTGGGGAGGGGTGGGCTTGTGGGCGTCTGGTCCTGGCCAGGGGCTGCCATCGCTGGGGTCACCTGCCAGCCCCATAGCGAGGATGGGGGACTGCCTTGCCCTTTGAGGTCCTTTTGGGCCTTGGGCCCAGCTGTGGGGCACAGTAGCACACCAAGCCACGCACCTACCCCATTCCAGACAGTGGCAGCTGCCCTCCTCCCAGGCAGATCTGGGCTGGGGGTCGGGATACCCAGAGGGTCCCTTGGTGGGCACCGCAGCCCTTGGCCTGAGGTGGGGAGCTGGGGACTTGGGGGTTGTGGTGAGTGGCAAGAGGTTGAGGAGTGGCTCTAGGGGCCTGCTGTGCTTCTCCTGTTGGAGCATTGGGATATAACAGGTGTAAACCGAGGCAGAGGCACATTGGGCCCTGGAGGTGTGGGAGTCTGTGGGGGATGGATGGGGGCCACGGTGTCTGCTGGTCCTGGTGTGCCCCTCATCGCCCTCTCCCTGCAGCGGGCCCCACTGGCTCTGCCAGCTCTTCTGCCCGCCACCTGGTGCCTGGGCCCTGCAGCGAGGCCCCAGCCCCTGAGCTCCCTGCTCCAGGACACGGCTGCAGCTTTGCCGACCCCATTACTGCGAACCTGGAGGGGGCTGTGACCTTCGAGGCCCCCGACCTCCCTGAGGAGACCCTCATGGAGGTGAGGGCTGGAGTGAGCAAAGGTTCCCATTCTGGCTGGAGGGTGTGTGGGGTGTGTGGGGTGTCGGGTGTGTGGGGTATAGGGTGTGTGGGGTGTCGGGTGTGGGGTGTCGGGGGTGTGGGGTGTAGTGTGTGGGGTGTAGAGTGTGTGGGGTGTGGGGTGTCGGGTGTGTGGGGTGTCGGGTGTGTGGGGTGTCGGGTGTGTGGGGTGTAGGGTGTGGGGTGTAGGGTGTGTGGGGTGCAGGGTGTGTGGGGTGCAGGGTGTGTGGGGTGCAGGGTGTGGGGTGCAGGGTGTGTGGGGTGTCGGGTGTGTGGGGTGCAGGGTGTGTGGGGTGTCGGCTGTGTGGGGTGTACGGTGTGTGGGGTGCAGGGTGTGTGGGGTGTCGGGCGTGGCACATCCCAGCTGCCCGGGCTGCAGCAGGGGAGGGTACCCTGCCCTGCCTCCCCAAGGCGTCATCGGTGAGTCTGAAGGGAGACAAGCCCCTTCCAAGCCCGGGCAGCACTTGCCGCCCTGACGGCCGCTTCCTGCAGCAAGAGCACACGGAGATCCTGCGTGGCCTGCGCTTCACGCTGCTGTTCGTGCAGCACGTCCTGGAGATCGCAGCCCTGAAGGGCAGCGCCAGTGAGGCGGCGGGGGGCCCTGAGTACCAGCTGCAGGAGAGTGTGGTGGCCGACCAGATCAGCCTGCTGAGCCGAGAATGGGGGTGGGTGCCGCCAGGGCTGGGGTGGGGCGGGTGGTGGCCTGGGGGCCAGGACCAACCGGCCTCCTCTGATCTGCCTGCCGCCCCCAGCTTCGCGGAACAGCTGGTGCTGTACCTGAAGGTGGCCGAGCTACTGTCCTCCGGCCTGCAAAGTGCCATCGACCAGATCCGGGCCGGCAAGCTCTGCCTGTCGTCCACTGTGAAGCAGGGTGAGGGCTGCGACCGCTCAGCCCACATGCCGGGTTGGGGAGGAAGCCCACCTTGCAACTGCCTGGGTGACAGGGTAACAGGGAGGCTGCTTGAGTAGGCCCCTGTGCAGAGGTGCAGAGGCCCCGGGGCCTGGCCCAGTGTGCAGAGCACAGAGGCCATTGGGTCGGACAGCACCCTGGAGCCCAGTATGCAGAGCACAGAGGCCGTGGGGTCGGATGGCACCCGGGACAAGGTGCGGAGCCTGGCCACACCCTCAAGGCCACGGGGAGCCAGGGCTGTGGCAGGGAGGGAGGGACGTGCTCGCTCAGTGCACCGGGCAGATCATGGCCACTCCAGCCCTGCCCCGTGTCTGCTGCACCCTGAGCTGACCACCCTCGTCCTTTGCAGTGGTGCGCAGGCTGAATGAGCTGTACAAGGCCAGCGTGGTGTCCTGCCAGGGCCTGAGCCTGCGGCTGCAGCGCTTCTTCCTGGACAAGCAGCGGCTCCTGGACCGCATTCACAGCATCACTGCCGAGAGGCTCATCTTCAGCCACGCTGTGCAGATGGTACGGGACAGACAGACACCAGTGGGGCAGGGGCCAGGAACTTCCAGGCCCGCCGTCTCCACTGGGACGGGACCTTGATGCCCACAGCGTGGTGAGACTTTGGGGGGTGTCACTTCTGGAGGTCTTGAAATGACAGCATTATGCACCCCCAGCCTCCTGCAGGCGCTCGCAGCTCGGCTGGGTGCATCCTTGATTGTACGGGTGCCGTGGCCCATGTGCATCCTGCCTCGCCCCGACTCAGTTTCCCCAATTGTAAAATGAGAGACTTGGTCTTCAGGCCTCGTAGTCAGGTGTCAGCCTCCAGAAGCAGCACCTGGTCCCGGACAACCTGCCTGGAAGTGTGGTGCACTCAGGTGGTACCACGGGCAAAGACTCCCTGCTTGGGCTCTGAAGAGCTCCCTCTGCCTCTGAGGTGGTGCCCCCTTTTCGTTTATTTTTTGTTGTTTTTTTTTAAGAGAGGGTCTTGCACTGTTGCCCAGGCTGAAGTGTAGTGTAGCCGCTAACTCCTGGGCTGAAATGATCCTCTTGCCTCAGCTTCCCAAGATGCTGGGTATTACAGGCAAAAACTCATGAGTGCCTGAGTCTCCTTTTTTAAGAAAATTTAAGCATGTAGTAAAAATCCAGTCTGAACAAACATGGGAAAAGTCAGCCTCCCTCCTGCCCCCCTTCCCGCCCAGGCAGGCCAGGCAGCAGCAGTAATGACACTGACTGAGCGGCGGGCACTCTGTTGTCCTGGGGCCGGGCTGAGAGCGCTGGCCAGGGTCATCTGGTTCCAGGCAGTGTCTCCCCTTGGCCCTGTGACCATCCCCTCTGCACAGCAGGCTGCACCAGCACTTATGTCTCCACGTCACTGCCCTGAGCGCCTATCTGCCACCCCTGGGCCGCTGCCGTGGGTGCAGGGCAGCCCTTGCTGGGAGGGAGTGGGGTGAGCTGGCCCTGTCCAGCCTCTGTCCTCGCCCCCAGGTGCAGTCGGCTGCCCTGGACGAGATGTTCCAGCACCGTGAGGGCTGCGTCCCACGCTACCACAAGGCCCTGCTGCTCCTGGAGGGGCTGCAGCACATGCTCTCGGACCAGGCCGACATCGAGAACGTCACCAAGTGTGAGTGCCCGGCTGGGCTGGGGGCTGGGGACTCTGGGCGTCTCCCTCACACTCCCCTCTCCCTCCACAGGCAAGCTGTGCATTGAGCGGAGACTCTCGGCGCTGCTGACTGGCATCTGTGCCTGACCTTTCTGGCCTGGCTGGGCCCCCCGTCCTGCCGAGCCCTGCAGAGTGGGCTCTGTGTGCTGGCTGGACTCCTCGGGACAAGCCCATGGCGCTGATCGCTGGTGCTGAGCCCTGCCCTGGGCCCCACGGACAGTCAGCCTGCCGGCCTCCCTGCAGCTCACGGGGCAGAACCAGCACATCTGGAGCCACACAGCTTGGGGGGTGTCTCCCATCTTTTACAGGTGGGGATCACAGAATTTCTGCCCCTCCAGCTGCCTGGCTCAGCAGGCGTGGGTGCCACCACCCTCTAGCCCCAGGGCAGCCCCGGAGGACAGGCAAGGGCCTGAGACCACTGCCGACTCAAAGCCAAAGCGAGCTCCTGCTTAGGGAAGGTCAGC